>NC_000010.11:97567337-97870368 GCF_000001405.40 Homo sapiens
ATTACAGGCGTGAGCCACCGCGCCCTGCCCCACATCATGTGGGAAGGGTGCGGTGGCTCACGCCTGTAATCCCAGTACTTCGGGAGGCTGAGGCGGGTGGATCACGAGGTCAGGAGTTTGAGACCAGCCTGACTAACATGGTGAAACCCCATCTCTACTAAAAATACAAAAATTAATCAGGCGTGGTGGTGGGCGCCTGTAATCCCAGCTACTCGGGAGGCTGAGGCAGGAGAGTCGCTTGAACCCGGGAGGCGGAGGTTGCAGTGAGCCGAGGTCATGCCATTGCACTCCAGCCTGGGCAACAAGAGTGAAACTCCATCTCAAAAACAAAAAACAAAAAACAAAAACAATGGTAGCGTATGCTTTGCTGACACAATTATTTTATGTCCCTAGGTTGGTTATGTGAAGTTTTCTGACTCTTCCCTGCTATTTAGGAAGGGCTTCAAAGACCTGAATACTTAGTAGCCAGTGCAGCAGGGTTTCAGGGTCTGGCCTGGGGAGGGGAGGGGAGGGGGAGGGCAGGTTGCAGCTCAAGTGGCTTTAGAGATGCTGAGCCTCTCCTTCTGTCCTGCCCAGGACGCAATGAGCCCCTGAAGAAAGAGCGGCTTAAGTGGAAGAGCGACTACCCCATGACTGACGGGCAGCTGCGGAGCAAACGGGATGAGTTCTGGGACACAGCGCCTGCCTTCGAGGGCCGCAAGGAGATCTGGGATGCCCTCAAGGCTGCCGCCTATGCTGCTGAAGCCAACGACCACGAGCTGGCCCAGGCCATCCTGGATGGAGCCAGCATCACCCTGCCTCATGGTAAGTGGGCAGGGCCAGGGCTTTATCCCCGCTGGAGCTAGGGGGTCACCAGCACAGTTTGAGGGTGTTGAGGAGTGTGGAGCGGTGGGGCAGGTGGTTACTCACGTATTCATTCATTCAAGCACCCCTTACTGAGCATGGACCAGGAGTGGGTACACAAAGAAAAAGAGACACAGTCTATGCTTGCCTAATGACATGACAGAAAGACAACAAACCTGCAAAGCAGTGTCACAAATGCACTTTGGGACCCCAGAACATCCAAGGCACTGACCTTTTTATTTTATTTTTTTTTTTGAGATGGAGTCTTACTTGCTCTGTTGGCTAGGCTGAGGCTCAGTGGTGGGATCTCGGTTCACTGCATCCTTCACCTCCTGAGTTCAAGCAATTCTCCTGCCTCAGCCTCCTGAGTAGCTGGGATTACAGGCATGTGCCACCATGCCTGGCTAATTTTCGTATTTTTAGTAGAGACGGGGTTTCACCATGTTGGCCAGGCTGGTCTCAAACTCCTAAGCTCCAGTGATCCACTGGCCTCAGCCTCCCAAAGGCACTGACCTTTTATTGGGTTGTTATGTGCTGGACACCGAACTAGAAACTTCCACTGCATTAGCTCACGTAAGTTCATAGCAGTCTTATGGGGCCATGTAAAGCAGAGGGTGACAGTGGAGCCCTAGAATCACAGACTTGAGTTTCTTTTTTTTTGAGACGGAGTTTCCCTCTTGTTGCCCAGGCTGGAATGCAGTGGAGCGATCTCGGCTCACCGCAACCTGCGCCGCCTGGGTTCAAGTGATTCTCCTGTCTCAGCCTCCTGAGTAGCTGGGATTACAGGCATGCGCCATCACGCCCAGCTAATTTTGTATTTTTAGTAGAGACAGGGTTTCTCCATGTTGGTCAGGCTGGTCTCAAACTTCCAACTGCAGGTGATCCGCCCGCCTTGGCCTCCCGAAGTGCTGGGATTACAGGCGTGAGCCACTGCGCCTGGCCACAGACCTGGGTTTCAGTCTGAATGTTTCCCTTTCCTAACTGTCTTGGCTTTAGCAAGGAGCTTCTCGAATTTAGAGCCTGACTGCCTTACGACTGTAAAGGGGAGATGATTATTAGGATTCAGTAAGATACACATAACATCATTTAGTCCAGTCCCAGCACTTAGTAGGTGCTCAAGAGACAATAAACATATTTCTCCATGCATTACGTTTTGCCAGTAAGGACACTAAGGCCCATGGAGAGCAGAGCTGTGCTATTTCATTCATCCCTGTAACCCCAGCACCTGGCACATGTGAAGAAGTGAAAAATAATATGCCAGGATGAACAAGCCAGTACCTGGTGGAGCTGGGATGCCAGCTCAGGTCTTCCTGACTCCAGCCCTGTACACCTGGTCATCAGGCTGTCCTAGGGAGATCTGACTGTGGGGTGGCCATGGCAGGTGTATTAGTCTGCTCAGGCTCCTGTAACAAAATACCACATGCTGGGTGACTTAATCAAGAGACATTTATTTTCCACAGTTCTGGAGGCTGGGAAATCCGGCATCATGGTGCTGGCTGGTTCAGGTTTTGGTGAGGACTCTGTTGCTGGCTTGCAGGTGTCCGTCTTCTTGCTGTGTCCTCACATGGGGAGCGAGTGGAGAGTGAGATAGTGCTCTAGTGTCTCTACAAGAACTGTAAGCCAGGGCAGTGGAGCACACCTGTAGTCTCAGCTGCTCGGGAGGCTGAGGTGGGAGGATTGCATGAGCCCAGGAGTTCGAGACTAGCCTAGGCAACATAGGGAGATCTTGTCTCAAAAGAAAAAAAAAAAAAGGACCATTTTTCCCATCAAGGGGTCAGAAGGTCAGGGCCCCACGCTATGACCTCATTTAACTTTATTTATTTCTGTATAGGCCCCATGTCCAAATACAGTCACATTGGGGGTTAGAGTTTCACCATATGAATTTGGGGGGACCCAAACATTTAATCCATGATAGTGGATCCCCAAGCTGACTCTGACAGCCCTGCCTCTCCTACAGGCACCCTCTGTGAATGCTACGATGAGCTGGGCAATCGCTACCAGCTGCCCATCTACTGCCTGTCACCGCCGGTGAACCTGCTGCTGGAGCACACGGAGGAGGAGAGCCTGGAGCCCCCCGAGCCTCCACCCAGCGTGCGCCGTGAGTTCCCGCTGAAGGTGCGCCTGTCCACGGGCAAGGACGTGAGGCTCAGCGCCAGCCTGCCCGACACAGTGGGGCAGCTCAAGAGGCAGCTGCACGCCCAGGAGGGCATCGAGCCATCGTGGCAGCGGTGGTTCTTCTCCGGGAAGCTGCTCACAGACCGCACACGGCTCCAGGAGACCAAGATCCAGAAAGATTTTGTCATCCAGGTCATCATCAACCAGCCCCCACCACCCCAGGACTGATGGGCCCACGGACCCCTGGGAAGAGGCCCCGCCTGGAGCACTAGGCCCCCACCCTGCTGCTGCCTTCCAGTGCTGTCATTTTCTTCAGGGGCCCTCCCCTCGGTGTGGCTGGTGGGTGAGCCGTGAAGGGACCCTGCCTTTCAGGGCACTACGCGCCACCAGTTCCCGGTACCCAGGGAGCAGGCAGCCACACACGGGCCTTGCAACCTTGTCAGAGAAAAGGCGAACAGGGCCCTCACCCTGCCTGTCTCCCGAAGCAGGTTCGAGCCACAAGGGCCAACCAGGAGGCCCCTGGAGCCCAGATCTGTCATCTGGTGCTGCCAGCTGTGCTCACTCTGGTTTTCTGCTCAGGGTCTGAAGCAGCTGCTGTCTCCCTCCTCTGCCCCCATCCCCTGGCTCTCCCCTGGGCACAGTGCCACTCCCTTGGAAGGGAGGGAACCACCCGTGAGCCCCAGGGCTTGGGAAGCCTGAGGCGGGCCTCTGCCTCTCCCTGCCCCCAGCACAATTGGCAGAGATGAGGCGGGTGGTGGACAGCTGGGCTGTCGTGGCAGGGTCTGCACAGGGCCATGTCCTGGCTGTAACCCAGGCAGTGGGAGGTCTGCAGCCTGGTCATGGCCTCCACAGCAGGTCCCTGTGGACAGACATATCTGCATATTTATCAATAAAGCCTTTTGCTCCTTCTCGCTTGCCTGGCATTTGACTGAATTCTCCTGCAGCTCTGTGGGGCCCCTGGAGCTGTTCTGGTATGGGAACAGGTGGATGCCTGGCCTCCCCAGCTGCTCTGGGCATGCAATCTCCAGCAGAGTGAGCCTGGAACTGCCAGTCTTCTGGGCCCTGATCCCAGCTCCCCTGGTGTCCTCATGAGTCCTCAGGAAAAGCCACTCTTTGCTTTTCTTTAAAGCAGAGCCATGCTGCCTGCCCTGCCTCCTCCATCAGTTGCTGGGAGGATTAAGCAGGAAGACAGATGTGAAAGTGCTTGCAAGGCGAAGACAGCACCTCAGGAAGGTGGTCTGCTCCTGCAGCAAGAGGGGCTAACTTCCGGCCCTGGAGACGCTGTAGCCATCGTGATGTTAAAGCAAAATCTCTGACAGATTTAGATCGTGTGTCAGAGGTTTGTGTCAGCTTCCCAGCAAGGGAACCAGAAAGGAAAAGGAACCGGTTCCTCATGCTTCCTAGGGGAATGCATGCATATCTGAAGAGAAGGGAATCTTATATAAGGCTGTTTAGCTAAGGGCAGCCACCAGCCAGGTGAGCCTTACAGAAGCACAGGGCTGGGTGTCTGCAGTTCCCTAGCAGATTAACCTGGGTCACAGTGACTCAGAGCTCCAGCATGCGAGTTCCAGGTGTGGAACTGAGCAAGTACAGATCTGCTTTTGCTCCACTTGGGAGTATTTTTCCTTCTTAGTGAGCATGGGCAGCCTCCTGGCCAGGGAAGTCTGGCACTGTCTGGGCCTGACAGGGAAACCCTGGGAGGGTAGAAGGATCCAGAGTAGCTGCTGTTCCTCGCTAGCTGGGCTTAGTGCTTTCCGGAGACCCCTTTCTTGAAGCAAGACTCTGTAAGCCCTGCAGAGGTCCCCTGAGCACTTACCAAGAGAGGAGACAGATTGGATAAGGTTTGTTCATGACTAAAAGTCACCCAGCCAAATGCAGTGATGCTTAACGGGGAAGCATGTGGGACCCCGGAGAGCCGAAGGCCAGCGTGAGCTGTGATCAGAGAGGGAGACAGCTGCCCTTCCTGCTACCACGGCCCTGGCCTGGACAAGTAGAGTGTGACCCTCCTCACAGCCAGCAGGGCCTGTCTGCAGGACAGCCTGGGAGTACAGAACTGTCCTGGGTCCCCCGTTTGGTTTTCAGGCCCTCTTCCTGGAGCTGGCTGAGCAGGGTTTCCAGGCATCCAGCAGGTGGCACTGTCATCTGGGCTGGAGCATGCAGCCAGCAGTTCCCTTTTGCAACTCAGTTGCCTTGGCTAAGGCCCAACCAGTCCCAAGTGCTCAGGACAGAGGCTGGACGGGCTCCTTCCTGCACCCCTGCTCTTGGGACACAGTGCCCTCCGGCTCTAATAGGCCAGGAGTTGGGGGGGCAACTGGCTCTGCTCCCTGGCCCTGGCTCCCCCTGCTCCCTGGGGCTGCCCGAGGTGAAGGTGACAGGTGGGGGAGGCAGGTGGAGAATTGGGCCAGTGAGCTCATGGCAAAGGCGCCCAGCTGGGCAGGGGTGGGTGCTCTGGCCTATAAAGCCCCCGAGGCCCTGTGGCCTGCAGAGGCGGTTATGGACGGCACCATGGAGGACTCCGAGGCGGTGCAGAGGGCCACAGCGCTCATCGAGCAGCGGCTGGCACAGGAGGAGGAGAATGAGGTGCGAGCAGGGGTGGAGGTGCCCAAGGGGGTCTGAGGAGATCCAGTTCTGCTGTCAAGGGGAGGGAGATCCTGTCTGCTACACCTGTGGTGGGGAGGGGGGCAGATGTCCCCAGGGGCCCAGTTGGGCCTCATTCCTGTCCCAGGGTATTACTGGCAGGGGGTATTGCTGGCAGCAGAAGACTGAGGCTTCAGCCTTCAAAATTAAGTCAGTGAGATGGGGAGCTGGGCTGGGCTTCCTAAGACTGCTCACCCTCCTGGGCCTTGAGAGACAGTGGGCTGTACAAAGCAGACAGCTGGGTGCTGCCTGGGACTTTCAGGAATGTGTGGCCCTGTGATGCCCCAGTGACTGAGTGGGAGGCTGGGGCAGGGGAAACTCCAGTATTTGGCCAGTGAAGAAGAGAGTGAGGAAGGGATGCTGGGAAATGAAGCATGGATTTTGCCAGCCTGCTGGCCACCCTTGGGGAGTCCTTTGGCGTGTGGTGTTCTGGGCAATTGCATTTTCTCTGGGATAAGGAAGTGGAGCGGTGGCAGGGGGTGCTGGCTTGTCCTATTCTGCATTTTTTTTTTTGAGACGGGGTCTCCCTCTGTTGCCCAGGCTGGAGTGCAATGCATGATCTTGACTCACTGCAACCTCCGCCTCCTGGGTTCAAGCGATTCTCCTGCCTCAGCCTCCCGAGTAGCTGGGATTACAGGCATGCACCACCATGCCTGGCTAATTTTTGTATTTTTAGTAGAGATGGGGTTTCACTCTGTTGGTCAGGCTGGTCTCAAACTCCTGGCCTCAGATGATCCACCCACCTTGGCCTCCCAAAGTACTGGGATTACAGGTATGAGCCACCATGCCCGGCCCCTACTCTTCACTTTATTTAAACTAATACTTCATCTAGTGTTGGCTCTGCCAAGAGCCCAGAGCTGTAGAAATGGGTGGACCAATAAGGGTCAGACCCTGCCTTCTTTTTACCAACCCAGGATTCATTTTAGCCCATTTGTTGGTTTCATAGTCAACTAAGAAACAAGGCAAAGGGAAGAAATGACTAAATAGAGGTGTGAATCAGAAGTGGAGGAACACAAGGGGCTCATGAATTGTTCTGAGGGCCTTCAAGGACTCCTCTGTGGACAGGGCCAGGTGCAGTGGCTCAAGCCTGTAATCCCAGCATTTTGAGATCTGAGATCCGAGGTGGGCAGATCACTTGAAGTCAAGAGTTCGAGACTCACCTGGCCAACATGGTGAAATCCTGTCTCTACTAAAAATACAATTAGCCAGGAATGGTGTCAGGCACCTGTAATCCCAGCTACTCAGGAGGCTGAGGCAGGAGAATTGCTTGAACCTGGGAGGCGGAGGTTGCAGTAAGCCGAGATCGCACCACTGCACTTCAGCCTGGGTGACAGAGGGAGACTCCGTCTCAAAAAAAAAAAAAAGGGGACTCCTCTGTGGACAGGAGGATACCTGAGCTGGGCCTTCAAGGGGACTCAGTGGAGTCCAGGATGGTGGAGGGTATTCCAGCCTCAGGAAATGCAGGAGCTGAAGTTTCCATGAGTGAAAGCGTGGCTGTCTTGATAAAGTCTGGTAGTAGGGGCTAAGGCTGGAAAGACACAAGCCAGAGAGGGCCATGTAAAAGATATTTATTCTGTGGGCAGTGAGGAGCCACTAAATGTTATTGAGTGAGGGAGATTGGTGTCATCTGACCTATTTTAGGAAAGCAGCTCTGATGGCCCTGAGAAGGACTTGTTGGAAAAGGCTGGCCCTAGCAGGAATGGAGGGGAGGAGATAAATCAGGTTGGAGGTAGATGCCATTCAAAAAAAGGAGTGTGACTGAATGAGGGGTGAGGAGGAAGGAAGGGTCAAGACCCCAAGGGAAGAAGGGATGAGGTCAGGAAAGAGCTTGGAATGAGCCCTGGCTGGGGCAAGCATCCCTGGATCTCTAGGAATCCCACTTCTCCCTCCCCCAAGGGCATGTGCCTATGGTTGGCTGGTGCCAGGCAGGTGAGTCATGCTGCTATGCCAGTTCTGGAGTGCTGCCAATAGACACACAGACCTTCAGCAAGGGGACGCAGAGCAGTGTCTTCCGTTCATTCATCCAATAAATATAGCTACAGAGCTGTCAGGACACCAGTGCCAGGCCCTGTGCTAAGCATTTTACAGGCATTCTCCCATTTAATCTGCATAGCAATCTATGACGTAAAGTGGGAGCTTTGTGTGTTTCATGAACTCACATTCAATGCAGCAAACAGCTACTGAGCACCTACTGTGTGCCAGCCCACAAAGACAAACCTGAAATGAAGGGCTGTAGGGTCTGAGGAAGATGTGGGTGAGCATTAGAGTCCCCAGTTGTCTCTACCAGGCCCCAGCCTGGCAGGGTTCTTGGAGGAGAACCTCTGTCTAGCCTGTGCCCCATCCCCAGGGTGGGAGGGGAAAGAGGGCCCCAGAGGCCAGTGCAGGGGCTGGAGTTCCACTGTGGCGAGTTTACTGGGTTAGGTCATCACTGAGAACTTAAGGGTTAGCAGAGATGCTGAGTCTGCTTGCCATCATCCATTCGATCATTCATTCATTCACCAGTCACTAAGCACCTACTATGTGCTAGAGCCTGTCACAGATGCTGGGGACACCAAGATGATTAAGACACAAGCTCGGGAGCCACAGTGGCTCAGGCCTGTTGTCCTGGCGCATAAGGAGGCAAGGCTAGGCATTTGAGGCCAGCCTGGACAACATGGAAACCTCTCATCTATGTGACAACAACAACAAAATTTATAGCCGGGTGCAGTAGCTCACGCCTGTAATCCCAACACTTTGGGAGGCCAAGGTGGGCGGATTGCCTGAGCTCAGGAGTTTGGACCAGCCTGGGCAACATGGTGGAACCCTGTCTCTACTAAAATACAAAAATAATTAGCCAGGCGTGGCGGCATGCGCCTGTAGTCCCAGCTACTCAGGAGGCTGAGGCAGGAGAATTGCTTGAACCTAGGAAGTGGAGGTTACAGCAAGCCGAGATCACACCACCGCACTCCAGCCTGGGTGACAGAGTGGGACTCGGTCTCAAAAAAAAAAAAAAAATACACAAGCTGGCCCTCTGGATGCTCCCTGAGGAGCCCAGCCAGAGTCCCACATGCAGCAGTAGCTGCAGCCCCAGGTTATCTTTCATTCTTGGAAGAAGATGCAGTGTTTCTGATTAGGCCAGCACTGAGACCTCAAACCATGAAGCCCAACATGAAAGAGAGAAAGCAGTGGCTAACAGAACCTTCAGAATGAAGACCTGGGAAATCGGCTCTCAAAACCACCCTGAAGGAGCAAATGCGGGAGCTCAGGGAGGAATGGGAAAGGGGCCTGAGTGCTCTGTAAGGGTGGCCTCCTTCCCAGCTGCCACATTGACTCAGGACCCTCCAACCTGGGCAATTGTTCCTGGACTCATAGCCACACAAGCTGCCTGGTGGGGACTGCAGAGATGGGAGTGCCAGCACATCACAAAGAGAGAAGAAGCAGTCCAGGAAAATCAGAGGGCAAATGCAGAGAAGACCTGGCAGGCAGTTGGACCTGGATTACAGTGAAAAGAAGGTTAAGACTTAGAGCCCGTTTCAGGCTGAAGGCTGAGGAGCTGCTGCTCCCATCACCAAGTTCCCCTGAAAGCAATAGTTTCCAAGCTCTAGACTTCACAGATCAGTGAAATCTGAGAGAAAAAAAAAATAGTATCTAACAAAGAGCTGCCAAATTTTATATTGCTGAGTAAGAACATTTAAGAAGTAATCATCTCTCATCATAATCATTTCATCAAAGTGAATTATTTATTTTTAAAACTTATTTTATTTATTTATTTATTTATTTATTTATTTATTTATTTATTTTTTGAGACCGAGTCTTACTCTGCCGCCCAAGCTGGAGTATAGTGGCACGATCTTGGCTCACTGCAACCTCCACCTCCTGGGTTCAAGTGATTCTTGTGCTTCAGCCTCCCAAGTAGCTGGGACTACAGGTGCGTGCCAACACGCCTGGCTAATTTTTGTATTTTTAGTAGGGATGGGGTTTCACCATGTTGCCTATGGCTGGTCTCGAACTCCTGGGCTCAAGCAATCCACCTGCCTCGGCCTCCCAAAGTGCTTGGATTATAGGCGTGAGCCACTGTACCTGGCCTATTTATTTTTTGAGGCAGGGTCATTCTCTCTCTCTCTCACTGTCACTCAGGCTGGAGTGCAGTGGCATGACCTTGGCTCACTGCAACCTCCCCTTCCTGGGCTCAAGTAATCCTCCCACCTCAGTCTCCCAAGTAGCTGGCACTACAACAAAAGCCACTACGCTTGGCTAATTATTTAATTTTTTTGTAAAGATGGGGTCTCACTATATTGCCCAGGCTGATCTCAAACTTCTGGGCTCAAGAGATCCTCCCACCTCAGCCTCCCAAAGTGCTGGGATTATAGAGGTGAGCCACTGTGCCTGGCCTATTTATTTTTAGAGACACGATCTTGCTATGTCTCTGGAGCTGGTCTCGAACCCCTGGGATTGAGCAATACTTCTGTCTAAGCCTCCCCAGTAGCTGGGACTAAAGGCTGGCACTACCACACCCAGCCAAAGTGAATTTTTAATGCCAAAAAAGTAAAGAAAAAAATAATCTTGGTGCTTGAAAGAGTGAATATATTTAATCTCATGAAAAACTCAACTCTGGTGGCCTTTAATGTTGTTTTGCAGGGATCCAGGCCAGTTAGTGGGCAGGTGTCTGAGCTCAGGGTTGGGACTGGGGCTGAAGCTGAGGTGGGGAACTCACCCCTTTTGGGGGCCCCTCCAGGGGCCCTGCTCTTGCTGGGGGCTCCCCAGGATCAGCCAGAAGGGCTCTGAGACCACCCAGGAGGATGTCTCTGTGGGGTGTCCTTGGTGTGGTTGGGGGAGAGGCTGCCTGTCTCCTCGGGTCCTGGAGAAGGTGCCCTCTTTGGATCACCAGAAACTCCGAGGAGACGCACGCCAGAAGCTGCCCATGGACTTGCTGGTGCTGGAGGATGAGAAGCACCACGGGGCTCAGAGTGCAGCCCTGCAGAAGGTGAAGGTAAGCCTGGGAGGATCCAATGTCTGCACCCAGGGGACCAGCCAGGTAGCCATGGCCTGTCTGCACCTCTCCCCACGTGGCCCATGGACCAGCAGTTCAGCACCCCCGGTAGAGCTTGCTAGCCCTGCAGAATCTCCGCCCCGTCCCAGAACTACTGAGTCAGAATTCCCCCAATGTGAGAGCCATCTAGGCCTGGAAGGAGGGATAGACCTTGGTTCCTTCTTTCTTAAGAGGGTCTTCCTGCCCACCCCACCCTCCCCACCAGCTTAGCTCAGAGGTCTCCCAAGCCCCCCAAACTCTCTGCCCGGCCTGGGGGGTTGATGGGCCATCCCGCGCAGGGCCAAGAGCGCGTGCGCAAGACGTCCCTGGACCTGCGGCGGGAGATCATCGATGTGGGCGGGATCCAGAACCTCATCGAGCTGCGGAAGAAACGCAAGCAGAAGAAGCGGGACGCTCTGGCCGCCTCGCATGAGCCGCCCCCAGAGCCCGAGGAGATCGTAAGGGTCCTGGGGAGGACACCGCGAGGGGGCGGAGGGGGAGCCCGGGAGGCTTCGGATTGCTGGGACGGCCCGTGACTGCTGCGTCCACATCTGCAGACTGGCCCTGTGGATGAGGAGACCTTCCTGAAAGCTGCGGTGGAGGGGAAAATGAAGGTCATTGAGAAGTTCCTGGCTGACGGGGGGTCAGCCGACACGTGCGACCAGGTGATGCTCCTAGCCGCCCCTGACCAGCCTCCCTGTCAGTTGCCACCCCCACTCCGTTCGGCTCCTGGGTCAGCCCACTGTGAGCCTATTTGAGAGGAGGCACCGGTGTTCTTTGGATGGGTGGGTGGCTGGGGCGCTCAGAATGGGTGTCCCTTCCCCGTACAGGAATTGACCTAAATCCTTAAACCCTTTTCCAACTTGAATCACCTGCAGAGCAACAAATGTCACATGTTTGTTTAGGAAAGAAAGAAAAATAGAATCAAATAAAAACAGACCAGGACCAGAAGATGTGGGCTCAAATCCCATCTCTCTCACTCACGAGTTGTGGGACCTGTGGCTGGGTCGGTGCCCTCTCCATGCCTCAGTTTCCTCCTCTGTAAAATGGCCTACTTCCCTCACAACATGTTACGGTGATCAAATGGAATATTAGGCTGGGCACTGTGGCTCACGTCTGTAATCCCAGCACTTTAGGTCAAGGTGGGAGGAGCGCTTGAGCCTAGGAGTTCAAGACCAGCCTAAGCAACAGAGTGAGACCCTGTCTCTATACATATATAGATAAAGATATAGATTTTTTTTTTTTTTGGTAAAAGGAAAAAAGGAATATTAGCACCTCAGTAACTCAGTATTCACTGAATGAATGAAGAAACTATCAAGCATGTGTTAAGATATGATATTTTTGTTTCTCATGGTATAGTACTGTACTTTTTTTTTTTTTTTTTGAGACAGAGTCTCACTCTGTCACCCAGGCTGGAGTGCAGTGGCGCAATCTCAGCTCACTGCAACTTTCGCCTCTTGGGCTCAAGCAATCCTCCCACTTCAGCCTCCCAAAGTGTTGGGATTACAGGCTTGAACCACCACTCCTGGCCTATTTTTTTTTCATGGTAAAACATAACGTGAAATGTTCCACTTTAACCATTTTAAGTGTACAATTCAGTGGCATTAATTACATTCACAATGTTGTGCAGCCATATTTTCTTTTTTTTTCTTTTTCTTTTTTTTTGAGATGGAGTCTTGCTCTGTCCCCCAGGCTGGAGTGCAGCGGTGCGATCTCAGCTCACAGCAGCCTCCACCTCCCAGGTTCAAGTGATTCTCCTGCCTCAGCCTCCTGAGTAGCTGGGATTACAGGCGCCCGCCACCACACCCGGCTAATTTGTTTATTTTTAGTAGAGACAAGGTTTCAACATGTTGGCCCTTGACAACAAGCTGGTCTTGAACTCATGATCTCAGGTGATCCACCCACCTCGGCCTCCCAAAGTGCTGGGATTACAGGCATGAGCCACCGTGTCCGGCCCCTTACAGCCATATTTTCTAAATTTTTCATCACCCATCATACTTCTTTTTGTTTTGCCTGAAACTGCCTCTTTCACACTTCCCGGGGTGCTTTCTTGCTCTCGTATCCTGGAATTTGGCACATTAGTGGTTTTCCACCTTTGGTCTGCATTATTGTAGACTTGGACCACATGTCCTTTCTGTTCTTTAGACTCCAGAGTCTTCATCCTCTCAGTCTGTCCAACTACCTCCTACTTCCGAGCACCATGCTAGGTGCCAGAATACAAAAAAACAAAAAAAGCAAAACAAAACAAAAAAACAGACCAGGGTTGGTTCCTTGGGGAGACTGACATGTAACCAGATCATTAGAATAAGGAAAGATACTCACTGTGTGTGTCCTGTAACCAGATCATGAGAATATGGAAAGATATTGTGGCTTGAGCGTTTCAAAAGTCCAAGGCAGAAAGGAGAAGGGGAAAAGTTTATTCTTTCTTTGAATCAGTGATCAGTGTCACCTGTTCATGCTGGCCTTGTGCTAGGCACTTGGGGAGTCCAGCAAGACTTGACCTGCCCTCGAACACACTCTCACAGTTAAGGGTCATCTGGGCCCTAGGGAAGCCCTGGCCTAGAGGTTTCAAGGAAATGATGGCATTTGAGCTGCATCTTGAAGGAGTAGCAGATTTTATCAAGCACTCCCAGGAAGTGAGGGCAAAACAGGCATGCTTGGCAGAGGAAACCACCTGTAGAGAGGCATGGCTTGATGTGCCTGGGGGGCAGTGAGAAGGTCGGGTTCCCTGGGGCAGAGGGCTCCCAGGCTGGTCTGGATAGAGCATAAGGGAGCTGGCAGAACACAGAAAACATGGGGGCCAAGCACAGGGGTGAGAATCAAGCTGGGGGGAAGGCCTGGGCCTCAGCTTGGGTGGGAGATGGGCTCAGGCCTGGAGCCAGAGGCCAGGCCCTGACAGCCTCTCTGGGGACAGTTCCGTCGGACAGCACTGCACCGAGCTTCCCTGGAAGGCCACATGGAAATCCTGGAGAAGCTTCTAGATAATGGGGCCACTGTGGACTTCCAGGATCGGGTGAGTGAGAGGGCAGGTATTCAATGGGAGACAGGAGGTGGGTCCAGCACTGACAGACACCCTCTCCCTGCCACCTGTGCCAACCTGAAGCATAAACAGGTTGCTCAGGTGCCAGACTCCACCTCAGTGGCTTATGTGACCTTGAGTAAGCCCCTTCTCCTCCCTAAGCATCCTCTGTGAGTCTGGCTTGGACCAGATGGGCCCTGAGTGTTCTTCTGTTCCACTTGGTCCATTGCCCATGCCCAGGCCTGCTCCCTGTACCTTTCCCCTAGATATCCCTCTGCCTTCCTGGCTGGGGTACATTACCCCCGAATACTTTCTTCCCTGCAGCTCTGTAGTTAGACCCCCTCATTTCTTTCTAGCTGGACTGCACAGCCATGCATTGGGCCTGCCGCGGGGGCCACTTAGAGGTGGTGAAACTTCTGCAAAGCCATGGAGCAGACACCAATGTGAGGGATAAGGTGAGGCAAAAACACTCAGAAGCAACAGATATTGGGGTGGCTGTGGGGAGAAAGGCAGGGGTCCAAGGGCAGGAAAGCCTAGGGGGCAGGAAGGTAGTGAGCTAGTCTGGTTTCTGGCTGCAGAGCAGGGAAGCTAAAACAGTGTCCTACTGGGCCTCCCAGCCCAGGGATGGGTCCCTGCCATCCACACAGGCCCTTGAGGAACCACCATCTGAGGATAGGAGCAGGAAGAGCAGACAAGAAGGGAAGACAAGAGACTCACTGTGTTGGGGGCTTTGGGACCACTCAAAAGATGCAAGATTTGTTCATGTTATCTGTCATTATCCTTCTGTCTACCTATCTATTCATCTATCCGTCTATCCATCCATCCATTCCTCCATTTATTCATCCCCTCATTCATTTATTTATTTATGCACCATCCTTCTATTCATTCATTATTTCATGTACAACCTTGAACAAGTGACAGCCTCTGAGCTTCTGTTGCTCATCTGTGAAATGTCTTGCAGAGTTCTTGTGTAGCTTAGGTGGGAAAACATGTGTAAATGAATTATTTATTCAACATAAGGCAAATGTCTTGTAAGCTTTTGCCATGTCCATTACATAGTCATCTCTCAATAAATGACATATATTATGATTATTAAAAGAAGGGTAGAAGAGTGAGCAGCTGGGTGAGAGGAGAATCACAGAAGGCTTCCCAGAGGAAGTGGCATTTAAGGCTTTAGAGTTAGGCCATTGGATAGGATGGTAAGAAATTGTACCATTCTCTGCCCCTCCAAGGCTCAGGCCTTGGCACTAGGACTTGGAAGAGGGATTAAGCTGGAGTTAGGACAGCCCCCGCCTTCCCAGGGGTACCACAGTTCAGGCCCCGTCAACTAGCAGTTCCTGATTCCTCCCACCCAGCTGCTGAGCACCCCGCTGCACGTGGCAGTCCGGACAGGGCAGGTGGAGATTGTGGAGCACTTTCTATCCCTGGGCCTGGAAATCAATGCCAGAGACAGGGTGAGTGCTAGCCTGTCCGCTGCTCACCCGCCATGGGTGTGTGGGCAGCCTGCGGGCCCCTACAGGTGGTGTCCTTCCTCCTGGGGCCTTCAGGACTTGGCTCCTGAGCAGGGTCTCCAGCCCACCTCCCATCACCCTTGCCTCCTCCCACTGCCCACAAGGGCCATAGTGAGTGCCACACTGACTCTAGGAAGGGGATACTGCCCTGCATGACGCTGTGAGGCTCAACCGCTACAAAATCATCAAACTGCTGCTCCTGCATGGGGCTGACATGATGACCAAGAACCTGGTAAGCTCATTCCCTCCTTGATTCAGTCACTGGCGTGAGCACTCATACAGTGGAGGTGCTGTCCTGGTCCCTGGAGCAGCCCCCGCCTAGGGACATGTATCATTGGCTCTGGCCAGCACCATAGTACATAAACTTGTCCTCTTCCAGAGCACCATTCCAACTGTCCGCCCCATTCTCTATGTGTGTCTATGTCCAGAGTGCAAGTGCAGAGAGACAGCAGGAGGGGCAGCAAGAGGACTTCCCAAAGACCCCCAAGTAGGCCAGAGGGGGTCCTCAAGTACTGGCCCAAGGAGGCCAGAATCATGAAAGGCCAGAGCTGGAAGGGACCGAGCACTCAGCTGGCATGACAGTTCCTAGCACCCCATGTCAGCTCCTGTGGTCTTTGAGTTTTCTTAGGATCTAGGCAGGAAGTCCTTGGAAGGGGAAGGTGCCCAGGGAACACCTTGGACTAGGGAACACTTAGTCCAAGTTCTTCTTTGGGGCCCAGAGCATTCACAAAAGGAGGCCATGGGAGAGTCCCTCGGGCTCAAGAAAGGCTAAAGGGATAATGAGAAAAGCAGGAAAATATGGAGAAGGTATAAATGAGGGGTTTTCACCCTCAGCATTATTGACATTTAGGGCTGGGTGATTGTTTGTTGTAGGGGACCATCCTATGCCTTGTAGGATATTTAAGCAACATTCTTGGCCTCTGCCCACTAGATGCCAGTAGTACCCATCCCCTAGTGTGACAACCAAAAGTATCTTCACACAATGCCAGTTGCCCCCATTTGAGAAGCACTGGTGGTGTCAATGAGGGTACCTTCTGTGAAAGCCTTCAGGACAGTTAACAGATTTTCTCTTGCCAACCCCCACGCCCCGTCCCGCCCCCTCCAGGCAGGAAAGACCCCGACGGACCTGGTGCAGCTCTGGCAGGCTGATACCCGGCACGCCCTGGAGCATCCTGAGCCGGGGGCTGAGCATAACGGGCTGGAGGGGCCTAATGATAGTGGGCGAGAGACCCCTCAGCCTGTGCCAGCCCAGTGAATGCGTGCCCCAGCCCAGCCAGCTACCCAGCCCCTCTCTGTGTGCAGCCGGAGGGTCCTAAGAATGGCTCCCGGAGCTAACTGAGGGCCCAGCCTTTTTTCTGCATGATCCAGGAGCACATACCACAAACTACCACAATAAAAAAGCTGTTTTTGCTAATTGCGATGTTCATTTCCACTTGTGTCTGAAATCTTTGGGAATGAAGGAAGACTGGGGGCAAATGCTGGTTTGGGGAGGAGGGAAACTGGGAGCCGGTTGGCCCTCTGAGCCAGCCCTGCAGCTTCTTTACTGTGGTCTCTTTTCCTTTCCTCCCTGCCACTCAACTTTTCCTGCCCCTTCTCACATCTCCAGGGCCAGGCTTGGCCCCTGCATGGATTGACTTGGTAATACACTCATCCTGGCCCCCTTCCTGGTGCCTGCTGTCCTGTGGGGCTGTGAGTGGCTAGCACAGGCTTGTCACGTGGCTGCCTTGGCAGGAGGAGCCTGGTAAGGGAGCGGGGCAGGGGATGGACAGCCTGTCACAGGCAGCTTCTTGCCCAGCCTTGCCACACCTCCCACAGGGCAGGACCTGCTCAGCCAATCAGCTCCACCAACCTCAGAACTGCCCGTGGAAACCTGGCTGGGCTTCTGGCTTCAGAGCTGGGAATTGTGGGAGGAGGGCCCAGATCCCACTGGAGATACCGAAGGAGATACTCTTTAGTATTGGGATCCCAGAAACCAGTCCTATATCTGGCCAGAGGGACACTGGGTTGTGGCATCTCTCTAGCTGCTACCCAGAAGGAACAGGGCCCCCTGGGGCCTATAGGCCTTGCCCCTGACCCTGGGAACACCCAGCTCAGGCCTGCCCCAGTGGCCACAAGTCAGGGAGGCCGCAAATTTTTAACTAGAAACATTGATCATTAATAGGGGGTTAGAAAGAGTTCAAACTAAGTCTCACTCTGGGACATAGACCAATTGTGCTTCAGGCCTCCTGCAGAGATGCTGGGTCCCCAAGTCTGGTCTTCTGTGAGGCAGGGGCTAAGCAGGAGCTTGTCCAGGAATGTGGGGGTCTGGGCCTCAGGGGAGGGGAAGAAGGTGGACATTGCGGGTATCTACCCCCCTGTGACCACCCCCTTCACTGCCACTGCAGAGGTGGACTATGGGAAACTGGAGGAGAATCTGCACAAACTGGGCACCTTCCCCTTCCGAGGTAAGTGGGGCTGTCCTCTGTGGGACCTGGGGAGATGTGAGTGGCCCTTTAGCCAGAGACCAAGGGAGGGTACACAGGCTCTGTCAAGCTGTCCAGGGATAGTCTGGTACTCAGTGGGTCATTTTATTATGGGAGAGGAACAGGGGAGACTGGTCTGGAGTCAGGAGACAGGCAGGAAGCTCCACGCTGGCCTGTAACCTTAAGCTAAACCTCACCTGCTTCAGTTTACCCAGCTGTAAACTGTTAAAGTGCCTTTGTAGCTCCCAGAGTGATTCTGAGGTTGGACTGGATAATGGGCGTGAAAGTCCTTGTCAACCTTGTCACTTGGTGCAGATGTGAAGGCATGTGGCTGGGGTCACGTGGCAGCCCAGCCACAGTCCCAGTTCCCTCCAAAGTTTGTTTGTACATTCTCTTCTGGACAAAGCCTCCTTGCCAGAATTAGTTCTCCTGTGACCCCTTGGCTCCTGTGACTCCTGTTGTGGCTCCTGTGACCCCATCTCTCTTTACACATGGGTCTCCCCAACTCTGAGGTTAGGGACCAGATGATATTTGCAACAATCAACATGTAACAGAGTCCCAGGCACAATAAATGAAGGTAGAAGAAAATGTCAAATTCTGCCTGCCCTGCTCCGCCCATCCCCATTCCTTACTGCACAATCCCCTGAGGCAGTGCTCTCTGTAGGACCATCCCACAGATGGGAATCTGGGCCTCAGAGTGACATGGTCACTGCCCAAGGTCATTCGGCTAACACATAGCTGAGCTGAGGTTTGCACCTCGTCTGACTGCATGGCCCATGCTCCATTTTACTCCCTCGCTGACTCTCATTATAAACCCTTTGGAGCTGCTAGGCCACACTATTTCAACGGAGTGTCTGGTCAGCACTAGCTTTGTTGTGGCTGCTATTGAGGCAGTATCGTGTAGACTGTGGACTCTGGTTTCAAATCACAGCTCTGGAGTGAGCGCCTGTAATCCCAACACTTTGGGAGGCCGAGGCGGAGGGATCATGAGGTCAGGAGTTCAAGACCAGCCTGGCCAACATAGTGAAACCCCGTCTCTACTAAAAATGCAAAAATTAGCTGGGCGTGGTGGTGTGTGCCTGTAATCCCAGCTACTCGGGAGACTGAGGCAGGAGAATCGCTTGAACCCGGGAGGCAGAGATTGCAGTGAGCTGAGATCATACCATTGCACTCTAGCCCGGGCGACAGAGCAAGACTCCATCTCAAAAAAAAAAAAAAAAATCAAATCACATCTCTGGCACTGACTTAGTGTGGGATGATTGCTGTCCCTATCGGACACATGGGAGTGATAATGCTCATATTATGGGATGGTTGGACAAAAAAATCTGAGAGAATGCAAGTGAAATCGTGCTATAAATTGTGGAGTAATATACATTGGAAGGTACTGATTCCAATGGTAATAATGATTAAAATGACAGTGTGATTGGCATTGCAGCAAAGCTGCTTTGTGACTGTGACCCCTGGCCTGATGGACACGTTGATCATTCATAGCTCAGTACTGAGGGAATGTGCCCCTTCCTTGGGGACAATGAATGCCCTGTGGAGGGCCACGTTGAGCAGGGCACAACTGTTAGGTTTCTGCTGGTGCTTGGCTCGTGGGGCCTGGAGGTTTGGTGAGGTCCTGGTTCTCTTGAAGTGAGAAGCATTTTGAGCCTCTAAGTGAAGACCTTACTTCAGCTTCAAGGTTCAAGGATGCTCTAGTTCAGGGTGGGGAGGGTGGACTTTGCATCTGGTGTTTGCCTGACACCCAGAGAATCCACAGAGACCCCCAGACTCTTCTCTGGACCCTCCCTTCTGGGCCACCCACCCACTCTTGCAGAGGGCATGGGGTGCCCAGGAGCACAGGCTTCCGTGGATTTAGCAGGCTGTGGGCTGCACATACCCACTTGTCTGTCTCCCTCGCAACCTATGCAGGCTCCAGCTCCCATCTGATCACTCACCCACACACCAGAGAGCCAGCGGGGTGTGGTAGGAAGAGCCCAGCATCTTGAGTTAGAGGACCTGGGCAAGAATCCTGCCACTTCTGCCAGTTAACAGAGACCTTGGGGAAACCACTTAACCTTTCAAATCCAGTCCTCATTTTAGAATAGGAACTGAGCCTTCAGGCTTCTAGCCACAGGGTCAATATAATCCTCCCAAGGCACTGTCACAGAAAACACAGAGATAGAGGGTCCCTTCCCTGCTTCCAGGGTGCAGCCAAAATGCCCAGGAAGGAAGACACAAACAACTTTAGCTCTGAAATCTGTGTTTCTCTTGCCCTGTCCTGGCCCCTGAGGTAGACTTTGCAGCCCAACACTCAGGCTGAGGAGGGAACGTATCACATTGTAAGGGCCTCCTGCAGCCAGTTAAAGGTCCTCTGAAGAGGAGATGAGGGCCAGGCACAGTGGCTTACTCCTGTAATCCCAGCACTTTGGGAGGCCAAGGCAGGAGGATCTCTTGAGACCAGGAGTTGGAGACCAGCCTGGCCAACATAGTGAGACCCTGTCTCTATTAAAACAAATAAATAGGAGGTGGAAAGCTGCCCTGGATGAATCAGTGAAGAGTTAGAGATTCTTCTGGAAAGCACTCCCTGAAACTGTGTAGCTTTTTTTTTTGAGACAGAGTCTTGCTCTGTCGCTCAGGCTGGAGTGCAGTGGCATGATTTGCCTCACTGAAACCTCCGCTTCCTGGGTTCAAGCGATTCTCATGCCTCAGCCTCCTGAGTAGCTGGGATTACAGGTGCCTGCCACCACGCCTGGCTAATTTTTGTATTTTTAGTAGAGATGGGGTTTCACCATGTTGGCCAAGCTGGTCTTGAACTCCTGACCTCACGGTCCGCCGGCCTCGGCCTCCCAAAGTGCTGGGATTACAGGCGTGAGCCACCGCGCTGGGCCTCTTATTTATTTATTTATTTTTAAGATGGGGTCTCAGTCTGCCACCCAGGCTGGACTGCAGTGGCACGATCTCGGCTCACTGCAACCTCTGCCTCCTGGGACTAAAGCAATCTGCCCATCTCAGCCTCCCGAGTAGCTGGGACCAAAGGTGCACACCACTATACCCGGCTAATTTTTTGTATTTTTAGTAGAGATGGGATTTTGCCGTGTTGCCCAGGCTGATCTCGAATTCCTGAGCTCAAGTGATCTGCCTGCCTCTGCCTCCCAAAATGCTGGGATTACAGGCATGAGCCACCATGCCCGGCCCCGTGTAGCTCTTTTTAAAAAATCTTTTTAGCATTGCTAATTTGTACTGATTATTTGAATAGAGAGTATTCTTTTTGTTTTTTCTTTCTTTTTTTTTTTTTTTTGTGATGGAGTCTTGCTCTGTCTCCCAGGCTGCAGTGCAGTGGCACGATCTCGGCTTACTGCAAGCTCTGCCTTCCAGGTTCACGCCATTTTCCTGCCTCAGCCTCCTGAGTAGCTGGGACTACAGGCTCCCACCACCATGCACGGCTAATTTTTTGTGTGTGTGTGTGTATTTTTAGTAGAGATGGGGTTTCACCGTGTTAGCCAGGATGGTCTCAATCTCCTGACCTCGTGATCGTCCGCCTCGGCCTCCCAAAGTGTTGGGATTACAGGCGTGAGCCACAGCGCCCAGCCAAGAGTATTCTTTTTAAATAAAAATTATGACCAGAGACTAGAGGAAGGGGTCATTACAGAAGGGCTCTATGGCCCTGAACTCACACCCATAAACACCCTCAAAGATGGACTTTGAATTGTTATTTCCAAATGAGGTTAGCCAACCACAGAACTAGTCCAGCAGGACTGGGAAGATGAGGTTCTCCATAAAACACTTGTGTCCTATTCCTTCCATACATAGAGTGGACCATGCTTTCTTGCAAAGATATAATATTTTGTATATATTAAAACCATTACTCTGTTAAAGAAAATATTTTGTTTAAAGCATCACAATGTTTACAACCCCATTTTGGCATTTCTTATTTTTTTTTAAATGGGCTAGATGCTTTTGAGGGGAAAAAAAAATACAGTGGCCCAGGCCTGTTTATACCCTGAGAGGCCTTGGAGATTAATTAGGCTTTTAGTTGTCTGCACCTATGGAAAGCCTGGCCAGCCAGCCCACCTGCTCACAACCCGAACCATGCCTATTTATGGGGGGGCAAATTCTGGGTTTGTAGGTGCCTCACTAAGGCAAGAGGTAGCAGCTACCATCCCGGAGTGGCCCCAGGGATCTAGACCCGATGAAGTCTCCTGTCCACTCTGCCTTCTCAGCCCACTGCTTGCCTCTCCACCCTCAGCCCATTGTGACCTCATGTTAGTTACTCCAGAATGAGCTCCTTCCTGGGTTCTTTTCCCTCTGAACTCTGCCCTGTAGTGAGGCGAGGGGCTGCAAATGAGGATGGAATATGCCAGGCTGGCAGCAGACATGGGCACTGGATGGAGGTGCACTGGTCTCA
This sequence comes from Homo sapiens, assembly GCF_000001405.40. Taxonomy (NCBI): domain Eukaryota; kingdom Metazoa; phylum Chordata; class Mammalia; order Primates; family Hominidae; genus Homo; species Homo sapiens. The sequence continues at coordinate 97,589,323 of NC_000010.11, forward strand.
GATGGCTAGGAATGGATACCAGCCCAGTCAAGGGGATCATTCTGTCATGGCCAGCCTGACCCAGCATACTTTGCCCCCTGGGGGCCACCAGATGGGGAGAGAGAGAAACCAAAGACTGGAAGATACAAAGGCCTAAGTTGTAGAATGGATTCCAAGCAGAAGGCAGAAGGACTCAGAATTGGAGAAGCAGCCCTTTCACTGAGCCTGGGGACAGCTGTCAGGGTAGGAGACAGGACCCAGGCCTCAGGCAATGCCTGCCAGGCTAGACATGAGGGATGCTGCGGCCTCTCCCCACCCCACTCTCCCCACCCCACCCGCAACTGCCTTCCTCACAATGGGGTTCATTGTTGAGGTGGTGGGGGGCACCTAGGGAGGGTGCAGCAGGGGGCCTGCCTGTCAGACATCCTTGGGGAGCCTGCCCTTTCAAGCATGAATCATACCACCAGAGATCACCCAGCGTGCTCTTAGCTCTGCCTGCCTGGTGTAGGGTCCTGGAGACCTTCTTGGAGCTCATCCAGCAGCCATCATGCAAGGTGGTGCTGGGGACTGCCCTCTTGCTAGGAGGTGGAGGTCTCATGCTGTGGGTTCAGAGAAAGAGGAGAAGAAAGGAAACCTCTGAGTGTCCATCAGACAAGGACAAGTCACCAGAATCCCATAAAGCAAAGAATGAAAGCTGGATTAAATCCCACTTTAGCCGCCTTTCCGAAGAGAAGCTGGCCCTCGACAACAATGCCAGCGCTAGTGGCAATGCTACCCAGACTGAGAGTGGGAGTGAAGAGGTCAGCTCCACGGTTCACATAGAGACCTTCACCACGAGGCACGGAGAAGTGGGCTCCGCTCTGCACCGGGAATCCTTCACCAGCAGGCAGAAGACATCTGGGCCCTCAGTGATCCAAGAGATCCACCAGGAGTCTGGAAAAGCCCCATCCACTGATGAGGCCACGTGGGCCGCTGTGGCTGCCTGCACCAAGGAGATTGACACCCAGGGGCGGCACCTGGCTCACTCCATGCTGCAGCGGGCCATAGCTTACCAGCACTCAGGTCACCTAGAGTCCAAGGACATCAACCAGGAGGAGCTGAGGGCCCTCGAGGAGGTAGAGATGAAGCTGCAAAAGAATTTCCTCACCCAGCGGGAAAACACCATAGCTGGTGCCAATCACACACACACCTTCTATGGCCACAGTCACCACAGTCACCATGGCCACCCAAGCCACCAGAGCCACAGCCTGCCTAATCGCAGACACTAGATCTGTGACTTCTTGGAAGCCACCTAACCATGGATGGAGACGCCCCTGCCCCCAGCAAGGCTGGCTCACACACACGTCTGTTTTCTCTCCTATGGGGCCATCTATGCAGGCCAGGGTGAGATGCTGTGCCCAAATCCCTACTTTCTTAGGCTCCTCACGGGGATTATGGGCTCTTTAAACTCCATGAGTGGGGTCTGCCACAGAAGATGGCCCCTGTTGGAGGGAGAGCTGGGAGGACACAGCGCAGGTGAGATAGACCCTGAGGCCCCTGAAGACCCACCAAGAGAAGACAGATGGGAGCAGGCAAGAGCCCCACACTGATGTCATTGCCTGGAACGGAGCCAATAAAGCTTTGTGTGCCTTCACTCTGAGTCCAGGGGCTCTGTGGGCAGCCTAAGGTCTGGCAGGGATGGAGGGAGGGGGCTCCCTCTCCAGCAGTCCTCTGGAGTGGAGTGGAGAAAAGGCCCCCGACCTGGGGCCTTTTCACTGGGCCTCATTTAAAGCTCCATAAAACAGCTACCCTGGTCTCAGGTTCTGGAAAAGGGGTACCTCTAGACGTCTCAACACCCCCAATCTGATGTTGCCAGGGAAGAGGGGAGCAGCCAGGTATTGGGCTTGGAGGAGAAACAGGCTTTCAGAGGAGAGTAACTAAGCCAGGTGGGAATGAGGGCCCCTGTCGTCTTGGTGCTATCTTTGCTCTCAAGTCATGTGGCATCCTACAAGGCAGTTCTCTCACCAGCCCCACCTGCTTCCTGGGGCCCCTTGGGATCCATGTTAGTACCTCCCCACCACCTAAGTCTACAGCTACTGAGTGAGCACAACACTTTCTTCTTGTTTGTTTAACTTAATTTAATTTAATTTAATTTAATTTAATTTTAAGTTCTGAGTTACATGGGCAGGATGTTCAGGTTTGTTACATAGGTAAACGTGTGCCATGGTGGTTTGCTGCACCTATCAACACGTCACCTAAGGTATTTATTTAGCCCTGCGTGCATTAGCTATTTAACCTGATCATCTTGGGTTCTTTTTTTTCTTTTCCCTTTTTTTCTTGTTTTTTATGTATGTATATTTTGAGACAGGGTTTCACTCCTGCTGCCTAGGCTGGAGTGCAGAGGCGTGATCACGGCTCACTGCAACCTCTGCCTCTTGGGTTCGAGCGATCCTCCCACCTCAGCTTCCCAAGTAGCTGGGACTGCAGGTGTGTGGAACCACACCTGGCTAATTTTTTTTTTTTCTTTTCTTTCATTTTGTGTGTGTGTGTGTGTGTGTGTGTGTGTGTGTGTGTGTGTGACAGAGTCTCGCTTCATTGCCCAGGCTGGAGTACAGTGGCGCGATCTTGGCTCACTGCAACCTCTGCCTCCCGGGTTCATGCGGTTCTCATGCCTCAGCCTCCCGAGTAGCTAAGGCCAAAGGCACACACCACCATGCCTGGCAAATTTTTTTTGTATTTTTAGTAGAGATGGGGTTTTGCCATGTTGCCCAGGCTGGATTACAGTGGTGATATCATAGTTCACTGCAGCCTCAGACTCAAACTGGCAAAATTCAAATAAAGTCCTTAGTTAATGACATTGTACCAGTGTTAATTCTTTGGTTCTGGTCATCATATTATAGCTAGGTAAGACATTATCATTGGTGGAGGCTGGGTGAAGGATGTATAGAAAATCCCTGTACTTTTTTTTTTTTTTTTTTGAGACGGAGTCTTGCTCTGTGGCCCAGGCTGGAGTGCAGTGGTGCGATCTCGGCTCATTGCAAGCTTCACCTCCCGGGTTCATGCCATTCTCCTGCCTCAGTCTCTCGAGTAGCTGGGACTACAGGCGCCCGCCACCACGCCTGGCTAATTTTTTCCATTTTTAGTAGAGACGGGGTTTCACTGTGTTAGCCAGGATGTTCTCCATCTCCTGACTTCGTGATCCGCCAGCCTCGGCCTCCCAAAGTGCTGAGATTACAGGTGGGAGCCACCGTGCCCAGCCAGAAAATCCCTGTACTATTTTTGAAACTTTTCTGTAAATCTAAAAGTAATTCAATATTTCAAGTTAAAAAAAAAGTTTTCAGACAATTTGATTATGAGTGTGTGTCAAAGTTTGATTATCGTTGTAATGCAAGCAAAATGACCTGTAAGCAGCTAACTCAAATATATACTCTTGGTAAGAATATTTTTATTAAAAAAAGAATGGTCAGGCTGGGCGTGGTGACTCCTGTCTGTAATCCCTGCACTTTGGGAGGCCGAGATGGGCAGATCACTTGAGGTCAGGAGTTTGTGAGACCAGCCTGGACAACCTCGTGAAACCTCGTCTCTACTAAATATGCAAAAATGAGCTGGGCATGGTGGTGCCCACCTTAATCCCAGCTGCTTGGGAGGCTGAGTTGGGAGGATTGCTTGAATCCAGGAGGCGGAGGTTGCAGTGAACAGTGATCGCTCCACTGCACTTTAGCCTGGGCGACAGAGTGAGACTCTGTCTCAAAAAAAAAAAAAAAAAAAAAAGAGAATGGTCAGATCACTCACTGTTAAGACTACGTAAAGACAAAGAAGAGTAGTTAACAGCTTCTAGGCTCTTGCCTGAGAGTTGGCTGGGAGGGTGGCTAATTTTCCAGATCAAGTCTTAATTCCATTAAAGTTCATTGGGGGCCGAACACGGCGGCTCACGCCTGTAATCCCAGCACTTTGGGAGGCTGAGGCAGGTGGGTCATCTGAGATCAGGAGTTTGAGACCAGCCTGGCCAACATGGTGAAATCCCATCTCTACTAAAAATACAAAAAATTAGCTGGGTGTGGTGGCAGGCACCTGTAATCTCAGCTACTCGGGAGGCTGAGACAGAAGAATTGCTTGAACCTGGGAGGTGGAGGTTGCAGTGAGCCGAGACCATGCCACTGCCCTCCAGCCTGGGTAACAGAGCCAGACTCTGTCTCAAAAAAAACATAAAAAAGAAAAAAATAAATAAAGTTCATCACAAAAATGCTTAAGCATTTCATCAGGAATGTAATTTCTTTCCAGAGGGAGGTTATGAATTATGTCATGCAAAAAACTTTGGCCGCAGACCAGGGCAGAAAAAAATAAAGAACTTCTTTTTCTTTTGCACAACAAATTGTCAACACACACCTCAACACCTATGCTAGGCACCACACAGGAGGCCAGAATGCATCCAGGCAAAGTAAGGCAAGCACTGGGCAAGGAAAACAGAATGCTGGGTAGCCGACTTGAGCTTGTTGGCCCGCATTTGGAAGGTGTTCCAGGCAGAAGGGAACAACACAAGCAAGGGTGCAGAGGGAGGGAAGTGCAGTGTCTGGGGAACCATGGCAGTCAACTTGTTTTTTTTTTGAGACCGAGTTTCACTCTTGTCACCCAGGCTTGAGTGCAGTGGCACGACCTCGGCTCACTGTAACCTCTGCCTCCCGGGTTCAAGCGATTCTCCTGCCTCAGCCTCCCGAATAGCTGGGATTACAAGCGTGCACCACCACGCCCAGCTAATTTTTGTATTTTTAGTAGAGATAGCGTTTCACCACGTTGGCCAGGCTGGTCTCGAACTCCTGACCTCAAGTGATTGGCCTGCCTTGGCCTCCCAAAGTGCTGGAATTACAGGCATGAGCCACTGCGCCTGGTCTTTTTTTTTTTTTTTTTTTTTTTTTGAGACAGAGTCTCACTCTGTCACCCAGGCTACCGATCAGTGGTGCGATCTGGGCTCACTGCAACCTCCACCTCCCAGGCTTAAGCAATTCTCCTGCTTCTGACTCCCGAGTAGCTGGGATTACAGGTGCGCGCCTCCATGCTTGGCTAATTTTTGATTTTTAATTTTTTTTATTTTTTTAAGACAGAGTCTTACACTGTCACCCAGGCTGCAGTGCAGTAGCCCAATCTTGGCTCACTGCAACCTCTGCCTCCTGGGTTCAAGCAATTCTCCTGCCTCGGCCTCCTGAGTAACTGGGATTACAGGTGCCTGCCACCATGCCCAGCTAATTTTTGTATTTTTAGTAGAGACGGGGTTTCACCATGTTGGCCAGGCTGGTCTTGAACTCCTGACCTTGTGGTTCGCCCGCCTCGGCGTCCCAAAGTGCTGGGATCACAAGTGTGAACCATTGTGCCTGGCCTAATTTTAATTTTTTTTTAGTAGAGACAGGGTTTCACCATGTTGGCCAGGCTGGTCTCGAACTCCTGGCCTCAAATAGTCCACCCGTCTTGGCCTCCCAAAGTGCTGGGATTACAGGTGTGAGCCACTGTGCCTGGCCCAATTTCTTATTTTATAGGAGAGGTCAGATTGAAAAATTGTGTCTAATCCCACACATGGGGGTGGGGGTGGAGGATTGAAGAGTTCTAGGGACCTTTGTAGATGGGTGCTGTCCATGGGGAAATATTATACAAGGAACAGGTAACGGAAATGCAGAGCAGGGAGGCCCAGTGGAGAGATCCCAGGAAGACTTCTCAGAGGAGGTGGCAATGATGATGGACTAAGAACGCATAATAATGTCTGGGGACACTCCTTATGTGATTCTTTTTAGCCACAGTAAGTCACCATGTTGCTTATGTGTCCCCAGCCCCAAACGCCCACTCCCCTCACTGCCACCCCAGCTCCCAGAGCAGCAAGTGTAATCATGGGGGCAGGGGAGAGTATCTTCCTTTGTCTTACAGCTGGAGGGGGCCTTGTACACCCACTCCTAATATCACAGTAGGTGTACAATGAGAGGTCATTGAGAGCAGCCTCCCCTTCAACACCAGCCACCCTCCTGATTTAAGGTTTGAGCACTTTCTCCTGACTCCATAAGAATGACAGCTAACACTTATTGAGCACCAGGTTCTATTCGAAGTACTTTATAAATAGTATCTCATTTAAACTTCAAAACAACTCTGAGAGGCTGGGTGTGATGGCTCATGCCCATAATCCCCAGCACTTTGGGAGGCCAAGGCAGGCGGATCACCTGAGGCCAGGAGTTCGAGACCAGCCTGGCCAACATGGTGAAACCCTGTCTCTACTAAAAATACAAAAATTAGCCGGCATGGTGTCAGGTGCCTGTAATCCCAGCTACTCAGGAGGCTGAGGCAGGATAATTGCTTGAGCCTGGGAGACAGAGGCTGCAGTGAGCCGAGGTCGCACCACTGCACTCCAGCCTGGGCAACAGAGTGAGACTCTGTCTCAAAACAAAACAAAACAAAACTCTGAGAAAGGCACTAATATCATCACTATTTTTTAATTGAGTTAGCCTGGGCTTCTCTGACTTCAGGGCCTGTGCATCTGACCCCTCTTCTGTGAGCCCTCTGCTTTTCTGCTTTTTCCCCAGTCCCTGCTTCATTGGAGATCCTGGCCTTTTCCTCTCCTCTGGCCCCCTCTCTACACTAACAGGGACACATCAGGCTCACACCTGGACATCTAACCAGGGTGAAGGAGGGGCTCTTTGGGGTACCCACTCACAGATTTCTGGGACATTTTCTTATCCTTTAAAACAGTCCTATAAGCTAGGATTGAAATGATTTCACTGTCATCCCATAGAAAAGGAAACAGACTCAAAGATGTGATGTGACTTGTTCAATATCCAGAGGTGACTCTTGAGTCTAGTGCTGCCCTGACTACGCCACACTCCCTCTTCTCCAGCCAGGCACTTCTTCCTTCTTGGGAGTCAGGCATGAGTCAGTTGCCCCCTTCAATGAGACAGAAGAGAGGGCTGTGTCATAGAAGCTTTGAGCACAGTGTCTGCTTCTGACTCCCAGAGTGCAAGCCTCAGCTGTCCTGCTGTTTAGACCAGCTCCACCTGTAGGGCCCCTGGAACTGACCAGCAGGATGAGAGGTGAAGGAAGAGGGTGATGGTGGCTGAATCAGTGGCCGCAGCAAGAACCTGCCCCAGCCCAGGACGGCAGGCAGGGTTGGGGAGGAAGATGACTTTGGTATTGGAACAGAGAGAGTGGCAAGAGTTTGATCTTTGACTCTTTAGTCAGAGGGTGCTGGTCCAATCGTAGCTAGATTGGAGTCCTCACCCAGGGCTGGCAGCTTTTACGGAGAGCACTGCAGCCCCATGTAGCAAGACACAGGGAGGCCCTTCCTTGGGCTGCTAGCCTGACACACAGGAATCAATCCCCCAGAAGCAATCCCACAGGAGCGAGAAGCTGTGTGCCTCCAGACGTTCCCTGCAATGTTACCAATGCAAAATAACTACCAAAAAAAAAAAAAAAAAAGCAGCTAAATATCCAATGAGAGATATCCTGATATCCTGGCAACTCACTCTGGAATCTGACGGTGTAGTGAACAGCATGGAAAAAGTTGGTGGAATGAAGTGGAGTCTACATCACACAGTGTCCCCTGAAGGATGACTCACAGGAACAATTTCTCTTGGTCCCAGTGCCAGGAAACTCTGTGTTTCTCCGGGGCAGTTGCTTTGCTTTTATCTTTTGGGTTCTACATGTCTGTTAGCTGACCATGTTTCCCTTTTAGCTCTGGCTATCAGGAAACTCCACATCGAATTTCTGGCTCATTTCTCACAACTATATGGCAGGAACTTTGTATACCAATACTGCTTGTGGCCTTATTTTCATTTCCTTCTCCCAAATAGCCTCCAATTTTTTTTTTTTTTTTGAGACAGGGTCTTGCTCTGTCACCCAGGCTGGAGTGCAGTGGCACAATCATAGTTCACTGCAGCTTCAAATGCACCTGGTTTATTTATTTTTTATTTTTTTGTAAAGTCAGGGTCTCACTTTGTTACCCAAGGTGGTCTCGAACTTCTGGCCTCAAGTGATCCCCCCATCTTAGCCTCCTGAAGTGCTGGGATTACAGGCCCAAATATCCTTCTATTAATTAAGAATCCTGTTGTATTGTACTCTGTGTTTGTAAACTACTGCCATTTTTTTTTTCTTTAATGGAGTGGGATAGAGAGGAGAAAGAAGAAGAAAGAGAAAGTTAAGCGGGCTGGGCACTGTGGCTCACCTGTAACTGGTACAGGTATACTGGTTAGACATATCCCAAGTAAGTGATTGATAAAAACAGGAAAACGCAAAATAAAGCAATGAGATTCACTTTTCACCCAGAAAGTTGGCAAAAATTTGTTCTGACAATACCATGATTTGGCATGTATGACATTCTATGCTGCTCCTGAGGTCTACACTGATTGATTAGAAATGTGGCGCACAGTCAGGCATGGGGGCTCATGACTGTAATCCCAGCACTTCTGGAGGCTAAGGTGGGAGGATCACCTGGGCCCAGGAATTCGAGCCAGCCTGGGCAAAATAGTGAAACTCCATCTCTACAAAAAAAACTACACAAATTAGTTGGGCATGGTAGCTCATGCCTGTAATCCTAGCTGGCTAAGACAGGAGGATCACTTGAACCTGGGGGGCTAAGGCTGCCGTGAGCCGTGATTGTGACACTGCACTCCAGCCTGGGTGACAGAGTGAGACCCTCAAAGAAAAAGTAAATACATAAAAAATGTGTCACAGATGAAGGTGCACATAGCTATGACTCAGCAATTAACACACCAAAGTATCTGAACTCTAGAGGAACTCTTAGACATATGCACAGAAGACTTTACAGAAAATGTTTGTTTCAGCATTGTTTGCAATAGCAAATAGAAGAAAACATTCTTTTCTTCTTTTTTCTTTTTTGGTAGAGACAGGTAGGCCATTTTTTGGTAGAGACAGGCAGCCATGCTGCCCTGCCTGGTTTTGAACTCCTGGGCTCAAGCGATCCACCCACCTTGGCCTCCTAAAGTGCTGAAATTATAGGTGTGAGCCACCAGGCCCAGCCAAAAGAAGGAAACATTCTAAATGCTCTCAACAAGAGAATGACAAATAAATTGTGTTCTAACCTTACAACAGAATACTATACAGCAATTAAAATGAATGAATCAGGGCTACGTGTGCTTTTATGAACAAAGCTCAAAAAATAGTATTAAACAAACAGCAAACTGCAGAAGGCTATTTAAGCTTAATTCCATTTCTACAAGGCTTAAAATTGTAATAACCTTATTACATAAGGATCACTTGAGCCCAGAAGGTCGAAACTGCAGCAAGCTATGGTTGAGCCACTGCATCCCAGCCTGGGCAACAGAGTGAGACCCTGTGTCTAAAAAAGAAAAATGATGTGAACAGTCATTGCAGCTGTGTGGGAACCTTCTGTCTGCAAAGATGGGAAGGAAATGTGTGAAAGATTATGGTGTCGTAAGGTAGGAACACCAATGTCCTAGTTGTTCGGTAGAGGATGGGAAGGAGTTAGTCAGCTGTGTCTCTTGCAGGCTTCGTGGTCCAGGGCTCCAATGGCGAGTTTCCTTTCCTGACCAGCAGTGAGCGCCTCGAGGTGGTGAGCCGTGTGCGCCAGGCCATGCCCAAGAACAGGCTCCTGCTAGCTGGCTCCGGATGCGAGTGTGAGCCAGAATGCCCTGGGCCCTGGGGGTGGGTGGATGTGCAGGATCCAGGCTCCTAGGCCCTAGCTTGGGTCCTGTCTCCTTGTTCTGCCTCTTCTGGGACATGCTGAGGCACCTTCGCTTGGCCCAGTGTCCTGGTCCAGGCCTCCTTCTGCCTGCTCTCACCTCTCTCCTTCCTCTGGCAGCCACTCAAGCCACAGTGGAGATGACCGTCAGCATGGCCCAGGTCGGGGCTGACGCGGCCATGGTGGTGACCCCTTGCTACTATCGTGGCCGCATGAGCAGTGCGGCCCTCATTCACCACTACACCAAGGTGTGTGTGAGGCCTGAGACCAAGAGGAGGCTCTGCCCAGGGAGAGGAGATAAGGGAAGCTGGGAATAGGGTGGTGCTTCACATGAACGGCAGCTATAGGAAACGGGTGGACTGCCACCATGGATCAGCTGCACGACATTGGGAGGCTTACCTGACCACTCTGTGTTACTGCTTTCTCCCCTCTAAAATTGGAGGAATGATGTCATCTGTCTCATAGGGTTGCAGTGAGCATTAAATGAGATCAGGAACATAAAGGCCTTAGAACTGTGCGTGGCATATGGAAAGCACTCCATAAATATGACCCACTGTGATTGCTTACACTCGGGGCACGTAGCATGGGAGGGAGGCCTGTCCAGGTGGCCCTGTAGTGAAGCAGGCTGGGACCTGTGGGTGGGCAAGTCTCTGGCTCTTGGGACCTGGGGCGGCTGCCCTCTCCTGCTTTTCTCTGCGCCCCCCTCCCCAGGTTGCTGATCTCTCTCCAATCCCTGTGGTGCTGTACAGTGTCCCAGCCAACACAGGGCTGGACCTGCCTGTGGATGCAGTGGTCACGCTTTCCCAGCACCCGAATATTGTGGGCATGAAGGACAGCGGTGGTGATGTGAGTGGCAGCAGCTCCGGGGCTGGGGTCCTCTCCTCCTTTTCTGGGTCCTAGCACTTTTGCTCCTGAGGGCAGCTCTGAGATCTGTTTCCAACCTTGGCTTCTGTGTGGATTCTCTCTGTCGTGCGGGCTCTCTGGGACTTTCTTGAGGGCATCTCTTTGAGCACTGGGCTTTCATTCCACCACACTTACCCGGCCCTCATCCAGGATGAGGCTCTGGGCACAGCTCTCACACCACATTTGCTGTTGCAGGTGACCAGGATTGGGCTGATTGTTCACAAGACCAGGAAGCAGGATTTTCAGGTGTTGGCTGGATCGGCTGGCTTTCTGATGGCCAGCTATGCCTTGGGTAGGCCGCCCACTGCTCTCAAATTGTCATGGGTGACCAAGAGATACCCAGGTACCTGGGTCTTCCGGGAGAGATCGTGAGGGCTGGGGCTGGGTCTGCAGATGGTAGTTTGCCAGCCTGCCCACTCTGAAAACTCAGAAACCTGGCCACGCCGCTTACCTGTCTGAATTCGGGATGCTGTGAGTAACCTTGTTGGCTGAAGGAGGATGGCCGTGTACAATCCCTGGCCTGTAGTAGGGATGCCTGCAGTTTGTTCTGAGTCCTGAGCTCCATGATTAGATGACAAACTTAGCTGCTCTAATCCCACCTTGTACATCATTCTCTGAGGGCAGAGGCCCTGGGGCCCTCCTCTGTAGTTCAGGAGTCCATTTTCCTCTCCCCTGTCCCAGACCAGAATGAATTGTCAGATCTACAGAGTTGAGCCAGGGATCTTCAGTTGCCTGATCAGATTCTGTTCCAATCCAGGATCCCTAGGAATGTCACTTAGATCAACTGCTCTTGTCTGTTTGGGGTCAGGGTCCTTGGGTTTGGATTAGATTTGAGCCCTGGAGGGAAGGGAGAAGAAGGGAAGCTGTTCCCTTCAGCTGAAGCCCCAGTGAGTAGAGATTTGAGGGACTTTTCCAGCACTGCAGGGGAGAATGCTTGTTCCTATTCCATCTGGTCCCTCCAGACTTTGGCTGGTTGTCTAGGCCTTTGTACATCTCCCCTGCCATGTCATGGCCTCTACGGTGAAGGGGAAGAAGAAGGGATCCATTTCTCCCTCATTCCTGGAAGTGGAGTAGATTAAAAATAAAAAAAAAAGCACAGGCTCTGGAGGCTGGGGGGAATCTCAGCTCTGCAGTTTATTCACTGAGTAATGCTGGGCAAAGCACTCACCTCTCTGGGCCTGAGTTTCTACTCTGTGTACAGAGGGATCATGAGGATTAGAGAGCATCAGGGCCATGCTGCTGTAGCGCGCCTGGGACACATAGTAGGTATTCCACAAACAACAGCTCTATTAGCTCATTCTGAATTGCCTACTCTCTCTACGGTTTTGAGGCCACTGTGCCTAGGGTTCCACTCCTATCTAGCCTTAGAAGCATACTTACAGGCTTGCAGAAGTGGCGGGGGTTTCTGAGATCACAGCCAAACCCATTTTCATTGCCCCGATGGGCACAAAGAGGACTAGAGAGGGTCTCATTCAGGTTTATGCAGTCAATGGGAAGACATGCCTGGTGACCTGACTCTGTCCAGAGTGCTTTCCATGCCCACTGCTGTCTCTGGTTGCATCCACTGGGGGGAATAAAATTTCAAAAGAGCAAAGGCTTCCCATCCGTCCTACCCTCTTACAGGACTGATGAGTCAGGGGGCTATTGGAGGAAGCTGGAGGTGTCAACTGTCAGATGGGATTTTATTCCGGGAGGGGTTCAGGGAAGGAACCGTCCTTGAGTTCACTTTCAGGCTCTGCTCCCTGCCCCTCACAGATCAGCCCTGAGCAGTGCTTGACCTGCGGGATTCTATTTTGAATATGCAGGCAGCTCTTCTCTCTGGAAATGTATACTCTGGACTCACAGAGCATGCCTTTGATGTAGCCAGCCAAGTGACATAGAAATCTGTATCTAATGTCCCCAGGCTGAAGAGGTGCTGGGACCAGGGCTTGGGATGCCTGGAGGGGAGAGGCTCTGGCTGATGTTCTGCGTCTTACTTCGTGCAGGAGCTGTGGGGGGCGTCTGCGCCCTGGCCAATGTCCTGGGGGCTCAGGTGTGCCAGCTGGAGCGACTGTGCTGCACGGGGCAATGGGAAGATGCCCAGAAACTGCAGCACCGCCTCATTGAGCCAAACGCTGCGGTGAGCCAGTGGCAGCGGGGGCGCGGCCTGGCGGGGGGTGGGCAGTCTGTGTCCTCATTGGAGCAGGACCCAGGGCTGGCACCAGGCCCCACTCAGTCTCTTCCTTTCAGAAAATCCTTTGAGAGAACATCCCAGTGTGGGAACTCCTTGTGACTCCCAGAAAATCCTGACTTCGGACAAAGTCGAGCACCACTGATTGTCAAACTTAAGTGTGCATTAAAATTTCCTTGGGGGCGAATTAAAGTTCCAACTTTTGGGCCCAAGAAGATGCATTGAAACAAACATCCTGTGTGATTGTGACAGAGTAACCCTAGGACCACACTTAGAGATGCCTGGAGAGAAAGAGTGTAAACCAGGGGCCTCTAAATCCGTGCTATCGGGGGCCAGGTCCTGAAAAAATAGGAATGACTGGGGCTGGCAAAGGAGTTAGAAGGCAGGAGAGTGTTGTCTTCAAATAATCGGTTCTGTGGTCAGACTGTATACCCCAATTCTTTGTTGGGCAAGCAAAGGAGAACTTCAGAGAGAACGCCCATCAAGTTCAGGGTCATTCTGAAGTCTGAGGCAACAGAAAAATATGTGCCCCTGTATTCAAGTTTTAATGTACATTTTATCCTTTCTTTCCTTCGTTCCTTTGTTCCTTCCTTCCTCCCTCCCTCCCTCCTTTCTGTCTTTCTTTCTCTTTCTCTCTTTCTTTCTTTCCTTCTTTCTTTTTTTAGACAGAGTCTTGCTCTTTTGCCCAGGCTGGAGTGCAGCAATCTCAGCTCAGTGCAACCTCTGCCTCCCAGGTTCAAGCAATTCTTGTGCCTCACACTCCTGAATAACAGAGATTACACGTGTGCACCACCATGCCCAGCTAATTTTTGTTTTTGTTTTCATTTTTCAGTAGAGATGGGGTTTCACCATATTGGCTATGCTGGTCTCAAATTCCTGGCCTCAAGTGATCTGCCCACCTCAGCCTCCCAAAGTGCTGGGATTACAGGCGTAAGCCACAGTGCCCGGCCTATTCTTTTTTCTTTTCTTTTCTTTTTTGAGACATAGTCTCACTCTGTTTCCCAGGCTGGAGTGCAGTGGCACAATCTTGGCCCACTGCAACCTCCGCCTCCCTGGTGCGAGCAATTCTCCTGTCTCAGCTTCCCTAGTAGCTGGGATTACAGGCACGTGCCACCATACCCGGATAATTTTTTTGTATTTTTAGTAGAGACGGGGTTTCACCATGTTGGCCAGGCTGGCCTCAAACTCCTAACCTCAAGTGATCCTCCTGCCTCGGCCTCCCAATCTTTTTTCTTTTATTTTTTTTATTTTCGAAACAGGGTCATTCTCTGTCACCCAGGCTAGAGTACAGTGGTGTGATGACAGCTCACTGCAACCTCAATGTCCTGGGCTTAAGCAATCTTTTTAATTTTTTATTTTTATTTTTGTAGAGATGGGGGTCTCACTATGTTGCCTAGGCTGGTCTTTATCTCCTGGGCTCAAGCAGTCCTCCCACCTCAGCCTCCCAAAATGCTGAGATTACAGGCATGAGCCACCATGACTGGCCTACTGTATATTTTATATTTAACTTTTTATTTTATTTTATTTTATTTATTTATTTTGAGATGGAGTTTCACTCTGTGCCCAGGCTGGAGTGCAGTGGCACAATATTGGCTCACTGCAACCTCTGCCCCCGGGTTCAAGCAATTCTCCTGCCTCAGCCTCCCAAGTAGCTGGGATTACAGATGCCTGCCACCACACCCGGCTAATTTTTGTGCTTTTAGTGAAGACGGGTTTCACCATGTTGGCCAGGCTGGCCTCGAACTCCTGACCTCATGATCCACCCGCCTCGACCTCCCAAAGTGCTGGGATTACAGGCATGAGCCACTGCGCCTGGCCAAACTTTTTATTTTTAGATAATTATAGATTCCCATGCAACTTTAAGAACTAATACAAAGGGATCCCATGTACCCATGAGCCAGTTTTCCCCAATGGCAACATCTTACAAAACTGTAGAATAATTTCATAGTCTGGATATTGACCTTGATACAGTCAAGACACAGAATATTTCTGTCCCTACAAGGATCCCTCATGTCATCCTCTTATAGCCATGCCTACTCACATTTGCCTTCACAGGCTCCTTAACCTCTAGCAACCACACATACATTCACCATTTTATAATTTTGTCAGTTCAAGAGTATACTATATGGAATCACATGGTATATAACTTTTGGGGATTGGCTTTTTTCCACTCAGCATAATTCTCTGGATATTCATCCAGGTTGTTTGTTGCATGTATCAATAGTTAATTCCTTTTTATTTCTGAGTAGGATACCATGGTATTGCCGTACCACAGCATGTTTATTTATTATTTATTTATTGAGACAGGGTCTTGCCCTGTCACCGGGGATGAGTGCAGTGGCAGGATCATTGCTCATTGCAGCCTCAACCTCCTGGCTCAAGCAATCCTCCCAGCTTATCCTCCCAAGTAGCTGGGACAACAGGTGCACACCAACACACCTGGCTAATTCTTTTTTATTTTTAGTAGAGACAAGGTCTCGCTATGTTGCCCAGGCTGGTCTCAAACTCCTGGTCTCAAGCCATCTTTCCTCAGCCTCCCAAAGTGCTGGGATTACAGGCATGAGCCACCACGGCTGGCCCCCCACAGTATGTTTAACCATTCACCTGTTGAAGAACAGCTGGGTTATCTTCAGTTTTTGGCTATTAAAAGCTGCCATGGGAAGGGAGCAGTGGCTCACACCTGTAATCCCAGCACTTTGGGAGGCCGAGGCGGGCAGATCACCTGAGGTCAGGAGTTTGAGACCAGCCTGGCCAACATGGTGAAACTCCGTCTCTACTAAAAATACAAAAATTAGCTGGGCATGGTGGTGCACATCTGTAATCCCAGCTGCTCGAGTGGCTGAGCAAGAGAATCGCTTGAATGCGGCAGGTGGAGGTTGCAGCGAGCCAAGATTGTGCCACTGCACTCCAGCCTGGGTGACAGAGTGAGACTCCGTCTCAATAAATAAATAAATAAAAGCTGCCATGAACATTCATGAACAGGTTTTCGTGTGTCCATAAGTTTTCATTTTTCTGGGATCGATACACAGCAGTACAAATGGTGGGTCATAGGGTAGTGGTATGTTTCATTTTCTGAGAAACTGCTGGCTGGGTGTGGTGGCTCACGCCTGTAACCCCATCATTTTGGGAGGCTGAGGGGGGTCGAATGCTTGAGCCCAGGAGTTCAAGACCAGCCTGCGCAACATGGGGAGACTGTCTCTACAAAAAATATAGAAAATTAGATAGATGCGGTGGCATGCACCTGTGGTCCCACGACTTGGGAGGCTGAGGCAGAAGGGAAGATCCCTTGAATCTGGGAGGTTGAGGCTGCAGTGAGCTGTGATTTTGCCACTGCACTCCAGCCTGGGCTACAGAGTGAGATCCTGTCTCAAAAAAAAAAAACAAAAAACCAAAACAAACAAAAAACAAACCCGAAACAAACAAACAAAAACCCAGAAACAAACCTGCTAAACCTTTCCAGAGCAGCTGTACTATTTTAAATTTACACTGATGTAAACGTATGAGTGATCTAGTTTTTCTGCAGCTTTGCCAGCATTTGTTGTGACTATTTTTTATTTTAGCCATTCTGATAGATGTATAGTACAGATGTATGGTACAAATTAAAACCGTCTCATTGTGGTTTTAATTTGCATTTCTCTGATGGCTAATGCTATTGAACGTTTTTTTCATGTATTTATTTGCTATCTGTATATCCTTTTCAGTCAACTATCTATATTTCTTACGCATTTTGAAATTGGATTGTTCTTTTGACTGTTGAATTTTAGTTCTTTATAGCTTCTAAATACTAGTCCTTTGTTAGACATGTGGCTTGTAAATATCTTTTCCCAGTCTACAGCTTGTCGTTTCATTACCTTAATAGGTCTTTTGCAGAGCAAGTTTTACATTTTGATGAAGTACAATTTATCAACATTTTCTTTTACGGATCATGCTTTTGGTGTCAAGTCTAATAACTCTTAAAGAGTTCTGGGCATGGTGGCTCACGCCTATAATCCCAGCACTTTGGGAGGCCGAGGTGGGTGGATCACGAGGTCAGGAGTTCAAGACCTGCCTGGTCGAGATGGTGAAACCCCGTCTCTACTAAAAATACAAAAAAAAAAAAAAAAAAAAAAATTAGCTGCGGGTAGTGGCAGGTGCCTGTAATCCCAGCTCCTCAGGAAGCTGAGGCAGGAGAATCGCTTGAACTCGGAGGGCAGAGGTTGCAGTGAGCCGAGATCATGCCATTGCACTCCAGCCTGGGAGACAGTGAGACTCCATCTCAGGGAAAAAAAAAAAAATCTTGAAGAGTTCTTAGAAGATCGTAAAGATTTTCTCTTATTTTTTTCTTTTAAGTTTTATAGCTTTATGTTTTATAAGTCTGTGACTCATTTTGAGTTAATTTTTATATAAAGTGTAAGACTTAGGTCAAGGTTTTGTGTTTTTTTTCCCTAATGGATATTCACTTGCTGTAGCATCTTTTGCTGAAAAGGCCATCTTTCCTCCATTGAACTGCTTGCGTGCCTTTGTCAAAAATCAGTGGGGCATATTTGTGTGGGTCTATTTCTGGGTTCTCTATTCTTTCCATTGATGTATATGTCTATCTCTCTGCAATACCACACAGACTTGACTACTGTAGCTAAGTCTTCAAATCAGGTAGACTGATTCCTCCCACTTTGTTCTTTTTTTATTCCTTCAAAATTGTTTTAGTCTAATTTCTTTAACTTTCCATATAAATTTTACAAGAATCTTGTTTATATCTACAATAAAATCTTGCTGGGCCTTTGATCGAAATTGCGTTAAGCCTGCATACCAATCTGGGGACAACTGACTTCTTTACTATATTGTCCTCCAGTCCTTGAACATGGTACATTTCTCTGTTTATTTAGATCTTCTTTGATTTATTTCTTCAGCATTTTGTAGTTTCCAGCCAACAAGTCCTGTACATATTTTTAAAAACTGACACCTAAGGATCTGGTGCAGAGTGGCTCACGCCTATAATCTTAGCATTTTTGGAGATAGAGACGGCAGTATTGCTTGAGGCCAGGAGTTTGAGACCCACCTGGGCAACATGGCCAGACCCCATCTCTTAAAAAAAAAAAAAAAAAAGACACCTCTGCACTAGGATCTGTACTAGGCATCTATGGACATCCTGCTGCCTGGAGGGTAGAAGAGCCCCCTGGCTGCTCCCTACACACTGCCTCCACTGCATTGCCTGTGTGTCTGGCAGCAGGTGGGGTGGGCTCTGGTGGCCTTTTGAAGATGAGCAGTGGTGCAAGTCCTGACTTCCCTCCCCCTGGCCTGCTCTGACACCACCCAGCTGGGAGCGGGGGTGGCAGTTCAGACTCCTTCACTCAGTCTTTGCTGGCCTGGCTGGTTTTCGGCTGGAGTAGAGCAGTTACTGTCTGAAAGCTTTCCATCTTGCTAGGCAACCCCTTTTCTGGTCCTCTGGCTAGAGAGAACTGGCTTCTGTTAGTGCGTGTATTGTCTGTACCCATTGGCACTGCGTGCTTGCTGACTTCTTCAGCTCCAAGTCTGGGCCAGGGTACGTAGCACTGTGTTACTTCTTGGGTCTCTAGGTCCCTTGTTGGTCTTCCTTCTCTCTGCCTTCCAGAGTCTTCTTATGTCTTTTATATAATGTCCAGATATATATATAATTTTTTATATAATGTCCAGATAATATTTTTATGTAACGTCCAGAGCTTTTAGTTGTACTTATTGGGAAGAATTGGGACAAGTACATCTACTCCATCTTCCTGAAAGTAAATGCTCTAAGTATTTTTCTAAATGGTGATTTTTTTCCCCCTAAGAACATTAAAGTGGGTGAAAAAATATTGAAAATTGAGAAGTAGGTATGTTAAAACTCACAGCACTATTTTAGGCTTAAATATTTCATATACCAAAAACATGATTTATTATAATTTTATTTTCCTGGCTTTAATGGAAGCAAACTCATCAAAACATATTTTTCCAAGTCTACTTCTAGAGAAAGAATAACCGCTAAAAAGACACCAGCAGGGCACAGTGGCTCACACCTGTAATCCCAGCAATTTGGGAGGCTGAGGCAGGAAGATCATTTGAGCTCAGGAGTTTGAGCCCAGCCTGGGCAATAGAGTGAGATTTTGTCTTTAGTAAAAATAAATGAAAATTAGCCAGGTATGAGGGTGTGCAACTCTAGCCCCAGCTACTCAGAGGCTGAGGCAGGGAGATTGCTTGAGCCCGTGAGGTCGAGGCTGCAGTGAGCTACGATCATGCCACTTCACTCCAGCCTGGACAAAAGAGCAAGACCCTGTCTCAAAAAAAGAAATTTAAAAAATACAATAAATAAAAATGAAAAAATACACCAAAAAATACATGGGGCACACATGATTACTTATGCATGAGCCTTCTATATGGTGGGGCACAGCTCTGTTGGATCCTGTCTTTATTTAAAGTTTCATTCATTGTGGATATTTTTTGCATTAATTTTGATTTTTAAAAAATATTGCATTGAAATATTACTTATTTTGGCTGGGCACGGTGGCTCACGCCTGTAATCCCAGCACTTTGGGAGGCCGAGGCAGGCAGATCGCCTGAGGTCAGGAGTTCGAGATCAGCCTGGCCAACATGGTGAAACCCTCTCTCTATTAAAAATACAAAAATTAGCCAGGCATGGTGTTGGTCACCTGTAATCCCAGCTACTCAGGAGACTGAGGCAGGAGAAATCACTCGAACTCAGGAGGCGGAAGTTGCAGTGAGCCGAGATCGTACCACTGCACTCCAGCCTGGGCGACAGAGTGGGACTGTTTCAAAAAAAAAAAATTGCATTGAAATATTACTTATTTTGATGATTGAGATTTTTGGCCTCCCCTTAAGTTTTGCATGCAAGGTAAGGGCCTCATGGGCCTGGCTGCAGTCCCAGGCTGAGCTAGGCACTCCACAATATTTTGTTTGGGTAAAGTGATGGGTGGGCTCTAGAGCTCCCTCACAGCTGTATCCTTACCTCAAAGGGGCAGATTAACTTAGATTTACAGAAACGACAGCTGAGGAGGTAAATCTGAGTCCCTCTGGAGGTGAAGGTGCTTCTGAGATGGGACCTTCTATAAATAGGTTATAAGAACTTGCAGAAACGAGGGCCCCGTTGGGCACAGGCCGTCCTGCACATACTGAACATTCCACTGGGGTGGGGCCTCTGCTCTCCCACTCCCAGTGCACCTCTGAAAACGAAGGTCCCAGAACCCGCATGCCACCGGGACAGGAAACGGAGCGGCTTCCAGGGCTCATGGGAACTGGTCTAATATTAGCAGTGTTTTTCTCATCTGGCCCTTGGGACGTCTCTATGGGGTAGGTGTTGTTATCACTCATTTCACAGATGAAGCAGCTTGGGCTGCCCCTGGGGAAGAGTGGATGCCTAGCTGTCATCCCAGATCTCTGCGTGTCATCCCGCCCTACCCCATCCTGCCTCACCCTTCATTCTGTGTCCTCTCCTGTGCCAGCTCTGGGCACATACCCAGGAATGCCTGGAACACCTTTCTGCTGCCTAGGCTGTAGGCTCAGACACCCCGAGAACAGCTTGATGTCACTCTATTGCCCATCCCTGGTCAAACACAATGTCCTTCCTCCACCTTCCCACCAGCCTGCCTCCTGCCCCTGGCTATATTTAGGACTTTCTACAGTCTTTGCCACCAACCCCTTCTTAGGGTTTGAAGAGGGGCCACATCAGATATCTTTGGAAACCCATGGCAGGAGTGAGCTTTTCTCTGGGCACCTCTTATTTCCATCCTGTATCCTGGGTCTTTCCCACCTACTCAGGCTTTGGGTAAAAAGGCCAGGCTATTAGAACATCATGGGGGTGGCGAGGCCTGCAGGAGGGTGGCTTACCACCCATTCCGAGAAAAAAAATCCATGCTTGATAAAGCCTCCGGGACTCTAGTGGTAAAGTTATTAGTCAATCTTTCATCAGTGGTTCCTGGCCTTTTTATCCCAAACAACCTTTTATTTTTATCCTCCTAAGGTTTTAGCTTCTCTCCAAATAAAACTTTCTTAAGGACTACTTTTGTAGTTTTTAGGTAGTGAAAGATTCATCTAATATTTCTGATCAGCATGAAATAACCAGTTGCTATACCAAAAGCAAGGAAATTTGATGCTTCATTTATTCTGTAATATTCCATACACGATTTTAAATTATAATAGGCCAGGCGCCGTGGCTCATGCCTGTAATCCCAGGACTTTGGGAGGCCAAGGTGGGCAGATCACTTGAGCTCAGGAGTTTGTGACTAGCCTGAGCAACATAGCAAGACCTCGTCTCTACAAAAAATGCAAAAATTAGCCAGGCATGCTGTCATGCACCTGAAGTCCAAGGTGCTGTGGAGGCTGAGGTGGGAGAATCGATTGAGCCCAGGAGGTCTAGGCTACAGTGAGCCATGATCATACCACTGCACTCTAGCCTGAGTGGCACAGTGAGACCCTGTCTCAAAAACATAAACATAAAATAAAAATAAATAAATTATTACGGGTGCAGTGGCTCATGCCTGTAATCCTAGCACTTTGGGAGGCCGAGGCGGGCAGATCACTTGAGGTCAGGAGTTTGAGACCAGCCTGGCCAACATGGCGAAGCCCTGTCTCTACTAAAAATACAAAAATAAAATAAAATAAAACGAGCTTGGTGTGGTGGCAGGTGCCTGTAATCTCAGCTACTCAGGAGGCTGAGGCAGGAGAATCACTTGAACCCAGGAGGCAGAGATTGCAATGAGCTGAGATCAGGACACTGCACTCCAGCCTGGGTGACAGAGCAAGACTGTCTCAAAAAAATAAATAAATAAAAATAAATGAATAAATTATAACAATAGCTTTAGGTCCCCCATTATCAGGGAAAAGCCTTTAGAGATCATGTTGTCCAGCCCCTTCCTTTTTTAGACAGGAGAACTTACTCAGAGATAATAAGTAAATGACATACAGTTTATACAACAAAACTTCCTTGGGAAATGATGCTTTGCTTTTCCTGGGAGACCATTTAGTGTTAGGGTCAGGAGGAGCTATGGGGAGGTGAGGGCAGCCAGATGCAAGGGGAGTAGAGGTCTGGGCTGTGCCTGAGACTCTCACAGATCCTTCCCCTTCCTGACTTCCCAGGTCTGGTGTGACCTGCGTCAGGTTTCAGGGAGCTGGGCTGCAGACTGCTGATGCTCTAGTGCCTAGACCTGCAGCCTTGCTGTCTTCTCCCACCCCAGCTTGAGGACCAAATACCACTCTCCTCTCTGTTGGAGTGGATTTTTCTCCTAAAACCAAAGGAGGCACTCTTCTTCCCCAATCTGAAGTTTTTGTATTTTGCTATTACAGACCTGCTCTCTGGTCTCTAAATCTGGATTCCCAATGTACCCTGGGTGCCATAGAGTTGGCAGTTACTTTCCTGGGGGAAGAGGGTAGGACTTCAATGTTCTGAAAGTGACAGATCTCCGAGTTCCAGATATGGGTGTTCAGCAAATTTCTCAGTCTCTTCTAACAGGCCCTGCTTTGCAGGTGACCCGGCGCTTTGGGATCCCAGGGCTGAAGAAAATCATGGACTGGTTTGGCTACTATGGAGGCCCCTGCCGCGCCCCCTTGCAGGAGCTGAGCCCCGCTGAGGAGGAGGCACTGCGCATGGATTTCACCAGCAACGGCTGGCTCTGAGGGCAGGCAGGGTCCATGGCTGGCCTGAGCCCATCTCAGCCTCCTGCCTTGCACTTGCAGCCTGAAGCGGAGAGCACAGGGGGATGAGGGTGGCAGGCAGCGGGGAGCCGATAGAGGCTCCTTTGCCTGCTGTGGTCCTCCAGGCAGCCTTTCACAGGCACGCCCATGCATATCTCCTATTCTAACGGCCCCTGACCTCTCCCTTTTGGATCCTAAACTGTGTCTCTGGTCTGAAGACTGGGAAGGAGCAATTTCTCAATTTATCTTTCTACTGTGGATGCTTTCCTACGCCCTGAGGCACATGAAGTCAGAAAGGAAGGGCAGAGGGGCAAGTAGGCACAGTAAGGGAATTTTCTTTTCTTTTTTTTTTTTTTTGAGACAGAGTTTCACTCTGTCACCCAGGCTGGAGTGCAATGGCATGATCTCGCCTCCTGGGTTCAAGCGATTCTCCTGCCTCAGCCTCCCGAGTAGCTGGGATTACAGGCGCCTGCCACCACGCCCAGCTAATTTTTGTATTTTTAGCAGAGATGGGGTTTCACCGTGTTGGCCAGGCTGGTCTTGAACTCCTGACCTCAGGTGATCCAACTGCCTCGGCCTCCCAAAGTGCTGGGATTACAGCTGTGAGCCACTGCACCCGGCCGGGAATTTATCAAAGGGGGGACTACTTAGATTTGGGGCTTCAAACCTGAGTCTAGCACAATGCAGCTGGAGGCCAGGGCTACTCCTACAAACCCAAGTTCTGACTCCTTCCAGGGAAGTATCAGCTTAAGAAACTTGATCAGGAAAGTGACACTGGTCTTTCAAAGAGCCCTCTTTACCCTCCCATCCCTGCCCTCCACACTGCAAGCTGCATTCCAGCCACAACGCCCTTTTCTAAATCTATTTTCATTCATCTCCTATTCTGGTCTGTAGCCTTGATTCCAACCATTGAATGCACGGAGACAGCCCAGTGGCTTGTCAGATTGGTAAATAATGACACCTGGTGGATAAATGTTACATTCTAGAAGACTATTCTGGTCAGCCTAGGTCTGAAACACTAAGGAGACTTGGCCTGAGATAGGGCCATCCACTTGCCTACAGGCACTCTGCTTTTATTATTAAAAATAGTCACTTTGTTACTATAATAAAATTTAACAGAAAAAATTAGTGTGGCTATATAAAGATGGACACTCTATTGCTATGCAGATCTTAGGTTTCCTGGCCAGATGTCAAGAACCTTTCTAAAGGCAAAAGAGCTCTGATGGTCTGCCTTCTCCCAGCTCGAAGAGTGTCCCCAGCAATACTGAGCCAACAGGCATTCACTTACTGGAGACCTGGGGAAGGGGTAAGAGGCAAAAGAGAGCAAGTGAGCTATTTAGAAACAAACACTTAGCACTTTTATTTTATTTTTTTGAGACAGAGTCTTGCTCTGTCATTCAGGCTGGTGTGCAGTGGCACGATCTCGGCTCACTACAACCTCTGCCTCCCAGATTCAAGTGACTCCCCTGCCTCACCCTCCCGAGTAGCTGGAATTACAGGTGTTCACCACCATGCCCGGCTAATTTTTGTATTTTTAGTAGAGACAGCGTTTCGCCATGTTGGTCAGGCTGGTCTCGAACTCCTGACCTCAGGTGATCTTCCTGCCTCGGCCTCCCAAAGTGCTGGGATTATAGGCGTGAGCCACTGCACCCCTTCAGCATCCTTTTTGATTAAAGTGCTAAGTGTTTAGGGCCAGGCAGCACTTTGGGAGGCGGAGGCAGGAGGATCACATGAGGTCAAGAGTTTGAGACCAGCCTGATCAACACGGCAAACCCCATGTCTACTAAAAATACAAAAATTAGCCGGGCGTGGTGGCACACGCCTGTAATCCCAGCTACTCAGGAGGCTGAGGCACAAGAATCGCTTGAACGTGGGAGGTGGAGGTTGCAATGGGCCGAGATCGTGTCATGGCACTCCAGCCTGTGCCACAAGAGCAAAACTCCATCTCAACAACAACAACAAAAAAGGATGCTTTCTCCAAAATATTTAACCTTTTTCAGTGGTAATATTTGACTAGTGGCAGAAAAATGGAGATACATTGTAAAAAAATTACTCCTTAAAAGAAAGTGTAAGGTTAAAAAGAGAGGTAAATAGATACTTGTTTAGGGCAGAGGCTAAAGGAGAGAAAATAAAAGATCTCAATCTTCAACCCAAAACCAGGCTCTGAATGGCACTACAGCTTGGGGCTTAGTGCCTGGGGTCCTCTCACAGGCAACTTCCAGAGGAGCAAGGCTCAGAGGAGAATCAAGTTTAGGACTTGGGGGAAAAGTTAGGGCTAGGCAGGCAGGGTAGTGCACTGGGTAAGAGCTCAGCCTCTGGGCTTAAACAGGTCTGGGTTTAAGTTCTGGGATCTGCCCCTTAGTGTCTATGGGACCTTGGAGAAACTGCTTAACTTCCCTGAGCCTCATCTGTAATACAGGGATAATAATAGTACCTTCCTCCAACAAGGACGTGCATGTAAAAGGGTTAGCGTGGGGGTCAATGTTCCACCACTCTCCTGTTGCAGAAAAAGGGAAACTCCGGCAGGAGTGGACCTGCCAGAGGTAACCCAGCAGGTGTGGCCATAACTAGTCTCAGGACTTAAGTACTCTGATGCTCAGGGTGAGAGAGGTCCAGTAAAGGGAGCTGGAATCAGAAAGGCTCGGTTACAAATCTCACCCAGCTGTGCTACCTACTAGTTGGGACAGCCTGAGATTGTCTGATTTAAATAAGAAAAAAAAGTTCATACGTCCTCCTCTGTAGAGGCTGAGAAAATTAGATGACTTGATAAAGTGTGCAGGGTCAGTTCCAAGGGCTAACCCGATTAACTTTTACAAACAGCAAATGGGTTGATATTCATGAAGACGCAGGGCCAGAAAGTCAGGAAAACTAGGTATAGGCAGTTCTGGTGATTTCTTTATTCTTTATAAACACCTTTTTCTACAGTACAATTCAGAGAATAAATAGAGGCACACGGCTATAACTTCCACCACAATCTGCTGTTGAAGAGACATTCAATGTGAGGCTAGGGAGCTAGAGGTGGGGGACGTATTTGGGTACCAGGGTAACGGGAGGCCTACGTAATAAACTGCAGAGATCCCATCAGTAAGGTCTGATTGCGGCCTGACGGTCAAGGCTCATGATAGAAGAGCTACAGTGAGCCAAATGCTCCTTTAGTTCCCCACAGTCCTAGAGTAGGTCCAATTCTACCAAAACCCCAGGGGTTCGGGTGAGTCTGATTTATTGGTCCACTGGGAAGAAACTGTGTCAGCCCAAGCCATCCGTATGAATTCAGTTCACTCCATGGTAGTGCCTGAAGTGGCCTAAATATTCTACCCTTTTCCCTGGAGTTAGTCACAAATACAAGTAATAAGATTACTGTTTACATGAGTTTTTTTCTTGATTGTCCCAAAAAGGGATCCTGTTCCCCATCTAAGGAAGGAGAGAGGCACACATGGGGATTATCTGCTCTAAGTTGATGAAAGAAGACAGCCTGTCTTCTAAAGGGAGGAGGAAATAGCACTCTTACCGAATCCTTCACGGGGACATAGGCAGGAATGAATACCAGTCTGATCAGACCAAGTGGAAGCCTGCAGCCATGATTCCAACCAGCATGAGGAGTAACATATGGAAAAGCTCTGCCAGCCAGGCACAGTGGCTCACACCTGCAATCCTAGCACTTTGGCAGGCCCAGGCAGGAGGATCACTTGAGCCCAGGATTTTGAGATGAGCCTGAGCCACATAGCAAGACCCTGGCTCAATTTTTTATAATAATAAAATTAAAGGCTGAGCGTGGTGGCTCACGCCTGTAATCCCAGCACTTTGGGAGACCAAGGCGGGTGGATCACGAGGTCAGGAGTTTGAGACCAGCCTGGCCAATATGGTGAAACCCCGTCTCTACTAAAAAAAAATACAAAAATTAGCTGGGTGTGGTGGCGCGCTCCTGTAGTCCCAGCTACTCAGGAAGCTGAGGCAGGGGAATTGCTTGAACCTGGGAGGCAGAAGTTGCAGTGAGCTGAGATCATGCCACTGCACTCTAGCCTGGGCGAGAGTAAAACTCCATCTCAAAAATAAAAAATAAAATAATAATAATAATAATAAAAAAATTAAAAAAGAAAAGCTCTGGCCTTGACTTTCACAGGGCTGCTGTACTGAGCCACCCCTATCTTTTCCCTATTTCTCCAGAGTGGCACAGAGCACTGGCCCTAAGCTGGGGCTAGGATCACCTGTCCCCAAAGCAGCAGAACGAAGGTTCTGTATCACTTGGCAGAAAATGAAGCAGAAGGGTCACAGCAGGCTACACTGGGTAACCTGAGGTCTTAGGAACAGAGTATCAACCAGTGAGAAGAGGTGGCTCCTCTGTCCTCCAGCACATAAGGGTTAGGGAAAGACAGAACCACCAATGACTGCTGCAGGGTCTGCTGGCCAGCATCCTCAGCACTTTTCTGTGGTCCAGTTCTGGAATGGCAGGTGACAGGGCACATACAAGGCCTCTGCTCCACTGTCATTGTCAACTCATCTCAGCTCTGATTCATTTGTTCACCTCGAATCAACAACAGGGGCACTGGCTTTACCCAATACTTATCAGCTGGTGCCCACTGCGCTGTCAGGCAGTGAGATTTCTGGCTGACTTGGAGGCGCTCTGGGCCCGCTGAACAATGGCAGAACACTTCTCACGTCGCAGCAGCTTGTTGTTCTCAAAGAGACCTTCATTGCGGGGGATTCCATGAGAACCATCAGGGAAAGTCAGCAGGCCTTTGAGGAGGGCAGAGAAAATATGGGAGTGACAATGGCATTAATGTCTCAAAGATGAGACATATCTTTGGCCTTGATATGTCCAGGCCAAAGAAGAGAAAAACTCCCAGCTCTACTCAGGAGTACTCTATTGATGAGTTCAATGGATAGGTGTCAGGGACGGCCACTATGGATTGCTGGACACCCGCAGGATTAAAACTAAACAGGTATATTTCCACCCATATTATGCCCACCTAAGTCAGCCATCCTGCTGGGCTGCAACTTACCAAAACCATCTACTCTGCCATTTTTAAATTCCCCCTCAAAGGTCATGTTGTCATATCGAATGAAGACTCCGACGCCATTAAACTTGCCCTGGGCAAACTCCCCCTCATACCTGCAGAAACACCAAGAAGTTAGCCTTCAGTGGAAAGTTAGCTGTCCAGATGAACGGAGTCGAGCAGCTGCTGATCTCTGTTATTTAATGATGCTAAGGAGCAAGCCGATTCTACCAGTCACATAGCTCCACCTACCCCACCTATTCCCAAGGAGCAGAGAGTATATATGACATGAAGCCCTGATCTCAAGGAAAGAAGATAGGATGTGAATGGGAGTGGGGTGGAAAGTCACTCACTTGGTTGACATTTCAAATTTTAGGTCCACTTAAAAAATAGCTAATAAAAGAACTACTTATTACTCATCTGTGTTCTGCAGGGAGTGAGACAAGGTCAGGATTGACCAGATATTTACCAGAGTCCCATTTTTCTGTCAGACCCTCCCTTATTTAAGGCTAAGAAAGGAATGACCTCATACCCACCTTGAACCATCTGAGAAGGTCAATACCCCAAAGCCATTAAAGAGCCCATTCTCAAAATGACCCAGGTAGGTGCCACCATCTGCAAACATCAGTTGACCAAAACCATGCCTGCGGCCTGAACAAAGAGAAGGATAGGTGTCAGGTTGGAAGGAGGCAGCTTCAGGGTCCCTTCTTACTCTTGTAGCATCCCTTACCTGCCATCACCCTACCCACAAAGAAAACAAGAGAAGCAGTGACATTAGCAGGGCAGAGGATTATTAGCCAGAGTCAGGCACTGGGAAAACCTGGCTCCTGGGGCCTTCCCATCTTATCACTACAGATTAAAGCAGGTCTACCCAAGTATGAATAAGAGAGCACTTAAAAATAACAACAGCTGACCAGGCGCGGTAGCTTACACCTGTAATCCCAGCATTTTGGGAGGCTGAGGGTGGATCACGAGGTCAAGAGATCGAGACCAGCCTGGCCAACATGGTGAAACCCCATCTCTACTAAAAATACAAAAATTAGCTGGGTGTAGTGGCGCCTGCCTGTGGTCCCAGCTACTCGGGAGGCTGAGGCAGGAGAATCACTTGAACCCGGGAGGCAGAGGTTTCAGTGAGCTGAGATCGCGCCACTGCACTCCAGCCTGTCGACAGAGTGAGACTCCGTCTCAAAAAACAAACAAACAAACAAAAAAACAACTGGCTGGGCGCAGTGACTCACGCCTGTAATCCCAGCACTTTGGGAGGCCGAGGAGGCGGGCAGATCACCTGAGGTCAAGAGTTCAAGATCAGCCTGGCTAACATGGTGAAACCCCGTTTCTACTAAAACTACAAAAAATTAGCCGGGCATGGTGGTGGCGCGCTCCTGTAACCCAGCTACTCAGGAGGCTGAGGCAGGAGAATCGCTTGAACCTGGGAGGTGGAGGTTGCAGTGGGCCGAGATCATGCCATTGCACTCCAGCTCGGGCAACAAGAGCAAAACTCCATCTCAAAATAAATAAATAAATAAATAAATAACAATTGCTAACATGTGTATTTATAGTGCCTTTACTATGTGCCAGCCTCTCTTCTTTTTTTTTTTTTTTTTTTTTTTTGAGACAGAGTCTCACTCTGTCGCCCAGGCTGGAGCACAGTGGTGCGATCTTGGCTCACTGTAACCTCCGCCTCCTGGTTTTAAATGATTCTCCTCCCTCAGCCTCCCCAGTAGCTGGGATTACAAAGTGTTGGGATTACAGGCATGAGCCACTGTGCCTGCCCTAAATTCTTGAGCCTTGAGAGAAATTGTACAGGTGTGATGTGACCTTGGCTCCTCCAATCCCAGGCATTTCTTCCTGGCTTTCAAATACCTGGTGTCCCCTTTAATGCGGACTGTTA
Organism: Homo sapiens; assembly: GCF_000001405.40. Taxonomy (NCBI): domain Eukaryota; kingdom Metazoa; phylum Chordata; class Mammalia; order Primates; family Hominidae; genus Homo; species Homo sapiens. The sequence goes on from NC_000010.11 coordinate 97,618,563, forward strand.
GAGGAGAGACTTCCTGAGGCTCTGCTGGGTGGGCTGTATCCACCACAAGAACTCCCTTGAATTCTGTTTGAAAGGCATGATTACTCCTGCAACATCTTGCTCTGTTTTCTGGTCAGTTCAGAGAGTAAGCACAGCCCTGTTGTTATAATGAAGCTGAAACCAGTGCTGCTAATCAGGCTGTTAGATTTGCCCAGTAGCTTTAAGGTGCTAAATGGATACTGGTTGTTTTTTTTTTTTTTTTTCCTCAGAGAGGCAATGTAGTTAGATTTTGAGGACACCGAGTCAGGCTGCCTGCTGTGTTTGCCTTCTTGTTCTACCACTTAGAGTTCTGTGATCTTGAGTAAGTTACTTAGCTTCTCCTTGCCTCAATTTCCCCATCTGTTAAATGGGAATAATAATAGTATGTGCCTACCTCATAAGGTTGTCATGAGGATTAAATAAGATGATAAATACAAAATGCTTAGAAGAGAGGCTGGCATGGGCCGGGCATGGTGGCTGATGCCTGTAATCCCAGCACTTGGGGAGGCCGAGGTGGGCAGATCACCTGAGGTCAGGAGTTCGAGACCAGCCTGGCCAACATGGTGAAACCCCGTCTCTACTAAAAATACAAAAATTAGCCAGATGTGGTGGCAGGCGCCTGTAATCCCAGCTACTTGGGAGGCTGAGGCACGAGAATCGCTTGAACCCAGGGGGCAGAGGTTGCAGTGAGCTGAGATTGCACCACTGCACTCCAGCCTAGGCAACATAGTGAGCGAGACCTCATCTCAAAAAACAAAACAAAACAAAACAAAAACAGAAGCAAAAAAAAGAAAGATATAACTCATTCCTGGAGGTTGAATTAACAATAGCATTTTCAAATTCCTTTATTTAATCCTAAAATGGAATAAAGGAATGGCAGGCACTATATGGAATTAAATCCTGGAGTTGAAAATGAAGATCCATAAAGTTGGCTATATATCCTGATGTATTTGTCCTCCAGCAAATGAAGTGTTCATCATGGATACTCCCCAGGGGTCCTTCTCACCCTCCTTCCACTCGCCACGATATTCCTCCCCACTGGAGTAGGTGAAGGAACCTTTTGTCAGGGTCATGGTGACAGATTACAGGATAAAAGGATGAAACTGTAGGAAATAAGCAAAGGAGAACCAGTGTCATGGAATGGCGGGAGGAAAGGACTGCAAGGCAATTTTATAGATACATTCTAAAGGCCACCAGCCTGGTAAGTGTACACTGCCTTAGGTGCATTTAACCAAAATACCCCTATCTCCAACCACCACCAGCACCATCATCTCCACCTCTGCCCAAGTGCTCTTATCCTCCTGCTTATCTTAAAAGTTTTCAGCCAGTTCCTATTTTCTATGACCTGGGATGGAAATCTACAAATATTAATCTACAAATATTTATTTGATACCTACTATGTGCTCAGTCGATGTATAAAATACAGTATCTTCCCTTGACGAGTTTATAATCTAGTTAATAAGACTAACAATTTAAACACTGAATTATGCCAGAGATAATGTGATTAAGTGCCAACTTGGATGGCAGAGATTAACAAAGACATGAGATGGCCAGAATTTAAAACAAGCAGACAAGCAGTGGAGAAGGCAAAGAGCAATTCCAGAATCAGAAAACATAGGGAACAGGCCAGGGGCAGTGGCTCACGCCTGTAATCCCAACACTTTGGGAGGCCGAGGTGGGTGGGATGACCTGAGGTCAGTTGTTTGAGACCAGCCTGGCCAACATGGTGAGACCCCGTCTCTACTAAAAATACAAAAATTAGCTGGGCGTGGTGGCAGGAGCCTGTAATCCTAGCTACTTGGGAGGCTGAGGCGGGAGAATCACTTAAACCCGGGAGGCGGAGGTTGTAGTGAGCTGAGATCACACCACTGTTACTCCAGCCTGGGTGACGGAGCAAGACTCTGTCTCAAAAAAAAAAAAAAAAAAAGAAAAAAAAAAGAAAATATGGGGAACCAACACTCAAAGGGCAAGGAACACTCTAAGGGCAATGTGAACACGAGATGTTCCATGGCAAAATAAGAAGCCTGGTCTCATTACAGTTGAGGGTTTATTTGGGGAGTATTAGGAAATAAGCCTGTGTAGGTACATGTAGCCACAATCTTAAATTTGAAGAGAGGCCTGGTGCAGTGACTCACACCTGTAATCCCAGCACTTTGGGAGGCCGAGGTGGGAGGATCACTTGAGCCCAGGAGTTCAAGACCAGCCTGGGCAACATAGCAAGACCTCATGTCAAAAATGTAAAATTAAAAAACAAAAAATAGGCCGGGCGTGGTAGCTCATGCCTGTAATCCCAGAACTTTGTGAGGCCGAGGTGGGCGGATCACGAGGTCAGGAGTTCGAGACCAGCTTGGCCAACATGGTAAAACCCCATCTCTACTAAAAATACAAAAATTAGCCGGGTGTGGTGGCGGGCACCTGTAATCCCAGCTACTCAGGAGGCTGAGGCAGGAGAATTGCTTGAACCCAGGAGGCAGAGGTTGCAGTGAGCTGAGATCACACCACTGCACTCCAGCCTGGGTGACAGAGCAAGACTCTGTCTCGAGAAATAAATAAATAAATAAATAAATAAATAAATCTGAAAAGAATCTCATGGATTTAGCCCAACCTCTCATTTTATAGGAGAAATAGAAGCCCAGAGAGGTAATAAAGTTTGTTGACAGCCTCCCCTGACTATGCTAGTCCTTTTTTCCTGTACAGCACAGCCTCTGCTTTTAGCTCAGGCTAACTTAAAGAGACCTTTGAAAGCTGGGCATAAGAGTTTACAGCATATGAGGGAGGAAAAGAGGCGACCTCTGCGGGTTTGTGAACCAGGATGTAATATGAAGGCAGTGTGTAAGGAAAATGAATGTGGTAGCACGAAGTGGGATGAATTGGAGCAGCAAGTCCATAGTCAGAAAAGCTTGCAAGGAAGGGAAATATGATAATGAAGCAAATTGTAAAAATGGGCAGAGTTATTCTCCCTCCGTTCATGACCCTACAATGTGACAAGGCAGATCCTCCCATTAAGAGGCAGAGTTGGCCGGGTGCGGTGGCTCACGCCTGTAATCCCAGCACTCTGGGAGGCGGAGTGGGTGGATCACCTGAACCAGAATGGCCAGCATGGAGAAATCCTGTCTCTACTAAAGATACAAAACATTAGCAGGGCGTGGTGGCGGGTGCCTGTAATCCCAGCTACTCGGGAGACTGATGCAGAAGAACTGCTTGAACTCGGGAGGCAGAGGTTGCAGTAAGCCAAGATCGCACCACTGCATTCCAGCCTGGGCGACAGAGTGAGGCTCTGTCTAAAAAAAAAAAGAGGCAGAGTTTATTTATTCCTCCACCTGCTGGACCTGGGTTGGCTGTGTGACTTGTTCTAGATAATGGAATGTTCGCAAAGGTGATCTAGCAGAGGTCTGCAAAGCACCTGTGCACTGGGCTTGCCCTCTTGCTACACTTGGACCTGTTCTGCCCCCATGTAAATGAGTCCAATCTAGTCTACTGGATGGTGAGACCCTGTCCCAGCTGGCCACAGATGAACAAATTGCTCAGGCAAGACTAGAAGAACTGCCCTTCTGAGCCCGGCCCCAAACTAGCGACCACAGACTCACAGGATAAATAAATGGTTATTGTTTCAAGCCACTGTGTTTTCTGGTGGTGTGTTATTACCCAGAAAAAGCTAACTGATACGTTCAGGCATGAGTCTGGGAGATCACAGTATAATGGGAGCAGAAGGAACAACTGGGGGGATACATCATAGGAAAACAATCAGTAACATTTGGGGACTGGCTAGATATGGCTTCACATTAGTGGTGAAAGGATGTATTGAAGGATATTCTATAAGAAGGGAACTGCACGGTGGCTCAAACCTACAATCCCAGCACTTTGGGAGGCTGAGGCTTGCGGACCACTTGAGCTCAGGAGTTTGAGACCAGCCTGGGCAATATGGTGAAACCCCATCTGTACCAAAATTACAAAAAATCCAAAAATTAGCCGGGTGTGGTGGTGCGTTCCTGTAGTCCCAGCTACTTGGGAGGCTGAGGTGGAAGGATCGCTTGAACCCAGGAGGCAGAAGTGCAGTGAGCCAAGATCACGCCACGACACTCCAGCCTGGGCGACAGAGGGAGACCCTGTCTCAAAAAAAAAAAAAAAAACGGAAGAAGAAGAAGAGGGAATTAAGATACCCCCCAAAATCATTAAATATAAACAGAGGCAAATAGTACGTCATTTGATAGACTAAAAAATACAAGCCCTATTTCTTTTTTAATTCCCTAGGTCTCTTCATTCATCCCTTCATCTTTCATTTATTTATTTATTTATTTATTTATTTATTTATTTATTTTTTAGAGACAGGGTCTTGCTCTGTCACCCAGGCTAGAGCACGGTGGCACGATCATAGCTCACTGTAACCTCAAACTCCTGGATTCAAGGCATCCCGTCACCTCAGTCTCCTGAGTAGCTGGGACTACAGGCGCACACTACCACATCTAGCTACCTCCTCATCTTTTCCAGATCTAAGCAATACAATGTTTTCTCCAGTAATTTTGACAATGCAGATTCCTAGGCCCAAACTCAGACTTACTGAATCAGATTCTGTAGTCAGAGCCTGGGAACCTGCAGTTTTAATAAGCACATCATTAGATCCTTACTTCAAAGCTTGTGGCCTACTGCTACAATAAATGGAAATACTGTGTGTGAAAAGTTCTCTGAACTATAAATCACTATTGAAAAGTCCTCTATCAACCAAGCATGGTGGCTCATGCCTGTAATTCCAGCACTTTGGGAGGCTGAGCAGGGACAATTGCTTGAGCCCAGGAGTCTGAGGCTGCAGTAAGTCATGACAGTGCCACTACAGCCTGGGTGACAGAGCGAGACCCTGTCCCCCTCCAAAAAAAAAGTCCCCTCTGATTAATAAGTAACCTAGAGTCTGACCCTCAGGCATCTGACTGAGTTCCAACAGGACAAGGACACATTCTCCTCAGAGTACTGGGGCCAGACCTGGTGGAGAAACAGGAAAGAATTCTTTTTTCTTTTAGAGACAGGGTCTCATTATGTTACCCAGGCTGGACTTGAACTCCTAGGTTCAAGAGATCCTCCAATCCCCTCTTAGACTTCTGAGTAGCTGGAACTACAGGTGCATGCCACTGCTCCCAGCTCAAAACAAGACGGGATTCTTTTTTTTTTTTTTTCTTTTTTTGAGACAGAGTCTCACTCTGTTGCCCAGGCTGGAGTGCAGTGGCATGATCTCGGCTGACTGCAAGCTCTGCCTCCCGGGTTCATGCCATTCTCCTGCCTCAGCCTCCCGAGTAGCTGGGACTACAGGTGCCCACCACGACGCCCCACTAACTTTTTGTATTTTTTAGTAGAGATGGAGTTTCACCGTGTTAGCCAGGATGGTCTCAATCTCCTGACCTCGTGATCCGCCCGCCTTGGCCTCCCAAAGTGCTGGGATTACAGGCATGAGCCACCGTGCCTGGCCGCAAGATGGGATTCTTAAATCTCGGGGGCCTGGCGCCAACAGCTAGCTTCCTTTTCCTTCAAGTCCCAGGGAAGCCAAAACCTCATCCAGTCAAGATGGAGTTCCAAAGAGTGGGTTCCATAGTTTCATAGCACAAAAGGGGTCTGGTATATTTTATGCAAAAGTGATGCTTTAAATGTTCAACTAAAACAACCCATATGTTAAATTTGCTTTCTCCACATTGTCATGGTGGACAGTGCTAGATTATTTATATTTCAATTCAGGTGGCACAACCCTCTCTAATAATCAATTGCACTAACCCCAGAGAAGCTGTCTGAAATACCTTTATAACAGAAGCTAACATTTACTGACCTCTTACTGTGTTCCATCAGTGTTGTTTATTTGTTTTGTTTTAAGAGATGGGGTCTCACTCAGTTACCCAGCCTGGAATGCAGTAGTGTGATTGTGATTAGAGCTCACTGCAGTCTCAAACTTCTGGGCTAAAGTGATCCTCCCGCTTCATCCTCTCCAGTAGCTGGGACTAGAGGTGTGTGCCAACACACCCAGCTACTTTTCAAATTTTTTGTTGAGATGGGTATCGCTATGGTGCCTAGACTGGTCCCGAACTCCTGGCCTCAAGTGATTCTTCCTCATCAGCTTCCCAAGTAGCTGGGATTACTGGTGTGAGCATCAGTGTTTTTTGTTTTGTTTTGTTTTTGAGACGGAGTTTCACTGTTATTCTTCCCCAGGCTGGAGTGCAATGGCGCGATCTTTGCTCACTCCAACCTCCGCCTCAGCCTCCCAAGTAGCTGGGATTACAGGCATGCGCCACCACGCCTGGCTAATTTTGTATTTTCAGTAGAGATGGGGTTTCACCATGTTGGTCAGGTGACCTCAGGTGATCCTGACCTCAGGTGATCCACCTGCCGCGGCCTCCCAAAGTGCTAAGAATACAGGCGTGAGTCACCGCACACGGCATGAGCATCAGTGTTTTTAAAATATATTATCTAATTTCATCTCACAACAACTTTTTGGGGTGGGTATTATTATTATTTCCACTTTAGGGATGAGGAAACTAAGGTGCAGAGAGGATAAGTAAATTAACTAAGGTCATACATGTGGAAACTAACACGTGAAAGTTAGAATCAGAGCTCTGACAGCTGGCCTTGCTGGCACAAGTTCTTACAGTAACTTGCTAACTTATACCATACTATCCTATCTGGCCTCCCAGGATAATATGGTGGTGTTGTAGACTCTGAGCACAGGAGGACTTGAGTTCAAATATGAGTTCACTGTATAATTATGGGCAAGGTATTTAAGTATCTCTAAATCTCAGTCTCCTCATCTGTAAAGTGGAGATAAGATATGTATTTCACATAGTTGGCAGGTGGATTAAATTAAATATCTGAGAGTCAGTGGGTGACAGAAAAGAAAAATAAAAGAAAGAAAATGACACACACGTAAGTACCTAGAACACTGCTAGGGCCTGTCCACTAAATGTTAGTTTCTTTCCTCTTTCAAAGTTTTACACTTAAACTCACACATATACTTACTGTAATGAAAACTTCTCTAGGTCTTTCCTCAGTAAAAACTGCTACCAATGTAATTCAAACAACACTTTGAAAAAGAAAATCTCAGCAATTTTGACTAAAGAGCTGAATACTAAGTAGAGGAAAAACAAACTATAGTTGCCACCCATCCACTCTTTATCAACATCCTACAGGATATTTTTATTTTGGCCTCATGTCATAACGATTTTTTGTTTTTTAAGGAGACAGTGTGTCGCTCTGTTGCCCATGCTGGTGTGCAATCGCTTGATCATAACTCACTGCAACCCTGAACTTGTGGGCTCAAGCAACCCTTCTGCCCCAGCCTCCCAAGTAGCTAGGACTATAGGCACACACCACCATGCCCAACTAACTTTTTTGTAGAGACCGTGTCCCACTATGTTGCCCAGGCTAATCTCAAACTCCTAGCCTCAAGCAATCTCTGGCCTTGGCCTCCGAAAGTGCTAGGATTATAAGCATGAGCCACCACACCCAGCCTCATGCCTTTTTTTTTTTTTTTTTTAAAGAGAACAAGCGGGCTGGGCACAGTGGCTCACGCCTGTAATCCCAGCACTTTGGGAGGCTAAGATGGATCACCTGAGGTCAGGAGTTCGAGACCAGCCTGGCCAACATGGTGAAGCCCTGTCTTTACTAAAAACACAAAAATTAGCCAGGCGTGGTGGCACATGCCTGTAGTCCCAGCTACTTGAGAGGCTGAGACAGGAGAATCACTTGAATCTGGGAGGTGGAGGTTGCAGTGAGCCAAGATCATGCCACTGGTCTCCAGCCTGGGTGACAGAGCGAGACTCTGACTCAAAAATAATAATAATAATAATCATAATCATAATCATAATCATAATCATAATCATAATATGTTCTGATGCTTGTTCTCTCTCTTTTTTTTTTTTTCTTGAAACGGAGTCTTGCTCTGTGGCCCAGACTGGAGTGCAGTGGTGCAATGTCGGCTCACTGCAACCTCCACCTCCCGAGTTCAAGTAATTCTCCTGCCTCAGCCTCTCGAATAGCTGGGATTTCAGGTGACCGTCACCATGGCTGGCTAATTTTTGTATTTTTAGTAGAGACAGGGCTTCACCATGTTGGTCAGGCTGGTCTCGAACTCCTGACCTCAGGTGAGCCACCCATCTCAGCCTTCCAAAGTGCTGGGATTACAGGCATGAGCCACTGTGCCCAGATTTTTTTTTTTTTTTTTTTTTAGACAGAGTTTCATTCCTGTGGCCCAGGCTGGAGTGCAATGGTGCAGTCTCAGCTCACTGTAACCTCTGCCTCCCAGGTTCAAGCGATTCTCTTGCCCCAGCCTCCCAAGTAGCTGGGATTACAGGCCCCTGCCACCACGCCCAGCTAATTTTGTATTTTCAGTAGAGACAGGGTTTTACCATGTTGGCCAGGCTGGTCTTGAACTCCTGACCTCAGGTGATCCTCCCGCCTTGGCCTCCCAAAGTGCTGGGATTACAGGCATGAGTCACTGTGCCCGGCCTGATTTTTGTTTGTTTGTTTGTTTAATGGAGACTGGTGCTGGTGACTTTGCTGAGTAGCTTCAGCAGAGGGACCTGAACACCTTTTTTTTTTTGTTTTTTGTTTTTTGAGACACTCTCACTCTGTCACCCAGGTGGAAGTGCAGTGGCTCGATCTCAGCTCACTGCAACCTTCGTCTCCTGGGTTCAAGCAATTCTCGTGCTTCAGCCTCCTGAGTAGCTGGCATTACAGGTGTGTGCCACCACGCCTAGCTACTTTTTGTATTTTTAGCAGAGACAGGGTTTCACCATGTTGGCCAGGCTGGTCTTGAACTCCTGGCCTCATGTGATCTGCCCACCTCGGCCTCCCAAAGTGCTAGATTACAGGCGTGAGCTACCGCGCCCAGCCAGAACATAATGATTTTTGATACAGACACCAAAAGCCCAGAAATGGTCTAATGTGAAAACAGCTAGGCCTGACCAGAGCAGGGTTCAATGACATCTTCTACGCCCTGGCTCTGTCCCAGCCATGAGGACAGACGAGTTATAAGAATCCCTGTGCTCTCACCCAAATAAGAGAAAAGATTCATTTCTCGCCTAAATGAAGGGCAACCTTGTGGAGACTCTTCTAGAGATATTTGGGGGCCACTCCCATAGGACTTTCTCCCTTCTTCAGTTATCAGTCAAGCATTCCATTTCCAGTATCTCTCACACAGAAGATATCCGAGGCAAGGACCATTATCTTCTTGTAGTAAACTCCCTCCAAACCTCTGGGAGCTATTTTCTGAGACGTGATGCTGGTACTTGCCATGTCATCTCTGTCCTATCAATGTCCCACAAGGTCAGCATCCAATTTCAGGCTCACAAGCCTCTTATCACCAGCCCAGCATCAGAGTGTGCTGGGGTAGAGGCCAACATGACTCCATTGCAAATATAACATTAATGAGAGCATGAGAAGTAGTTTTCCATCAGAATAGCAGAAGAAAACGCTTTCCAGTACAGACGGGCATTTTGATCAGGCAATCCTCAGCTCTTCCCAGAACTAAGTTACAGCACTAAAAGTCAGCTTATGGTTGAAGTTTCATTCCTTCAAAACACATCAGTTAGAATCTGAAGGGCTGTATCTTCCACTAAATCTTATAATTAAACAACCATTCCAAAACCTAAACACAAAATCACTATTTATACAAAAAGATTATAAGAGCATTTCCTTTAGATGTCTGGCAGCAGTTAACCAACTTGTTTTCACTCAAAATTTGGAAGGAGTTATTGCAGTGGGATTTGAGGAGTCATATTGACTACACAGGGACTCAGGGAAAGTACTGCCTTGTATTTATTTACTTTTTCTCAAGGCTACGTGAAACTTCCAAAGAGTGGCATTCTACCTTGTTCCAGAAGGAACAGTATAAGATTGCTGAAAGAAGGGAACATTTCTCCAGTTTGAGGGTTATTTACGGACAAAGTACTAGTTTTCAAGTGGTACACCTAACCACTTTTTTTCTTTCTTTTTTTTTTTTTGAGACACAGTCTCACTGTGTCACACAGGCTGAAGTCTAATGGCATGATCTTGGCTCACTGCAACCTCCGCCTCCCAGGCTCAAGAGATTCTCGTGCCTCAGCCTCCTGAGTAGCTGGGATTACAGGCGTGCCAGCACGGCCAGCTAATTTTCATATTTTTAGTAGAGATGGGGTTTCACTATGTTGGCCAGGCTGGTCTCAAACTTCTGGCCTCATGTGATCTGCCTGCCTTGGACTCCCAAAGTGCTGGGATTATAGGCATGAGCCACCACGCCCAGCCCCTAACCACTTTTTTAGTATGCTGTTAGCTCTTGGGGATTATACCCTAAATATTTTAAGGAAGCCAATGAAACTGAAAAGGTTACCTTCTTATTACCAAATGTGGCGGACTGTATTTCCAAGATGTTTGCAACAGTATCTTCTGTCTTACATGTTTGTCTACAATTTGATCTGGCCATTGATCCATTAAAAGGTGAAATCTACCTCCCCTCCCTTGAATCTGAGTAGGCTTGTGACTGCTTGGACCAAAAGAACACAATGAAAATGATGGTGTGGGCCGGGCGTGGTGGCTCATGCCTGTAATCCTAGCATTTTGGGAGGCCGAGGCGGACGGATCACCTGAGGTCGGAAGTTCAAGACCAGCCTGACCAACATGGAGAAACCCCATCTCTACTAAAAATACAAAATTAGCTGGGTGTGGTGGCCCATGCCTGTAATCCCAGCTACTTGGGAGGCTGAGGCAGGAGAATTGCTTAACCCAGGAGGCGGAGGTTGAAGTGAGCCAAGATCGCGCCATTGCACTCCAGCCTGGGCAACAAGAGTGAAACTCTGTCTCAAAAGAAAATGGTGGTGTGTTCTGAGGTTAGATCATAAAAGGTGATGCAACTTCCATCTTGTCACTGATACACTCACACTTGGAGACCCGAGCCACCACATAAAAAGCCTGACTACACAGAGGCTAACACTGAAAGCCAAGCCACACAGAAAAGCCATATATTGGTGTTCCAGTTGGCTGCCCTTACCTTTGAATCATCCTATCCCACGTACCAGGCATCAGTGAAGGAGCCTTCAGATGATTCCAGCCCTCAGCCATTGAGCCTGCATTCCATCCCATATCAGGGAGCAGAGAGAGGCCTCCCCATGGTGCCAGGTCCAAATTCCCTCACCCACAGAATCCATGAGCATCATATGGGTGTTTTTTTTTTGTTTGTTTGTTTTGTTTTTTGAGACAGAGTCTCGCTTTGTCACGCTGGGTGGAGTACAGTGGTGTGATCTCGGCTCACTGCAAGCTCCGCCTCCCGGGTTCAAGCAATTCTCCTGCCTTAGCTTCCTGAGTAGCTGGGACTACAGGTGCTCGCCACCACGCCCAGCTAATTTTTTTTTTTTTTTTTTTGAGACGGAGTCTTGCTGTCTCCCAGGCTGGAGTTCAGTGGCACGATCTCAGCTTACTGCAAGCTCTGCCTCCCAGGTTCTCGCCATTCTCCTGCCTCAGCCTCCCCAGTAGCTGGGACTACAGGCGCCCGCCACCATGCCCAGCTAATTTTTTTTTGTATTTTTAGTGGAGACGGGGTTTCACCATGTTAGCCAGGATGGTCTCGATCTCCTGACCTTGTGATCCGCCTGCCTCAGCCTCCCGAAGTGCTGGGATTACAGGCATGAGCCACTGTGCCCGGCCCCGGCTAATTTTTTGTATTTTTAGTAGAGATGAGGTTTCACTGTGTTAGCCAGGATGGTCTTGATCTCCTGATCTCATGATCCGCCCTCCTCAACCTCCCAAAGTGCTGGGATTACAGGCATGAGCCACCGCGCCTGGCCACAGTATGGGTGTTTTAAGCTGCTAAATTCTGGGGTACTTTGTTATACAGCAATAATAACTGGAATACCATGTTTCAACCTAACCCTCCCACCATCCTCTCCCATTGGTTTTCAACAGTACATACTACAAACTTCCATTCCATTTTGACTTAGGCACATATAGCAAATTCCCTTCAGCAAATGCTTGCCAAAATGATGTCCATTGCCAAGACCACAGTCAGAAGTGCTAATGAAAGGGAATGTGTGTAGAATCCATGAGTCTCAGGCCATGGTTGAATACATTTGGCTAGAAACTGTCACATGTGCCCAAATAGTTGATATTGTCACTATTTGGGACAGTGTCTGGATTTTATGACTTTTATAATTAACCATGCTAATGAATAGCTTTACAGCTACTGACCTAAAAAGGAATTTCACCAGTAACCATGGTCATTGAGACAAACCTAGTTTAACAAAGTATAGTCAGTGCCGATGAAGACTGAAAGCCCAATACTTTTTTTTTTTTGAGGCAGTCTGGCTCTGTCATCCAAGCTGGAGTGCAGTGGCGTCATCTCAGCCACTGCAACCTCTGCCTCCTGGGCCCAAGCCATCCTCCCACCTTAGCCTCCTGAGTAGCTGGGACTACAGGAGCATGCCACGACACCCAGCTAATTTTTGCATTTTTTGGTAGAGACAGGGTTTTACCACGTTGCCCATGCTGGTCTTGAACTCCTGGGATCAAGTGATCTGCCTGCTTCAGCCTTCCAAAGTGCTAGGATTACAGGTGGGAGCCACCATGTCTGGCCCAATACTTTAATAAGGGATGCAAATCAGTATTTCTATCAGTTATCCAAATCATATTTTTAAAGAGAATATATGGCTCAGGAGTTTAGGCTACAGATACACCCATGGAATCCAGTCACAAACCAAGATGATTCACACTTCTAAACAGACACTCACCCTTTCTGCACTCCTGATAGATGGGTTGCAAAGGATCAGTCCAAACATTTACATAAAAGAAAATTACTATTCTGTCCCTGTAAACCAACACACTATTAGTCTGCACTATATACCATATTCCTGGTATCTTCATTTTCTTTTGTCCCAGACATTTCTTTTTAATTATTATTATTTTCTTATTTCCAAACAGAACTCTGAGGCAATAACGAGAATTTTTGTTTCCGTTCTTTTTATCGTTTTCTAATTTTAAGAAATCAACGTATTAAACAACATTTTTGTATTCACAGTAAACTGTGTCCAATTTAAGAGGATTAAAAAAAAAAAAACTGACATAAAGAGGAAAAAGGGCCAGGCATGATGGCTCACTCCTGTAATCCCAGCACGTTGGGAGGCTGAAGCAAGAGGATCGCTTGAGCCCAGGAGTTCAATACCAAGCTGGGAAACGTAGTGAGACCTCATCTCTACAAAACAATACAAAAATTTGCTGGGTGTGGTGGTGCATGCCTGTAGTCCCAGCTACTCAGGAGGCTGAGGTAGGAGGATTGCTTGAGCCCACAATTTGAGGCTGCCGGGGTGAGCAGTGACTGCACCACACCTGTACTCCAGCCTGGGCAACAGAGCCAGACCTTGTCTCAAAAAAAAGAAAAGAAAAGCAAAACAAAACAAAAGGTTGGGGCGGTGGGGGAGATCCAGTTAGAGAATACTGGGTGGAGGCAGCCACCCTAACTACCCACATGTCCCCCCAGAACCACCCTTCCCAGGGTACAATAGTCTTGTCAAATTATTTCAGTAATAAAGAAAGCAGTTCATAAGCTTTTAGAATCCTAAAGAGAAGAAAATGAAGGCTTTGATGAACAAAGATTAGCCTTGTTAGGAACCTAGAACAAAAAGTCAAATAATACTCCCCTTTTTTTTTTTTTTTTTTTTTTTTGAGACGGAGTCTTGCTCTGTCCCCCATGCTGGAGTGCAGTGGCAGGATCTTGGCTCACTGCAACCGCCGCCTCCCAGGTTCAAGCAATTCTCCTGCCTCAGCCTCCTGGGTAGTTGGGATTACAGGCACGTGCCACCATGCTTGGCTAATTTTTGTATTTTTAGTAGAGACGAGGTTTCACCATCTTGGCCAAGCTAGTTTTGAACTCCTGACTTCGTGATCCACCCGCCTCGGCCTCCCAAAGTGTTGGGATTACAGGCGTGAGCCACCGCGCCCGGCCTAAATATTTTTTTTTAAGTGTTTTAAAAGGAGCTCGAAATAACTGTTTTTCATTATAAGTCTAACCTCCTCTTTCCTCATGTGAAAAGTAAAGAAATGTATCGTTGCTATATGAAGGGTTCGTTTAGGGAAGACTGTGGGATGGTTAGATTGAAGAAAGTGGGAAGAAAATACTGGCGCCAAAAAGATTTTTTTTTTTTTTTATTTAAAGGCGATGATGACCTGGGGGTGATTGGGACTAGGGAGTAATACTGCCAGAATACTATCCTATTTCACGGGAAAGGGAATGCCAGGGCTGGACTCCGATATAGCAGTTATTCCTGCTGGTACCTAAGCAGTTCAGAGATGCTAGAATGCAGGGATACCACCCATCAACTAAATGAAGCATCCCATTCCCCAGGCTTCCATATGTGGGAGTTCTCTCCACCAGTGAGATAAAGGCGGGCTCAGGGAAAACAAAGCCCTAGACCACAACAAGGCAACACCTTCTCGCACCCCATTTTCACCTTCCAGGCGCGTTCCTTCCTGCTATCCGGGCCCGCTCTCCCGCCCGGCAGGGTCTAACGCTCACACAGGTCTGCCAATTCCCCTGATGCAACCCTCCACCCTCTGCTCGCTAACCCCAGTCCAGTCAGCTCTCCCGGGCCTCGACCCCCGCGGTGGAGACTAAAGGGTTCAGGTTTGGGTCCCCCACAGGCAACCGCCCTCAGGTCAGCGTATCCGAGGTGGAGCCGCGCCCCCGAGCCGGGTCATCTCGTGCTCCGTTCCTCAGTGCCCACCTGACCGATCACACTCTTTCCCGGCCCCCTCCCTCCTGCGCCTCCAGCCAACCTGGGGCCGGCCTTTCGGGATGACCGTCACGCCTGGACGCAGGGTTCCAGCGCCTCGGACTTTTCCTCTGATGGGCTCCCGGCTGCCACCTTGCTCTCCGCCACCTCCACCAGCGATTGCCCCACTTGACGCCGCCATCCTGGGCGACCGCACTGGGTACAATTCCCGCTGCCCATTGGCTGTTACCTAGGCAACCGGGAGCAACGCCACTCCGCATTGGCCCAGCCCGGCTCCACGCCATCTTTGTGCGGGGCCGAGTGTTTGCGAACCCGGGCTGACTATGTGAAAGAGGGGTGGTCCCACCTCTGCAACGCAGATAAAGACAGAGGATCCAGATCTGGCCTACCCAGAGGCCGTCTAGTTGAAATGGCAACCCCAAAGAAAACCAAACCTGCGCCCGAAGCAACAGTGACCATCAACGCGAGCGGCTCTGATCTTGCTCCAGTCCCCACTGCTGTCAAGGGCCCCGCCGCGGAGTTTAAGGCAGATCCTAAATCCAGCTTCAGAGAGGCAGCTTTGTAAATTGTAACGCGCTAGGCAGGATAGCCTCCAATAACTCTGTGCTAGACATTGTGATATCAAGACACTTTTGCATTCATTATAGGAATTTGTGCTGTCCTTGTCATTATCTAGATCCTTTTTGTTTAAAATATAGTACCTGGCCAGGCGCAGTGGCTCACATCTGTAATCCCAGCACTTCGGGAGGCCGCGGCTTGAGCTCAGGAGTGCGGGAGGCTTGAGCCCAAGAGTTCTAGATCAGCCTGGGCAACGCAGGGAGACTCCGTATCTACAGAAGAAAAAAATTACCCAGCCTAGTGGTGGGTGCCTGTAGTCACAGCTACTCAGGAGGCTGAGGTGGGAGGATCCCTTGAGCCCAGGAGGTTGAGGCTGCAATAAGCCATGATTCTGCCACTGTACCCCAGCCTGGGCGACCTAGCAAGACCCTGTCTCAAATAAATAAATTGCAAACCAAAAAGTATCTGAGACAGGTCTCAATCAATTTAGGAGTTTATTTTGCCAATGTTAAGGACATGCCCGTGACACAGCCTTAGAAGGTCCTAAGAATGTGTGTCCAAAATAGTCGGGACACCACTTGATTTTATACATTTTAGGGAGACGTAAGACATCAATCAATACATGTAAAATATACATTGGCTTGGTCCCGAAAGTGGGGGTGGGGGTGGCAAGTTCCAGGATGTAGGTGGATTCAAAGATGTCCTGATTGACAATTGGTTGAAAGAGTTTAAAGACCTGGAACCCACAGAAGGGAATGTCTGGGTTAAGTTAAGGAATTGTTACTAAGATATGCACGCACACACACACACACACACACACACACACACACACAAGGAATTGTGGAAATCAAGGTTTTTATTATGCAGAGAAGGCTACAGGTAGCAGGCTCCAGAGAGCATAGATTGTAAATGTTTCTTTATTTTTTTTTTTGTTTTGAGACAGGGTCTCCCTCTGTCACCCAGTCTGGAGTGCAGTAGCTGGATCACGGCTTACTGCAGCCTTGACCTCCCAGGCTCAAGTTATCCTCCCACCTCAGCCTCCTAAGTAGCTGAGACTACTGGTTCATTCCACTATGCCTGGCTTATTTTTGTATTTTTTGTAGAGATGGTGTTTTGTCATGTTGCCCAGGCTGGTATTGAACTCCTGGGCTCAAGTGATCCTCCCATCTCTGCCTCCCAAAGTGCTAGGATTACACGTGTGAGCCACCAAGGCTGGCCAGTGTTTATTATCAGATTTAGAAAGGTATCAGACTCTTAGTTAGTTCTCCCCTGGATCAGGAAAAAGACCTGGAAAGGGAAGGGGATTTTCTACAGAATGTAGATTTTCACCATAAAAGACACCTTTGCCTGCTATCATGACAGATGGGGCCTGCTATCTGTCAATGTTGGTATCATTGCTACAAAGAGTCTGCTGTGTCAACCTTAAGATCTCTGCTTTAATGTTAAATGCTGGTCCTGAATTCCAAAAGCAGGAGAAAATAATGAGGCATGTCTGACTCCCACTTCTCATCATGGCCTCAAATAGTTTTTCAGGTTAATTTAGGAATGCCCTTGGCCCAGAAGAGGAGGCCATTCATTTGATTGGGGGGCTTATAATTTTATTTCTGGTTCACTAGATAAATAAATAAATAAATAAAATATAGTGCCAAGATTGGAGCAAATCTTCCCAAATACCACTCACATCAATCTGTGTATCCATATGTTTATTTCTTAAACAATGTGAGTACAGCATGATGCTAGGTTCTGTCAGGCTTGAAAAGCCATGATTGTTACTCTTATGGCCTTTATAATTAGCTGAGTGTGGTGACAAGTGCCTGTGGTGCCAGCACTCGGGAGGTTAAGGCAAGAGAACTGCTTGAGCCTGGTTAACAGAGACCCTGTCTCAAAACATAAATAAATAAATAAATAAATAAATAAATAAATAAATAAATAAATAAAATGTAGTTTCTTGGCCAGGGGAATGACACACTACAAGCAGTATTTTATGAAAATTAATCTGACAGTGACACTCAGAGATGACCAGTGAGAGATTGGAAGCAAAGTAACAAACTCAGAAGTTATTGTAATAATGCAACTAACACATCCTGGAAGTTTCATGTAGCATCAGTGGAGATGAAAGAAAGGGGGTAAATATGAGACATATTTCATAGGGATATTTAATAAGAATCAACATAGTGTTAAGAGCATGGAAACAGTCTGCCTGGATTTGGATCCGGCTCTGCCATTTACCAGCTGAATGACCATGGGCACATTACCTTTACCTCCCTGGGTCTGGGTTTCCAACATCACAGGATACTATAAAGCTGGTTCCATGAGTTAATCCATGTAATGCATTTAAAACAATGTCTAGGCCGGGTGTGGTGGCTCATGCCTGTAATCCCAGCACTTTGGGAGGCCGAGGTGGGCGGATCATGAGGTCAACAGATCGAGACCATCCTGGCCAACATGGTGAAACCCCGTCTCTACTGAAAAATACAAAAATTAGCCGGATGTGGTGGCCCGCGCCTGTAGTCCCAGCTACTCAGGAGGCTGAGGCAGGAGAATCGCTTGAACCCGGGAGGCGGAGGTTGCGGTGAGCTGAGATTGCACAACTGCACTCCAGCCTGAGTGACAGAGCCGGCTAATTTTTGTATTTTTAGTAGAGACAGGGTTTCACCATCTTGACCAGGCTGGTCTCGAACTCCTGACCTCGTGATCCACCCGCTTCGGCCTCCCAAAGTGCTGGGATTACAGGCGTGAGCCACTGTGCCTGGCCAAAAAATTTTTTTAGATAAAATAAAAGACTCTGAGGGGTTTCTGTGGAGAAAAAACTCAGAATTCCAGGGAGAACTCTAAATCTGGGACCTTTCCTTTACCATAATTTGAAGCTTATGGGCTAAATGAGATGAATGATACCAAAAGATTATCTATGTGGCTACAGACCCTGGGCCACAAGAGCCAGGCATCAGTTGATTATTGAGGTCTAGATAGGAAAAGGAAGTGCATGTATTATAACTGAAAGGGGCAATTTAACCTTCTGTACGACTTTTGTTTAGAATGGTTTGTCTGGCCAAAAATGTTTAAGACATTCCCATACATATAATTAAACAATAGTGCTTTCAATTTGGTATTTCTAGTTAGCAGTGGCAATAATTTGATTCAAGAAAGAATGATTATGAAATATTGGTGACTATGTGACTGGCCATGATTCGTGAAAGCCCATACCTCTAGTCTGCTGGTGACTTTAAGCATAAAAACAAAAACAACATCAACAGTAACATCAGCAGTGATTTTTTTTCAAAAAGCTACCATATGTTGAGTGCTCTTTATGTACAAAACACTATGCTAAGTGCTTTATTTTTATTTTTCCTATTAGAGAGTCATGCTTCATATGCTAAGTGCTTTACATAACATTATATTGATTCTTGATTCAGTAATCATGGGGATGATTATTCCCATTTTATAGATTAAGGAACTGAGGCTTAGAGAGGTTATATAACTTGTCTAAAACAACTGATCATCATGGAGACTGGATTCAAACTCAAATGTCTCTGATTTCCAAGCCCATGCTTCCAACCATTACATTTTACACTTTTTTTTTGAAACGGAGTCTGGCCCTGTTGCCTAGGCTGGAGTGCAATGGCACGATCTCAGCTCACTGCAACCTCCACCTCCCAGGTTCAAGCGACTCGCCTGCCCCAGCCTCCGTAGTACCTGGGATTACAGGCGCCTGCCACCATGCCTGGCTAATTTTTTGTAGTAGAGACGAGGTTTCACCATGTTGGACAGGCTGGTCTCAAACTCCTGACCTTGTGATCCACCCGCCTTGGTCTCCCCTAGGATTACAGGTGTGAGCCACCAAGCCTGGATGTACATTCTACACTTTTGAAGGTAGTGTTTGCATACATTTTTTTTTGAGACGGATTCTTGTTCTGTCGCCTAGGCTGGAGTGCAGGGGTACGATCTCAGCTCACTGCAACCTCCACCTCCCAGGTTCAAGCGATTCTCACACCTCAGCCTCCCAAATAGCTGGGATCATAGGCGTGTGCCACCAAGCCCAGCTAATTTTTTTTTTTTTTTTGTATTTTTAGTAGAGACAGGGTTTCGCCATGTTGGCCAGGCTGGTCTTGAACTCCTGACCTCAGGTGATCCACCCGCCTCAGCCTCCCAGAGTGCTAGGATTATAGGCGTGAGCCATCGTACCTGGCTTGTTTGTATAAATTTTAACTGAAACAGTATTCCATGAATTTATTATTATTATTATTTTTTCAGATGGAGTTTCGCTCTTGTTGTTCCAGGCTGGAGTGCAGTGGCACAATCTCTGCTCACTGCAACCTCCTTCTCCCAGGTTCAAGCAATTCTCCTGCCTCAGCCTCCCAAGTAGCTGGGATTACAGGCATGTGCCACCAAGCCCGGCTAATTTTTGTATTTTTAGTAGAGACGGGGTTTCACCATGTTGCCCAGGCTGGTCTCGTTCTGTTCTACTTTCCAGGCCCTTGGTAACCCAGTTTAACTCTGCTTCCCCTCGAATCAAGAAGGTTGCTCTCTGTTCCCTATATGCCCTAGCCTTCCTCTTTTACTCAGGTAACTCCTGCTTGGTGTAACATTTTTTTCCTGTCTCCTTTTTTTCCAGCAATCTAATTACTCTTTCTTTAAGACTCAGCTCATAGCACATGACCCACTTAAAGCCTTTGCTTGATCCTTGAGCATTCTGGTTGAAAAAAAAAATTAGAAAAAAAATAAAGCCTTTGCTGAGCCTGCAGCCTGCCTCAGTTAATTGGTGAACTGTTACGGAGTTTTGAGCTCATTTTGCTTTTTTTTCTCCTACTGCCTCAGAAAGCCACATGCCTTCAGCTTGAGGGCAGGGACTCTATCTTCCTTCCCTTTCTCATGAATAATAATGTACTGAGCACCTACTGTGTCTAGACACTGAGATTTAACAGTGTGAGTAAAAGCAATGGACTCTTACCTCGTGGTAAGAACTTCTTAGGCTCATGGGACCATATTTTTCTTCAATTAACAAATAAGCATTGAGCAGCTGGGCCAGGCACAGTGTAAGATATTAATTGGCTATGTATTATTCTTTGTATCACAAGTTTGTATCTTCACAGGAACTTGAAGATAATGGGTGAGGCAGCGAGTCAGGAATAAAATGTCTTAACAATTGCCCCTGGGTTTTCCTAGGAACTCCTTAAAAAAATTAATTTTTAAAAAATAGATGGAGTCTTGCTATGTTGCCCAGGCTGGCCTTGAATTCCTATAAGGTTGAGAAGGAAAGATAGCTTAGAGCAGTCTGAGCTCTGTGTGATGTATGCACAGTCTATTGGCTCAAAGACATGAGTATGGGACTTCAGTCATGCCTTCCACACCCACACTCTGGGGCAATGGTTTCTTTCTTTCTTTCTTTCCTTTCTTTCCTTCCCTTTCTTTTCTTTATTTCTTCCTGCCCCTCTCCCTCTCCCTTTCTTTCTTTCTCTTTCTCTCTTTTTCTTTCTTTCTTGACAGAGTTTCTCACTGCAACCTCTGCCTCCTGGGTTCAAGCGATTCTCCTGCCTCAGCTTCCCGAGTAGCTGAGATTATAGGCATGTGCCACCATGCCCGGCTAATTTTGTATTTTTAGTAGAGACAGGGTTTCTTCATGTTGGTCAGGCTGGTCTTGAACTCCCGACCTCAGGTGATCCGCCTGCCTCAGCCTCCCAAAGTGCTGGGATTACAGGCGTGAGCCACTGTGCCTGGCGGGTTTTTTTCTTTTAAAAATTTTTTATTTTTTGGCTGCACTGTGGGTGGTTCACACCTGTAATCCCCCAGCACTCTGGGAGACTGAGGGAGGAGGATCGCCTGAGGCCAGGAGTTCAAGACCAGCCCAGGCAACATAGAGATAACCTAACTCTAAAAAAATAATAATAATATTTTAAAAAGAAATCTTCAGGGCTTCCTAGGAAAACCTGGAGGCAATTGTTAAGACATTTTATCCTGACTGGCTACTTCACCCATTACCTTCAAGTTCCTGCGAACTTGAAGTGTAACCTGACATTGTTACATCTACATTGGAAGTATGTTAGGTCAACTGAGATACGAATTTGGGATACAAAGTACAATGTATAGCCAATCTATAACTTGTTATTTTAATGTAAATTCTTGGTAAACAAGTTAGGAACTGCCTCTTTTCCTTTAAAAACCTACTTCCAGGCCAAGCGCAGTGGCTCACACCTGTAATCCCAGCACTTTGGGAGGTCGAGGTGGGCAGATCACTTGACCTCTGTCGTTTTTTTTTTGGAGACTGATCACTCTGTCTCAAAAAAAAAAAAAAAACAAACCCAAAAAACAAACCCCCCGCCCCAAAAAAAACGTTTCATCGAGGTAGAGCAGCAGCTTTGTTTCTTTGCTTCACTGCTGTCTCCCTAGCACTTAGAACATAGTACGTGCTCAATAAATGAATGAGTGCCTGACTGAATGAATGAGGATACATAGATGAGATTCCTCCAATCTCACAGCCGGTTCAGAGTAGGCACTCAATGAGTGACTGACAGGATAGTTGCTGTTTTGAAAGCGCCCAAGTCCAGTAAGCCAATTGGAAGCTAAGCGTGGCGCTGGTATAGTAGGGGCAGGGGGCGTGCCTGACCCAAGGTTGGGTCCTGGAGCATGCGCAGTCTTCACAGAAGGTGACGGGGAGAAAAATGCGGAGGCAGCGATTGCGTAGGAGCAGGTTCTGATTGGCTACTGTTCGCGCGCGAGGGGCCGTGCCTATTCGTAGCCAAGTAAACAGGGCAGGTTAGAGGCGGGGCCAAGGAGGCGTCGCGACCTGGTTGGCCGGCCGGGGCCTGGGGGATGTCACGGATTGGTCGCGGCCGCGAGCGCAGTGGTGTGGAGCGCGCCGGGTCCCGGAGCCGGCTGTCTGAGGGATGGACGAGACGAGCCCACTAGTGTCCCCCGAGCGGGCCCAACCCCCGGACTACACCTTCCCGTCGGGCTCGGGCGCTCACTTTCCGCAGGTGCCCGGGGGCGCGGTCCGAGTGGCGGCGGCGGCCGGCTCGGGCCCCTCTCCGCCGGGCTCGCCGGGCCACGACCGCGAGCGGCAGCCACTGTTGGATCGGGCCCGGGGCGCGGCGGCCCAGGGCCAGACCCAAACCGTGGCGGCGCAGGCCCAGGCTCTGGCCGCTCAGGCCGCGGCGGCAGCCCACGCCGCTCAGGCCCACCGCGAGCGGAACGAGTTCCCGGAGGATCCTGAGTTCGAGGCGGTGGTGCGGCAGGCCGAGCTGGCCATCGAGCGCTGCATCTTTCCCGAGCGCATCTACCAGGGCTCCAGCGGAAGCTACTTCGTCAAGGACCCTCAGGGGGTGAGTGCGGGGGTGGGGACCGCCGCCGCGGGCTGAGGGCCGGCGGCGCTCCTGGGGAGTTGGGGGCTTCGCACAGCCAGAGGGAAAAGGGAGAAACTTCACAGTACCAGCCCCTGGCAGGATTTAGGGATGCCACTGAGGACTGGAGCTGGGGACGCTCTGCGGAATGGAGAAATAAATCAGAACCTACTTGGTGGGGGAGGAGTGAGCGGAAAATGAAAAGAGGAAATTGACCAGATACGGGCCGGGGGCTCAGCGGTGTGGTGGGGCAATCCGCCGCTGGACAGAGACTGCTTTCTAGTAGGGTACTTAGCTTCACACTACTGGGACAGCTATTCGGCCGCCGACTTGCAGATTTGGGGCTTTAGGCCTGTTCTCTCTTTTTGGACCGACCGAACCAGTGTGTCGCTGTTCACGGAGGAGGATGGGTGACCTATCAGGGGATCTGAGAATTCAGTTCCAGCCTTCTATGTTGTGGGGGATGTCCCCTGCCACCGTCCCAGCTCTTATTAACAGACGTTGAAGAAAGAATGGGCGGACTCACCAGTTTCATCTGCCCTGGGTATTGCTCACTTCTGGGAAAGGGTTCAAATACTTTTTGACGACTCCAAAGTTTAGATAGAACTTGGAGTTTTAGAAACATGGGGCCATCAGCTACTTTTTCTTTCATTTCTCTCCCAGGGCTATCAACAGCCTGCTTTTCAACTAAGGCAGAGCGTTTGCCGACCTTTATTTTGTCCCCTGCCTGTATATAAAGGGGGATGGTTATAGGATGGGGCATGGAGTGACCAGGGTATCTGAGAAGTGACCTTTATCCTTTTGAGAACTGCAGAATTTAAGAAATACCAAGTCTTCCCTGTTTTCAGGGAAGTTTCAGGGAAATTTTCAGGTGTGCTGCAATGGGTCATTGGAAAGATGTATTGTTATTTAAATTATGGGTGTCAAAGTTTCCTCAGATTTTCCCTGACATCTCTCCTGTGTGAACTCTTTAGATGGCCAGGGTGCTGTTTTAATAGGAGTCCTGAGTGGCCAGGACGGGCTGTTACTTGTAGCTCTTGGTTCGGCTCATTGAATGATCTAGTTATTCACTCAGAGTTTGAGTCGTCCCTGAATTAATCAAGAATTAGAGAACAATTCTGCCATGAACTCAGTTTCTCAGTTTACATAAACTGAGTTGGGGAAAGCTTTGCGAGTAATAAGTCTTTCGAAGTTTCTTTTTCTTTTTTTTTTTCTTTTTTTTTTGAGACAGAGTCTTGCTCTGTCGCCAGGCTGGAGTGCAGTGGCGCGATCTCAGCTCACTGCAGCCTCCGCCTCCCAGGTTCAAGCAATTATCCTGCCTCAGCCTCCTGAGTGGCTGGGACTACAGGCGTGCACCACCACACCCAGCTAATTTTTGTATTTTTAGTAGAGACCATGTTGGCCAGGATGGTCTCGATCTCTTGACCTTGTGATCTGCCCACCTCGGCCTCCCAAAGCGCTGGGATTACAGGCGTGCCACCGCGCCCGGCCTCCAAGTTTCTTAAATAAAAGAGCTTGCAAGCTCAAGTGGGAACCATCATTTCTAGAAGCAAAGAAATGTGAGTGCCCTGAGGTTTAAATGTCAGCCAGAGGCTTGCTTGCTTTCTCTTTCTTCCTTCCTTCCTTCCTTCCTTCCTTCCTTCCTTCCTTCCTTCCTTTCTTTCTTTCTTTTTCTTTCTTTCTTTCTTTCTTCCTTCCTTCCTTCCTTCCTTCCTTCCTTCCTTCCTTCCTTTCTTTCCTTTCTTTCTTTCTCTTTCTTTCTTTTTCTTTCTTTCTTTCATTCATTCTCTCTTTCTCGTCTTTCTTTCTTTCAGAGAAGGTCTCACTCTGACACCCAGGCTGGAGTGCAGTGGTGCAGTCTCACTGCTCACTGCAGCCTTGACATCCAGGGCTCAAGGTCCTCCCACTCAGCTTCCGAGTAGCTGGGACTACAGGCACGCACCACCACACCCGGCTAAAAATTATTTTTCATGGAGACAAGAGTCTCGCCATGTTGCCCTGGTTGGTCTCAGACTCCTGGCTTCAAGCAGTCATCCTCTTGCCTCAGCCTCCCAAAGTGCTGGGATTACAGGTGTGACCCACCATGCCTGTCCTTTTTTTGTGGGCAGAGGGTATTTTTAGTTTGTTGGCAAATGTAAGAAGGGGCTAAGATTATCTTTGATAGGTACAGGAGAAGGAGGAATATTTTTGTTTTTCTTTCATGACACTGTTAGAGCTGCATTGGAAGTGGGTTAGGTCAGCTGAGAAGTGAGCTGGTGCTTTGACAGATGGAAGTAATACGATCTCTTAATTCTACCTGGCAGGTAAAGTACTACCATCTCAGTACATAGGCCACAGAGAAGGACAGACCATAGGTATGTTACTTGGTGATTTAGGGATTCCAGTCTCTAAAATTTCCTGGCCACTATCCTTTCTCATAGGGGAAGTCCAAACACAGATGCCCTGACAAAACTTTTTGACGTACTCATACTGCTTCCAGTGAAGAAAATGTGATTTAGAACAAAGGGCACTTTCTAAATGCTTGCGGTGGGTTAGACTGGCCCACAGACTTACTGTAGTTGGAATTGTCATCTTTGGCTCTCCTCCAAATGTATTTACTTTATTAAACAAATACTTACATAGCATTTACTATATTCCTTTAAGTGCTTTACAAATAATAACTCACTTAATCTTTATAACCACCCTTGGAGGTAGGTACTGTTATTATCCCCGCAGGTGACAACACAAGCCCATGGTATAACAAATTTTTCCAAGGTCTCACACCTAGTAAGTGGTAGAGGCAGGATTGGGCCAAGGCGGGTTGGCTGTGGAGTTCATGTTCTCACCACTATCCTTTGCTCCCTCAGAGTCAGTCATCAGAATTTCCATATTCTGGACAGGTGCGGTGGCTCACGCCTGTACTCTCAGCACTTTGGGAGGCCGAGGCAGGCGCATCACTGGAGGTCAGGAGTTCGAGACCAGCCTGGTCAACATGGTGAAACCCCATCTCTACTAAAAATACAAAAATTAGCCGAGCACTGTGGCAGGCACTTGTAATCCCAGCTACTCGGGAGGCTGAAGCAGGAGAATTGCTTGAGCCTGGGAGGTGGAGGTTGCAGTGAGCCGAGATCGTACCACTGCACTCCAGCCTGGGCGACAGAGTGAGACTCCGTCTCAAAAACAAAACAAAAGAAAAGAATTTCTAAATTCTCTTCTCAGCTACTATATTGGTTAGTATTGAATTTGACTATATGTGACAGATATTTTAAAATAATGATGACTTGAAAAAAGGTTCATTTACACCTCATGTAAAAGAAGTCTATAGGCTAGCTGCTCAGGCATGCTCAGGGCTGGCATGACATTTCACTTTATTGGAGACATAGGGTTCTTCCTGCCAGCTGATCAGCCATCTTTAGGATATGGCTTCTACTACATGGTCCAAGATGGCCGCTCAAGCTGCAAACATCTTGTCTGCTTTTCAGCCATTTGGAAGAAGGAAAGGGAGAGGGTGAATATGCCCCCATCCTTTAAGGCACTTCGTAGAAGTTGTAGGAGACTCTTCTACTTACATTCCATTGTCTAAAACTTAGCTGTAGTAGTGGCTGGGAACTATAGTCTTTTTTCTTTTTTCGCCCAGGTAAAAATCATGGGTCTTGTGTCTAGGGAACAAGGGGGAACAGAGATTGGGAGAACCAGCACTTTCTGCGACAGCCACTTTTGGATCTTAGACAGTCTGAAAGATTCTTGAAGATAACAGCCCTGGTCCCATTTCTCAATTTTGGATGGTTTCTGTCTCAGTGGGGTCCAAGAACAGATGGAAAATGCTAGAAGTCATGGGGAGAGTATACACATACCCCCCTCACTTACCTCCTTGTGCTTCAGGTCTCATGCTCACTCAACTGCAAAAGGGTTTTTTGAGCTTTTTCTCTTTTGCGTGGAGTAATACTAGATTTTCACATTGCCAAGAATCATAGGACAGCATGTGACTCACTAGGTTAAGAGGATTAAATGACATATCACACATGAAAGCCCTGACGTAGTTCCTGGCACTTAGTTGGGGCAGCTCAATCAGATTTTTAAAAACATTCCTACTAACTGCTTAATTAGGGTTCTTGGGGTACATGGTATCGAATAAGGCTATAAGAGTTGGTAGATGGGGCGCAGTGGTTCACGCCTGTAATCCCAGCACTTTGGGAGGCTGAAGCGGGCGGATCACAAGGTCAGGAGATAGAGACCATCCTGGTTAACATGGTGAAACCCCATCTCTACTAGAAATACAAAAAATTAGCCGGGCGTGGTGGCGGGCACCTGTAGTCCCAGCTACTCGGGAGGCTGAGGTAGGAGAATGGCGTGAACCCGGGAGGCGGAGCTTGCAGTGAGCCAAGATCGTGCCACTGCTCTCCAGCCTGGGCGAGACAGCAAGACTCTATCTCAAAAAAAAAAAAAAAAAAAAGTTGGTAGATGATGCTTAAAATCTCGAGACCTACATGTATGACAAACTTGACTGCCTCTTAACGTTTTAGTAAAATAATTTTATTATATTTTATTATATATATATTTTTGAGACAGTTTCTCACCCTGTCGCCCAGGCTGGAGTGCAGTGGCACAACCTTGGCTCATTGCAGCCTTGGCCTCCCAGTGTTGGGATTACAGGTGTGAGCCACTGTGCCTGGATGGTTTTATATATTTCAACAAGCCCTTCCCTTCCTTTTGTAAGAATGAACTTGTAAATAAGGCTTCTCTACCTAAATAGCTAAATCAAGGACTACTATTTTCCTCCAACCTATACCATAGAATACAGCAGTTCTTAGAGTGTGGCCCAGGGATCTTGACCTCTGGGAGTTCCTTTTTGGGGTCCACAGGTCAAAATTATTTTCATCATAATTCTAAGACTTTATTTGCCTTTTTCATTCTCATTTACTTAGGAGTGGAGAGTGGAGATTTCCAGAGACTACATGATGTGTGATATTGAAACAGATTGAATACTAAGATATGAGATATAGCCTTTACCCACATTAACAAATGCTTTTTGGAGTCCTTAATAATTTTTTTTTTTTTTTTTGAGATGGAGCCTCACTCTGTCGCTCAGGCTAGATCAGGCATGATCTCGACTCACTGCAACCTCTGCCTCCTGGGTTCAAGCAATTCTCCTGCTTCAGCCTCCCAAGTAGCTGGGATTACAGGTGCGCCCACCACCATGCCCGGCTAATTTTCGTATTTTTAGTAGAGACAGGATTTCAGCATGTTGGCCAGGGTGGTCTCAAA
The DNA here is from genome assembly GCF_000001405.40 of Homo sapiens. Taxonomy (NCBI): domain Eukaryota; kingdom Metazoa; phylum Chordata; class Mammalia; order Primates; family Hominidae; genus Homo; species Homo sapiens. The sequence goes on from NC_000010.11 coordinate 97,646,440, forward strand.
CTCCTGATCTCAGGTGATCCACCCGCTTTGGCCTCCCAAAGTACTGGGATTACAGGCATGAGCCACCACACCCAGCCTAATTTTTAAGAGTTTAAACTTTTTGAGACCAAAACGTTTGAGAACTATCCACTTAATGTTTATGAAACTTTAAAAGAAGACTTTTATAAAAGGTAATTTCTGTATATTTCACTGTGCGATGTGAATGATATGCTTGAACTGTCTTACATTTTAGGTTCTTGGAGAAAGGACCTCTTTTAGCATAGCATGACACCCTCCTCCTTGTCATTGCTGATTAGATATAGGAACCCCGCTGGGTTCCAGGTTCCAGTAATTTTTTGTTGTTGTTTGTTTTGAGAGGGGGGTCTAGCTCTGTTGCCCAGGCTGGAGTGCAGTGGTGTGATCTTGGCTCACTGCAACTTCCACCTCCTGGGTTCAAGCGATTCTCCCGCCTCAGCCTCCTGAGTAGCTGGTACTACAGGTGCATGCCACCATGCCCGGCTAATTTTTTCTATTTTTTTTTTTTGTAGAGATGGGGTTTCACCATGTTGGCCAGGCTGGTCTTGAACTCCTGACCTCAAATGATCCACCTGCCTTGGCCTCCCAAGTGCTGGGATTATAAGTGTGAGCCACTGCGCTGGGCTCAGGTTCCAGTAATTGGTTGTGGGTTCTGACACCAGCTGGTGCATGGCCTCTTGCTTTCTTGTGTGATTTGGTTTTTATTCCCAACTTCATGGACTGCTACTGCTTAAGCTATCTGTACCTCACCCCTCCTTTGTTAAAAGGGGAGATTAGTAAATGGGTGTTAAGAAAAGTTGTTTTTATAATATTGGCATCAAACTGAAGCTCTCTCCTAGATATAATAAAGGAATTGAAAATCTATTAAGAGAAAAAAAACACAAAATATTAAAGAAGAGAGTGGATGGTGAGGAAAAATTAGGCAGTAGTCATTTTCTTTTCCAGCTAAATACTGGTGGGTGTCTTTCCAATTTGAGTGGTTTTAGAGTTTGTTCTCCATGAATGAGAAGAGTATTCTTGATTATTCAGTAGCATAGTTGATTTTATGAAGTGAACATTGGAAATTAGGCCAGAGGGTATTTTACCTCTCTGTCTAGGAAAGCCACCAAATGCCTGCAGAATGCTTGCACATCGTTCTCCACAGGCTAGGTCCTGAGCAAATGCTAACATAATTGAATTGAACTGAGGCTTACACTTAGTCCTGAAAGGCACTTGTCTCCCCTTCTGTCTGAATGCCCTTTTGTTCCTCCATTCTTCATACTCTAACATTCCCTCATTGATCTAGTCCAGGCAGTATTCTTTAATAAAACCCCTGTACTATTGCATAACCATAATTACTCATGCTTTTGGAGTCATTGAAATGCTTCTTATTCTCCTTATGGTAGAAGGAAATCAAGATGTTTGAGAGGTCAGTCTTTAAATGACACTTGACTGCAATCTTGGCCTTCAAGTTCTGCTTGCTTTTTTTTTGTTGTTGTTGTTTAATTTTTCTTTTTTAGAGATGGGGTCTTGCTCTGTCACCCAGGCTACAGTGCAGTGGCATGCTTCTAGCTCACTGCAGCCTTGATCTCCTAGGCACAAGGGATTCTCCCCGCCGAGTAGCTGGGACTACAGGTGCATACCACCACACTTAGCTAATTTTTTTTTTTTTTTTTTTTGAGATGCTATTTCGCTCATTGCCCAGGCTGGAGTGCAATGGCATGATCTCGGCTCACTGCGACCTCCACCTCCCAGGTTCAAGCGATTCTCCTGCCTCGCCTCCCGAGTAGCTGGGACTACAGGCATGTGCCACCATGCCTGGCTAATTTTGTATTTTTAGTAGAGATGGGGTTTCTCCATGTTGGTCAGGCTGGTCTCGAACTCCTGACCTCAGGTGATCCACCCTCCTTGGCCTCCCAAAGTGCTGGGATTACAGGCATGATTCCCGGCTAATTTTTAAAAATTAGTGACAGAGTCTTGTGGTATTGCCCAAACTGGTCTCAAACTCCAGGCCTCAGGCAATCCTGCCTCATCCTCTGAAAGTGCTGGGCTTATAGGCATGAGCCACCATGCCCAACTTTTTCTGTCTTTAAGTAGAAGTATTTACCAGTTGACCTCAGCCCTGGTATTTTTCAGCCCCCAGTAGTAGTAGGAGTGTCTTGGCCTCCTTTTCATTGAGGACCAGCTTACTGAACTCCATAATGTGCCTCAGTTGAACTGACTGTTGCGTTCTGGGACATGCTTCAAGTTGCCTTTTGGTTTCCCTGTCCAGGGTCCGGAGGGTTACAGTGGACTCGTCAGTCATTCTCTGAGTTGTGAGCCTGTTGCTACTGCTGCTTTGTTATTCAGAGGCTGGGGTTCCAGGGGAGCAGAGACAGAGAAGACTGCTGAGGACTCTAGCTAGCTGCTTTGCATAAGAAAGTAATTCTGAAGACTTATGATGTGAATATATGCATTTTGCATTTGCCAGTAAATAAGTTAGTTTGTCTTTAAGAATAAATTGATTCTTTTTGGAGGGAGAAGGAGGAGTTCTGTATTTTTCTTGTCCTCTCAAATCCTTGGAAGGCATTTTTAAAGGAGCTGGCTTCAAGATCGACCAGTTATTGTTAGCGACATGGACCTAGCTAGTTCCTAATATGAGTACTGAGTTGGTAAAAGCAGATGGGTGTATGTTGTCTGCTGTGACCTGCCATTCAGGAAGTGACACCCACAGAAAAATATCTTATGACCCAGACTAGCTTGAGTAGGCTGTGGGGTGAGGGGACAAGGAGAGTCATATGATATGAGGATGAATCACTTGGATAGCATATTTGCTTTTTTCCTTTGAATTACCAGTTTGGGGACTGGAGGGAATTAGATGAATGTAAAACAACCTCAGAGGGCTGACTGGCCTGTTGAAGAAAACACTCAGGAGGGAGGGCCATAGTTTCTAGGCATCCCATATTTCCAAAGACCTTAGAAGATTAAGTTACTGTCTGCTATAGAAGATGGATTTAATCTGTGTGGCATCTCATGTCCTGGTTTCTTGCCTATCAGAATTACTTAAGAGAGCTTCATTCTAACCAAGTAGCAGAGTCTTTTTCCTGCTGTGATTTTTCTCTTTGGATAATAAGGCTGCGAGAGGAAATCTCTTCATCATTGATGAAGGAATTTCCTTAACCTCATTCCATAATAGATTTTTTTTTTTTTTTTTTTTTTTTTTTTTTTGAGGCAGAGGCTTGGTCTTGTCACCCAGGCTGGAGTGCAGTGGCGTGATCTCAGCTCACTGCAACCTCCGCCTCCTGAGTTCAAGTGATTCTCCTGCCTCAGCCTCCCGGGTAGCTGGGATTACAGGTGCATGCCACCATGCCCAGCTAATTTTTGTATTTTTAGTAGAGACAGGGTTTCACCATGTTGGCCAGGCTGGTCTCGAACTCTTGACCTCAGGTTATCTGCCCACCTTGGCCTCCCAAAGTGCTGGGATTACAAGCGTAAGCCACCATGCCCGGCCCATAATACCTTCTTTACTTCCTTCCAGTTGGTAAAGTTTTTAGTCTTTCTGTAATTGGTGCAGAACAACAGTGTGCATAATGTAACTTCGGAAATTAGAGTTTATGATGTTAAATTTCTGGCATACCACATACAGAAAGATCCCGTAGGATAAATAGGGCAGGGGTGCATGCAAAAAAAGAGAACATATAACCTGTGATAAGTTAATTCCTCATTTTTTTGGGGGAAAGATTACTTTAGAGCCCTCGATATGTGCATTAGGATATTGTATCTTTCTGGAGGGCAGGAAGCAGTACCATATTGGCATTAGATGCTGCCAGTGACTCACGATCTACCACTGAATTGGCTTCTGTACCTTTTTTTTTTTTTTTTGTGAGACAGGGTCTCGTTTGGTCGCCCAGGGTGAGGAATGCAGTGTGGGCAATCTAGGCTCACTGCAACCTCCGCCCCATGGGTTCAAGTGATTCTCATGCCTCAGCCTCTGAAGTAACTGGAATTACAGGTGTGCACCACCGCGCCCAGCTACTTTTTGTATTTTTAGTAGAGACAGGGTTTCGCCATGTTGGCCAGGCTGGTCTCAAACTCCTGGCCTCAAATTATCCACCCGCCTTGGCCTCCCAAAGTGCTGGGATTACAGGCATGAACCCTTGTACCTGGCCTGCTTCTGTGTCTTGCTCCTAGAAATGTAGCAATCCATTTACCTTGTTTGTTTGAAGCACAAAGTTAGAGGTAGGTACTTATATGAGGGAAAAGAGATGGAGAAGAGGGAAAAAGGAGCAAGGAAGAAAGAGAAGACTTAAGATGTTCTTTGGCCACAACCCTTTCTAGCAGTGGGTCTCTTAGCTGCACACACGAGCTGGTGTCTTCCCCTTACCAACTGGGAGAAACCTGAGTCCAACTGTAAGTAGGAATTGTCTGCCTATGCCCTGTCATTTCTTTCCAGATTCCTGCTGACTTGGTCTGTGGGCTATTTTGGTCAACTCGGATTTAACATCCTCTTTTTCTTTGGTCTCTGTAGAGGATCATTGCTGTCTTCAAACCCAAGAATGAAGAGCCCTATGGGCATCTTAATCCTAAGTGGACCAAGTGGCTGCAGAAGCTGTGCTGTCCTTGCTGCTTTGGCCGTGACTGCCTTGTCCTTAACCAGGGCTATCTCTCAGAAGCAGGGGCCAGCCTGGTGGACCAAAAACTGGAACTCAACATTGTTCCCCGTACAAAGGTCAGTGACCCATCTCCAGGAAGCCTTACTGCCTGGCCACAGTTTTCCTGGGGCCTAAGCCCTGCTACATGTTAGTGGGACCTTGGGTCCAGTGGGGTCATTTATACCCTAAGTCTGGGTTCTCGATCTTTTTTCGGGAGGATGGCAGGATTAGGCTTATGATTTGATCACCTGATGAAGGCTATCTTTTGAAGGATACACACACAATTTTTGCATACAATTTTAGGAAATTCACAAACTTCTACTGCATGTTTATGGCTCCCTTGGTCTTTGAATCCCAGCTAACCCCAAGCTAGTTAGAAACCTAGTGACTTTGTGGCTTACTCTCAGACTTCTGAGCCATCCCAGCATTTCGATACAGTCTAGGACTGGCTGATGACAGCTAAGAACTTCTGCAGGGTCTGACAAGGAAGACTTTAGGACAGGCTGAGGGTTAGAACAATGGTCTGGCCTGAACCCTACAGGGAACTGACATGGAATATTTCTAACTTATCTTTATGCTGTCGAATTTTGGGACTTGTCTGAACACATCAAAATAGGGGTGCCAGATCTAGGCAAACTCACACTCAGAATGGATTCATACACATCTTGTATGTGTTATAGACATAGTTGAGGTCTCCCCCAACCCCCACCCCCACCAATATGCTTGAATACAGAATTGATTGCATACAATTTGAGGGAGTTTACTGACACCAGGCTAAGAACCCCTGCACTACAAGGTATTCCATGAAACTCACCAAAGGTTATGAGGGGAAGGAATCTACTGGTCAGCATATGAACATGTCCGGACACATCATTCACTGAGTACGTGGCTACCTGGGGTTTAGTAACAACTTAGGTGGGACTCTCATCTGATGCCCTGAGGCTGCTGAGTCATCTAAACAATCCTGGCTCCGTGCTTAGTCTTAACTAGTCTATGCTAGTTTATTTAGTTATTTACTAAATAACTAAAACTAAATTTATTTAGTTATTTAGTAAATAACTCTTTGAGAATCTGATGAAACCTATAGACCCCCTTTCCAGAAAAAGTACATATATTTGCAATTATTGTTTTGTGTATAATTTTAGGGCAATGGTTCATAAACGTTGCAGTCTATCTGTTGACACCCCAGGGAGCATGTCTCTAGATTAAAATCCCTCTGCTTAAAGTTTTCTTTTCTTTCTTATTTTTAGAGACAGGGTCTTGCTCTGTTGCCCAGGCTGGGGTGCAGTGGCATGATCACAACTCACTGCAGCCTTGACCTCCCAGGCTCAAGCAGTCCTCCCACCTCAGCCTCTCAGGTTGGGACTACGGGCATGTGCCACCATGCCTGGCTAATTTTTTTTTTTTTTAATTTTTTGTAGAGACAAGGTCTCCCTGTTTTGCCCAGGCTGGTCTTGAACTCCTGGGCTCAAGCTATCCTCCTGCCTTGGCCTCCCAAAGTGCTGGGATTACAAGTGTGAGCCACCACACCCAGCCTTAAAGATGTCTTCTCAGGTTTAGATAGCAGATTCTATGAGCAAAGAGATTGATCAGCAGTAGAAACTTCCCTTCCGTTTGAGAGGAAAATGTGACTATTGTGGATATTTAACCATGTCTGCTCCTTTGCTACTAAACTCCAAACAATTAGCCAACTAGTTTGTAAGTTATAGAAGTCAGAGACCACTTCTCAAGATTTCCTCTCTCATTCTCAGCACCTAGCAAAATACTATATTTATAGTAAGCATTCATGAAGTACCAGCTGAGTCAGTAAATGAATATGAAATCATGAGAAACAATACCAAAGTTCTTCCAACTTTAGGTCTAGCGAGAAAATGTTTGACCAGGCTTCTAGTTCCCATTTCACATCTAATTCACTGCCTGGCTTTGTACAGCTCATTCCTTCTCTTTATGCCTTACTTTTCCCTCTCTGTGCAGATAGTTTTACAGCATGCTTTGAACATCTTGTATGATAATTAATGTTCTTAAGTCTCCTAACCTGAAATGCTTCTACTAGGCTCCTCTTAGACTCTAGAAACTTTTACATTCTCCTTGCTTATCACTCTATAGTTTTCTTCCTTTACTAGGCAAATAGCAGACCGTGTCTGGCTCTATGCCTACCTGCTCTGTTGGTGCTTCTGGAGTGTGGTGCCCAAGAATCAGAGGACTTGAGTTTGAATTCTTGCTCTGCAGTTTTTGATTTGTGTAACACTTGGGCAAGTCATGTAACCTCCCTAGGCTCAGTTTCCTTACTGTAAAAATAGGGATATAAATAGTTCCTACTTTGTAGAGTGGCCATCAATATTACACAAGACAGCCTATATGAAGCACATAGCTGAGTGAGTGCCAGGCACAACGTAAACCCTCCATATGTTAGCCTGTGATATTTTTATCAGCTATTCTAATCGTTAGTGTCACCCCCACAATCCCTTTCGTCCCTATCTTTGGTCTTCCTCTTTCCCTGTTAGAGAACCTTCACGAGGCCTGAGGATCTTTTGCATCAGAAAGTCAGCAACAACAAAAATACTTGTCTTGGCTGGGCTCATTGGCTCACGCCTGTAATCCCAGCACTTTGGGAGGCCTAAGTGGGTGGATCACCTCAGGTCAGGAGTTCGAGACCAGCCTGGCCAACAGGGTGAAACCCTGTCTCTACTAAAAATACAAAACTTAGCTGAGCATGGTGGTGCGTGCCTGTAATCCCAGCTACTTGGGAGGCTGAGGCAGGAGAATCGCTTGAACCTGGAAGGCAGAGGTTGCAGTGAGCTGAGATTGTGCCACCACACTCTATCCTGGGCAACAGAGCGAGACTCCGTCTCAAAAAAAAAAAATACTTGTCTTCCATGAGACTGAGATGAGACAGAACTTTGGAAGCTTAACATATAGCTGCTGGAGAATAGTAAGAGGACTCCTCTCCCTGTCTCCCCAACTCTTGTGACAGGACTCTATCCAGTTGATCAGAGCATCTGTCATTATAGAAACAAGGTTCACATTGCATTGGAACTTCAAATGGTAAGGCTCTAATTCTCACTCACTGGCTGTCTCTGCTCTCTGCTCCTATGAGGTTTCAGGTTATGATAGTTTCATTAGTCATGGGGAAAAAGTGGTTTGTTAGGAAGAATGATAGAAAATAAATATGATGGGGGCAAAAGGGGATTTATGGCTTGAGAGAGCCAGGAGTTTCACTGTGGACACTGGCAAGGTAGCCTTAGGAAAGCTCTTTTTCCTTCATTCCTATGCCTGAGTTTTCTGATTTGTAAGGCAGGGAGTGCCTACTACAGTACCATGCACATCCATTTTAGGTAGTCTATTAATACTAGATGGTAGCATGGAGCGATAGATGAGAGGCAGTTATTTTGCCTCTCAGGTTCATGGGAAAAAAAATAGTTATTTGTAATAAATTTTACAAGGCTTAGGAAAATACCTTTCTTATAAGTTTGATTTTAGGTATTTATATGCTAAAACTCACTTGTTGCTGTCTCTGAAAGAAGCTTGTAACTCATTCTTCATTCACTTAATAAATATTTAATGAGCATATGCCAGCTACTGTGTTAGGTGCTGTGGATGCTAATATAAATAAGATGTTCTCCGCTTCCTCAAATCTCATTCATTTTAAAGGAGGAGTTAGATATACAAATGGATAATTACAAGACAATGTGATAAGTGTGACAATAGATGCATATGTGGATTACAATTACGTCACTGCAATTTGACTTAAGTATAATATTGATGGCTCATAAAAATTTTTTTTAGAATAAGTAATGCATGCATCTAGTATAAAAATCAGAAGGCACATAGGGTAAACAGAGAAAAGTAATTCAGACTCCCTGCTACCCCTATCTCCTGGCCATTCAGTTTCCTTCCTCAGAGGCAGCCAGGATTACAGTGTATAGCCTATACATAAAAATAGCAGTTAATTAAAATGAAAACCAATTTTAATGTTTGTGTTTTGAATACGAATAATTTCACAAAGTAAAAAAATTCAAAAGGGCCCGGGCACAGTGGCTCATGCCTGTAATCCCAGCACTTTGGGAGGCCGAGGTAGGAGGATCACCTGAGGTCAGGAGATCAAGACCAGCCTGGCCAACATGGTGAAACCCTCTCTCTACTAAAAATACAAAAATTAGCCAGGAGTGGTGGCACACACCTGTAATCCCAGCTACTTGGGAGGCTGAGGCATGAGAATTGCTTGAATGCGGGACTTGGAGGTTGCAGTGAGCCGAGACTGTGCCACTGCACTCCAGCCTGGGCAACAGAGTGAGACTCTGTCTCAAAAAAAAAAAAAAAAAAAAATTTTTTTTCAAAAGGAAATGAAGGGGTACAGAGTAAATTGCAACTTGTTTGTCTCTGGAAAGAAGATGGGCATTTGGCCTAATCTAACCCAGGAGATGACAGTGTTAATCCTTGTACTTCATACTAGCTGCTGTAACAACCCTTAAATCTAAGTGGTTTAATACAATTGGATTGTATTTCTTTTTTATCATATTTTTTTTGGGACAGAGTCTCCCTCTGTCACCCAGGATAGAATGTGCAGTGGTGCGATCTTGGCTCACTGCAACCTCTGCCTCCAAGGTTCAAGCCATCCTCCCACCTCAGCCTCCGAAGTATCTAGGATTACAGACGTGCACCACCATGCCTGGCTAATTTTTGTATTTTTAGTAGAGACGGGGTTTAACCATGTTGGCCAGGCTGGTCTCGAACTCCTGACCTCAAGTGATCTGCCCACCTCGGCCTCTCAGAGTGCTGGGTTTACAGGTGTGAGCCACCACGCCTGGCCAGGAGTGTATTTCTTGATTACATCTCAGACTCATGCCAGATAGGCAGCTCTCCTAGATACCACATCACTCATGTAGTTACAAGGTATCCGAGGTTCTTCCATGGTGTGGCTCTGCTATTTCCCAGCCCTTCTTTCCTAGCTGCACAGACTGGAGAATGTGAATTAAGGATTGTGGGAGATTTTAGTTGCCAGCAGTGGAAGTGTTGTACATACATAATTTTGTCATTATTTCATTGGCCCAAACTAGTTATCTTCCCTCTCCTAGTTGCTGGGAAGGCTGAGAAATGTATTCTTTCTGTGCCCTGGAAGAGGAATAGGATTTGTGAACATCAAGCTATTTATTCTCTGCCATAGTCTTCTGGTTCCTTAAACTTGACTCTAACCTTAGTATCTCTTCTCTTTCACTGTAGGTAGTATACCTGGCCAGTGAGACCTTCAACTATAGTGCCATTGACCGAGTGAAGTCCAGGGGCAAGCGGCTTGCACTAGAGAAAGTGCCAAAAGTTGGACAGCGGTTTAACCGCATCGGGCTACCACCAAAGGTATAGACGCACCTCTGGCTTATCAAGGGTCATGATTTATAGTGACATAGTCATCCAAGTGGTGAAGCAAGGTGCCTACAACTCAAATATGGGCACGTGAATAACCTGCCCTGAGGATCCTGTCTTCCTTATTTCTGTCAAGTGGCTAAGGTTTGAAAAGTTGAGACCTAACTTTTCACTTTACTCCTCTGGTTCATTTGGATAGGTTCTTTAATTTGGATGGATGATCACTGTTACATCTCTTTTCTCCTGTACTTGCAAGAAATGAGGAAGTAAAGATCTTGAAAAGTTTTCCTTCTCTGATACAAACTCCATAGGGCCTTAATGGGTATCTGGCATATACTCCAAAGGTCTTTGGATTTGGGCAGTAGGGAAAAACCTTTGTTCCTTCCTCTTGGTTCCAGGTTGGTTCATTCCAGCTCTTTGTTGAAGGCTACAAAGATGCAGACTATTGGCTGCGGCGTTTTGAAGCAGAACCTCTTCCTGAGAACACTAACCGGCAACTACTGCTCCAGTTTGAGCGGTTGGTGGTGCTGGATTACATCATCCGCAACACTGGTGAGCAGCTGCAGGTGGTCCCATGCCCTGTGCCAGACTGTGTTGAGGCATGGGGAGGCCTGGAGGCTTGCAGGGCTTGGGAGTCAGAGTACCTTGTCCAGACACATCATGTGTAGTTTTCAGAAGTGGTGAGGCCTGGAGTTAGTATTTGCATTTTATCTTACACTCTTTCCTGGTTCCAGACAGAAGACACTTAACTCTTCCAAAGCACTGTGAAGAGTACTCTTATCCTTGATCCCTAGTCATTCTTGTAGCCTCAAGACCTGTAACAGGACAGTTTTGTCTTCCTCTGACTTCTTGAGGTAGATGTTTAGATCATTGATATTTAAAAAAAATTTTTTTTCAGTGCAATTTAAATTCAACTAACCTGGTAAAATGTACATGTATTGAGGACAAAAGTCTTTAAATTCAGGCTGGATGTGGTGGCTCATGCGTGTACTCCCAGCACTTTGGGAGGCCAAGGTGGACAGATCATTTGAGGCCGGGAGTTCCAGACCAGCCTGGACAACATGGTGAAACCCTGTCTCTACTAAAAATACAAAAATTAGCCGGGTGTGGTGGCGGGCACCTGTAGTCCCAGCTATTCAGGAGGCTGAGGTGGGAGAATCGCTTGAACCTGGGAGGCGGAGGTTGCAGTGAGTCAGAATTGCACCACTGCACTCTAACCTGGGTGACAGAGCAAGACTCTGTTTCCAAAAAAAAAAAAAAGTCTCTAAAGTCACCTTATTGGAGCTATATTTTGTCCGATATTTTAATCATAGTAAAATGCATGTAACATAAAATTTATTATCTTAACCATTTTAAAGTAGTATGAAATACATTCATATTGTTGTGCAACTGTCACCACCATCCATCTCCAGAGCTCTTTTTGTTGTTGTTGAGACCGAGTCTTGCTCTGTCACCTAGGCTGGAGTGCAATGGTGCGATCTCAGCTCACTGCAACCCCTGCCTCCTGGGTTCAAGTGATTTTCTCACCTCAGCCTTCTGAGTAGCTGGGATTACAGACACCCGCCATCATGCATGGCTAATTTTTGTGTTTTTATAGAGATGGGGTTTCACCATGTTGGCCAGGCTGGTCTTGAACTGACCTCAGGTGATCCACCCATCTCAGTGTCCCAAAGTGCTGGGATTACAGGTGTGAGCCACCATGCCTGGCCTCCAGAACTCTTTTCATCTTGTAAAACTGAAGCTCTATACTCATTAAACAGTAACTCTTCATTCCCCCTCCCTACGTCCCTGGCAACAATCATTCTGTTTTCTGTTTCTATGATTTTGACTACTCTAAGTACCTCATGTAAGTGGAATAGTACAGTATTTGTCTTTTGGTGATTCGCTTATTCACTTAGCATAACGTTCTCAAGGTACATCTATGATGTAGTATATATCAGAATTTCCTTCCTTTTTAAGGATAAATACTGATCCATTTTATGTATATACCACATTTTGTCTATCCATTTATCTTTCAGTGAACACTTGGGTTGCTTCTGCATTTTAGCTATTACGAACAATGCTACTATGAACATGGGTGTACAAATATCTCTTCAAGACCCTGCTTTCAGTTTTTTTGAGTATATATCCAGAAGTGGAATTATTGGATCATATATGGTAATTCTATTTTTAATTTTTTGAGGAACCACCATACTGTTTTCCACAGCAGCTGTGCCATTTTACATTCCCACCAACAGCACACGAGGGTTCCTTCCAATTTCTCACCAGCACTTACTGTTTTCTGTTTTTTCCTTTTCATATTTAATCTGCATTCTGCTGAATGTTTTCTGTTGTTTTGATAGTAACCATCCTAATGGGTGTAAGATGTTATCTTATAGTTTTGATTTGCATTTCCTTAATGATTAGTGATGGTAAGCATCTTCTTATGTGCTGATTGGCCAATCATATATCTTCTTTGGAGCTGTCTATTTAAGTCCTTTGCCTATTTTTGAATTTTTTTTGGTCATTATTGTTGAGTTCTCTATACATTTGTTTAAAGTTCTCTGTATATCTGGCTATTAATCCCGTATCAGATATATAATTTGCAAATATTTTCTCTCAATCTCTTGCCTTTAGTTTTATTTTTTAAAGAGACAGAGTTATGCTCTATTGTCCAGGCTGAAGTGCAGTAGCACAATCATAGCTCACTACAGCCTCGGACTCCTGGGCTCAAGTGATCTTCCTACCTCTGCCACCCGAGTAGCTGGGACTACAGGTGTGAGGACCACGCCTGGCTAGTTTTTAAATTCTTTGTAGAGATGAGGTCTCACTGCGTTGCCCAGACTGGTCTCGAATTCCTGGGCTCAAGCAGTCCTCCTACCTCAGCCTCTCAAAGTGCTGGGATTACAGGTGTGAACAACTGCGCCTGGCTTGCAACTGATTTTTTTGTGGATTGACTTTGTATGCTGCTACTTTCCTGAATTATTAGTTCTAGTAGTTATTTTTTTGTGTGGAAATTTTAGGGTTATGCACCTACACAATCATATCTATGAACAGACATAATTTTCCCTCTTTTTTTTTTTCCAATTTGGGTGCTTTTTATTTCTTTTTTCTTGCTTCAGTGCTCTAAGACTTCCAGTACTATGTTGAATAGAAGTAAAAGCAGGCATCTTTTCACTGTTCTTGATTTTAGAGGAAAACCTTGCAATCTTTCACCATTATGATGTTAGGGTCCTTTTTGCCCACCTTGGCACCCTCAAGCTATTTGCAAGCTGCTCCTGGAACTTGTGCACATCTGGCTGCCATGTGGCTGAAGGGTGGGGGATGGGTAGCTGCTTGTGGGGCTAAGAGCCAAAATTGAATGAAATTAACCACAATTTACTGTCCAGGCTTTCCCCTGCAAGTTGCAGGCCCTCCATAGACTCCAGAGCTCCAAAATAATTACATCAGACAGATTTTTGCCACTACAATTGTTGTCCACGTGGGGAGACAGATTTCTGTTGTTTCCTACTCCACCATCTTCCCAGAATCCTCTCTCTTAGAGTATTGATTTTTACCTTTTCTCCTTTCCCTTCCTTTTCTTTTCTTTTTCTTTCTTTTCTTTTTTTTTTTTTTTTTGAGACGGAGTCTCGCTCTGTCACCCAGGCTGGAGTGCAGTGGCGCGATCTCGGCTCACTGCAACCTCCGCCTCCCGGGTTCACGCCATTCTCCTGCCTCAGCCTCCCGAGTAGCTGGGACTACAGGCGCCTGCTACCACGCCCGGCTAATTTTTTGTATTTTTAGTAGAGATGGGGTTTCACCGTGTTAGCCAGGATGGTCTCGATCTCCTGACCTCGTGATCTGCCCGCCTTGGCCTCCCAAAGTGCTGGGATTACAGGCGTGAGCCACCGCGCCCGGCCTTTTTTTTTTTTTGAGACGGAGTCTCACTCTGTCGCCCAGGCTGGATTGCAGTGGCATGATCTTGGCTCACTGCAACCTCCACTTCCCAGGTTCAAGTGATTCTCCTGCCTCAGCCTCCCGAGTAGCTGGGACTACAGGTGCATGCCACCACACCCGGCTAATTTTTGTATTTTTAGTAGAGACAGGGTTTCACCATATTGGTCAGGCTGGTCTTGAACTCCTGACCTCGTGATCTGCCTGCCTTGGCCTCCCAAAGTGCTGGGATTACAGGTGTGAGCCATCGAGCCCGGGCTCTTCTTTTCTAATATATGCACTTCAGACTTTAATTTCATCTTAAGCATAGTTTAGTTGTATCTTACAAGTGTTTTTTTTTTTTACCATAATCATTATAAAATATACTGAAATTTTTTTTATCCTCTCAGTTTATAGATGGAGACTGTATTTTCTAATTTCCATTGTTCATTTCTTCTCTGACCCATAGTTTACTTAAAATAGTTTTTTAGCTGGTTAGTAGGAAAATTTCAAAATACACAAAAGTAGAGAGACTGGTATAATAAACCCCATGTACTTGTTACCACCTTCAACAGTTATTATGTAAGGTCTCACTTCCTGCTACCCCCATCCCTGCTGGATTTTTTTTTTTTTCAACTAAGGCTTTGACTGGAACTGCTGGATTTTTTAAAATTTATTTTTATTTTATATTTTTTGGAGACGGAGTCTCACTCTGTTGCCCAGGCTGGAGTGCAGTGGCCCAATCTCGGTTCACTGCAAGCTCCGCCTCCCGGGTTCACACCATTCTCCTGCCTCAGCCTCCCGAGTAGCTGGGACTACAGGCGCCCGCCACCACACCCGGCTAATTTTTTGTATTTTTAGTAGAGACGGGGTTTCACCGTGTTAGCCAGGATGGTCTCGATCTCCTGACCTCGTGATCCGCCCACCTCGGCCTCCCAAAGTGCTGGGATTACAGGAGTGAGCCACCGCGCCCGGCCACTGCTGGATTATTTTAAAGCAAATCTGAGACATCATTTTATAGCATCCATAGATACCTCCATATGTTCTTGAAGAGATAAAGACTTTTTTTTTTTTTTCAGTATAATCAGTATTTAATGTCCCATCAGTGTTTGGATTACCCCAGTTGTTTCATAAAAAAAGATTTTTATAATTGGCTTGTTGAAATTATGATATAAAGGTCCACATATTACATTTGGTTAATATCTTTCCTTTCTGTTTTTTTTTTGGAGATGGGATCTCACTATGTTGCCCAGGCTGGTCTTAAACTCCTGGGCTCAAGCAGTCCTCCCACCTCAGCCTCCCAAAATGCTGAGATTACAGGCATGAGCCACTGTGACTGGCCAGGTTAATATGTTTCTTAAATGTCTTCAATTTAGGGAAAGTTTCACATCTTTTTTTTTCCCTTGCCTTTTATTTGTTGAAGAAACTGGATATTTGCCCTATAGAAGTTCCACATTGTGGATTTGGCATCCCCAATTCTCTGTGTTTCCTGTAAATTTACTGCTTGAGTTTAAAGGCTTGATCAAATTCAGGTTTGATTTTTTTTTTTTTTTTTTTGAGGCAGGGTCTCACTCTGTTGCCCATGCTAGAGTACAGTGGTATGATCATAGCTCATTGCAGCAGCCTCCAACACTTGGCTCAAGCTGTCCTGCCTCAGCCTCCCAAGTAGTTGGGACTATAGGCACGTACCACCACACCTGGCT
Source organism: Homo sapiens (assembly GCF_000001405.40). Taxonomy (NCBI): domain Eukaryota; kingdom Metazoa; phylum Chordata; class Mammalia; order Primates; family Hominidae; genus Homo; species Homo sapiens. Next base: position 97,662,017 of record NC_000010.11, read on the forward strand.
AATCTTATTTACAATTTGTTTAGACATGGGGTCTCGCTATTTTGCCCAGGCTGGTCTTGAACTCCTGGCCTCAAGTGATTCTCTGCCTCCTCAGCCTCCCAAAATGCTGGGATTTCAGGTACAGCCTCTGCTGATATTCTTAATCTTGACTTTTATCTTTTTAAACATATTAAGGATTTTGTTGTGAACATTTTAAAGTCTGTATATTTTTATTGTTTGGAGCCCCTACAGATCTGTTTTAATTTTCAGTTGTTTCTCTTTTATTCCTGTCATCTTGTTTCTTTGTGTACCTGGTTGTTTTTCATTGTCAAATACTGCCTATCAGAAATCGTAGAGCTGTATAAAGGCCTAAGATGTCATTGTAAATCCTGTCTGGAGGAAGATTTCTTTTGGCAAGCATCTAGGGCAATAGCAATCCAGTATCACTTTAATTTCAGGTGTTGAGGGGAGCTTAGTGTATTTCCAAGGTGTAGTGCTTCAGGTCGTAACCCAAAGCATAGATGATATACGAGGGTCCCTTACCCCTGATCAGTCACTGGATTATAGTTTTTGTCTCTCTAGCTCCACAAGGCTCTTATAATTGTTCTACCTCTCAAGCTCTTAGCCAGCTCTTTCCAAATTGGCAGGTGCTCTAGGGGAAAAGAAGCCACAGTGCTGGGCTCCACGTCCTCCCATGGATTTCCTTTCTCTCCCATATCTTCACTCTTAAATCCTTTGTGGTCTTATTAAAATCTCCAGTACCTTAAAAAAGATCTAAAAATATTTTATCCAGCATTTGTAGTCATTCTCAGTAGAAGCGTTAGTCCGAGTGTCCAGAATACCTAGTCCACCATTACAAAAATGGAAAATCATCCCCCCTTTTTCTGCTAACTTTATATTTCTGTTCACAGATCGAGGCAATGACAACTGGCTGATTAAATATGACTGTCCAATGGATAGTTCTAGCTCTCGGGTAAGAGACTGAGATAAATCTTAAAGAGAATGAAGAGTATTTGCATAATATAGAAACACATAAAATGGTCAGAGATGTAGTTCATACAAGTTCAGAAGAATCGGGGGGCGCATATGTTTAAAATTAATAGGTTAATATTTGGTAAAGTTTTTCTCAATATGTGTTTCAAGGACATCCTACTGACACATGTTAATAGGAATAGCATGAAGAAAGGGTCAAGTAAATTTGGAACATATTATGTACTCTGTTCTTTGAGCTTCTTATTGCACAGTAGCATAGTAAAGGTCTGAGAAGTACTACGTTAAACAAACCTATTTAAATTTGATTTCTACCCCTTTTAAACCATGAACCACTTTTCTCACAACAGACCGCAAGTCCACAGAACATAAGTTTAGAAAAAGCTGCTCCTGCAACTTTCTTTCCTTTCTCATTCCTTTCATCCTCCACCATACTTCTCTATCACTGTTCAGTCTACATGTTTTACAAAATTAGCAGAAGGCTGCCTAGGGGAGAGTGAGATTGGTTTTATTTCTTTTTTCTTTTCTTTCTTTTTTTTTTTTTTAAGAAACAGGGTTGGCCGGGCATGGTGACTCACGCCTGTAATCCCAGCACTTTGGGAGGCCGAGGTGGGAGGATCACCTGAGGTCAGGAGTTCCAGCCTGGCCGACATGGTGAAACCCCGTCTCTATTAAAATGCAAAAATTAGCCGGGCATGATGGCGGGAGCTTGTATTCCTAGCTACTCGGGAGGCTGAGACTCGAGAATGGCTTGAACCTGGGAGGCTGAGGTTGCAGTGAGCCAAGATCACACCATTGCATTCCAGCCCAGACGACAGAGCAAGACTCTGTCTCAAAAATTAAAAAAAAAAAAAAAAAAAAGAGACAGGGTCTTGCTCTGTTGCGCAGGCTGGAGTACAGTGGTGCTATCCTAGCTCACAGCAGCCTTGGACTCCTGGGCTCAAAGCAGTCCTCTCACCTCAGCCTCCTGAGTAGCTGGGACTACAGGCGCAAAAGTTGTTTAATGTTTTGTAGAGATGAGGTCTTGCTATGTTGCCCAGGGTGGGGTTTTCATTCCTTATAACTTTTTTACTTTCTCTAATAGTGGCTCTCAAATTTTGTGCCTGAATCTTCTGAAGAGTTATTTAAAATAGTACACAGATTCTTCAGGCCTTTCCCTTAGAAACTGATTCATCAGGTCTGGAGTAAAACTCAGGATTCTGCACATTTAATAAGGTATCTCAGGGGATTCAGATTCAGGCATCCTGGAACCACAGTTCTTGTTCCTGTGATGGCACCCATGAACCTGAAGCATGGAGCCACATAGTCAGTGATTGTCTCTGACATGGGCTGTCACAGGTGACATGCCCACTCTTTTTACATTCATCTCTTGTCCTTTTCCTTTTCATGCACCACTGAAGCAGGAGAACAGACTCCCTTGTGCAAGAGCAGCCAGCTGTTATCTTCCGAGGCTCTGTTTTCTCACTGGAAAATGTAGTTGTCACCAGTGAAGTAACATCTGAGTCAAGGTCCACACAAAAGGACCTTGGCCAACTGATATGGATTTTATTTCTTCTGTTCTGCTTTCAGGATTCTCATTTTCTTTCCCTAGGAGGAATGGCTTATAGTTATCTTTATTATTGTCATTTCCTTCTTACCAAGGACTGTAGCAACTCTTGGGGAAGTGTACCTTTTCTAAGATAAGAACAGGACTCTTGAACTTTGAACAAGAGCCAGGTCAGAGGCACCAAAATGTGCTAAGTTCAGATAACAACATGGAAGCCAGTTCAGAGAGTAGCTCAAGATAAGTTCAATAAGAATTCTTCTCTTGAGGGAGTTGGGATGAGTTGCTTTGCTACTAATTGGAAGGGCCTGAGGGAGATGGGTTTCCTCAGTCATTAGTCTTTCCTTGCTCTTCAGGACACAGACTGGGTGGTGGTGAAGGAGCCTGTTATCAAGGTGGCTGCCATAGACAATGGGCTGGCCTTCCCACTGAAGCATCCTGACTCCTGGAGGGCATGTAAGTCTCCAGACAATGGTGGTCTGGCTCTTCCCTTGCTCAGTATATTTTCTCACTGTGCAGTGGAGATGATAATGTCTCTATCATAGGATTATTCTAAAAATTAATGAAATAATGGAGTTCAGGCACTTTAACACAATGGCTGGCATATGGCAACTATTTCATAATGTAAGCTGTTTTTCTAATTTTTGTCTTCTATGATTCCCATTACAAGCATAAAGGTGATTAGAAATTAGAAGCATAAAGATGAGTTTTCTCATTGTCTCTTTGCATTCTTCTCGTTCTTTCTGAGGACTTTTTTTTTTTGGAAATGGAGTTTCGCTCTTGTTGCCCAGGCTAGAGTGCAATGGTGCGATCTGGGCCCACTGCAACCTCCACCTCCTGGGTTCAAGCGATTCTCCTGCCTCAACCTCCCAAGTAGCTGGGATTACAGGCATGCGCCACCACGCCCGGCTAATTTTGTATTTTTAGTAGAGACGGGGTTTCACCATGTTGGCCAGGCTGTTCTTGAACTCCTGACTTCAGGTGATCTGCCTGCCTCAGCCTCCCAAAATGCTGGGATTACAGGTGTGAGCCACTGCGCCTGGCTGAGGGCTATTTATTTTTTATTTATTTATTTTTTTTTTGAGACGGAGTCTTGCCCTGTCGCCCAGGCTGGAGTGCAGTGGCGCGATCTCGGCTCACTGCAACCTCCTCCTCCTGGGTTCACACCATTCTCCTGCCTCAGCCTCCCGAGTAGCTGGGACTACAGGCACCCGCCACCATGCCCAGCTAATTTTTGTATTTTTAGTAGAGACAGGGTTTCAGTGTGTTAGCCAAGATGATCTCAATCTCCTGACCTTGTGATCCACCCGCCTTGGCCTCCCAAAGTGCTGGGATTACAGGCATGAGCCACTGCGCCCGGCCCTTTTTTAATTTTTTAATTTGTTATTTTATTGTTTTAGTGTATATTTCCTGAAATATCTTTTTTTTTCCTGTTATCTGAGGACTGTCTTTCCATAATTTATTCTAATTGTGCCTCTAAATATAAGCTTCCTATCAGTGTTCTGTCTTCCTTGTTCCATCTCCTACCCTGTTGTAACTGAGAAGCTTCTGGAAAGGAGGAGAAATAAATGTAGGGAGTCAGTAGCCCCTTTTGCAGCATTAGTCTTCCTTTTCAGAAGGACCATCTCAGCGTCTCAGTGGCAAGTAGTTGCTTCTAGACCTTGCATCTTGGAAGGTCATGTAATGTCTGAGAATGAGCTCTGACATTAGGCAGCCCTGGGTTTGAACCCTGGTTCCTCTACTGACTAGCTGTGTAACCTTTACAGTTAAGAGCACTTGTAAGTTTTTGTTTCTGTTGTATGTCAGGGAAGAGGGGTTCTCCTTTAGAAAGTGCCTTGACTGGTGGAGGACACAGATGAGCAGGGACTTTTCCAACACCAGCTTTGCCTTTGACTTTTCCTCTTTTCAGATCCTTTTTACTGGGCCTGGTTGCCCCAGGCGAAAGTCCCATTTTCTCAGGAGATCAAAGATCTGATCCTTCCAAAGATATCGGACCCTAACTTCGTCAAGGACTTGGAAGAGGACCTATATGAACTCTTCAAGGTTAGCCCTGGGAACCTCAGCCCTATTATCATATGGGAGAAGGAATTTTTAATGGTTTTTTTAATTGGTCCTGACAAAAGCCAAGAGGAAATGGCTAACACCTTTCTGACTTGAGTTAGCCAACGAATAGCAAGATTTCCACATGTGGACAGCAGGACCTGGTTTGGATGGGTTTGAGAGAAATGGGCAGGGGTGAGAAATCACACTGATGTGTCTCTCCTGTCCATCATGTGGCTGCAATGTATCTGCAGGGCTTTCATTTTAATATGGAGCACTGGAGCCTAGAGTTTGAGATGCAGAGGAAGATATTGACTTGTTTTCTGTTTCCTCATCTGTAAAGCAGGGAGTTCTTGTGGGAGTAGTTGACTTCACAAAGCTGCAGAAGCCTTATGCAGGTTTTCCTTCTTAGAAAGTTTCTAACTGGGGGAGAAAATGGGTTCCTGTGAGGCATTCACACAGGTTCCATCTCCTTCTGGTCTTCTTTTGCAGAAAGATCCTGGTTTCGACAGGGGCCAGTTCCATAAGCAGATTGCTGTCATGCGGGGCCAGGTAAGCCTGGGACATCCTCCCAGTATCTTTGGCGTCTCTGGGAGTGTTGTGTGCTCAGGTTGAGCAAATGTTTGAAGTTTGTGTTTTATACCCCCCCCTTTTTTTTTGAGACCGAGTCTCACTCTGTCACCCAGGCTAAAGTGCAGTGGCATGATCTCTGCTCACTGCAACCTCCACCTCCCAGGTTCAAGCAATTCTTGTGCCTCAGCCTCCCAAGTAGCTAGGATTACAGGCGCATGTCACAACGCCCGGCTAATTTTTGCATTTTTAGTAGAGACAGGGTTTTACCATGTTGACCAGGCTGGTCTCGAACTCCTGACCTCAAGTGATGCACCTGCCTCTGCCTCCCAGAGTGCTGGGATTACAGGCGTGAGGCCCTGCGCCCGGCCGTGTTTTACAGCTTTTTTAAGTCCGTTGTGTACATTATTTTTGGCTGTACCTTAACACCTAGGAGAGGAAAAGTGGCCCTCCCAATTCTCCCACCTCTTCCCTGGTATCCAGTGCTTGTTGAAGCACTTAATGTGCACTCATCTCTATGCTAGTTGCTAGGTAATTCATTGGTAATTAAACTAATGCTCTCTGTCCTAGAGTTGCTCAAGGCAGGCTGTATGTTTTGGTGGTTAAGATCTGGGCCCTGGAGCCAGACTGCTTCACTACTTGGAAGCTCTGTGGCCTGGGGCAAAAGCCTCTGTTTTCTTGTTCATAAAACAGGATAGTAATAATACGTTGCACAGTTGGCTGGAGAATTTCATGAGATAATGCTTATCAAGCGTTTAGTAAAAAGAGTACTGGGCACATGAAGCACTCACATATTGATTATGGTTATAATTTTGTTGTTATAGGTGCAACTTACATTATTCCTTCTCCTTCCACTTCACCTTCAAAGGGAGCTAAGGAAACCAAGGGGATTGTTGATCTTCCAAAGCATAGTAAAGAAATGCTTGAAAAATGGTTTGAAAACTCTGTAGGGTACTGGTATTATGCCTATCACTTTGAAGTCTTCTTAAAGAGAGTTGGGATGACCTAGTGGTTAAGGGTGCAAACTGTGGTCACAGTGCCTGGGTTTTTGAAGCCTGGCTCTGCCATTTACTACCTGTGAGATTTTGGGCAAGTTACTTAATCTCTCCTTCCCTTAGTTTCCTCATGTTTAATGTGGGATCAATAATAGTAGCTGAGACCAGGCATGGTGGCTCACACTTGTAATCCCAGCACTTTGAGAGGCTTAGGTGGGCAGATCACTTGAGCTAAGGAGTTGGAGACCAGCCTGGGCAACATGGTGAAACCCCATCTCTACAAAAAACACAAAAATTAGCCATGTGTGGTGGCGCACGCCTGTAATCCCAGCTACTCAGGAGGCTGAGGTGGAAGGATTGCTTGGGCCTGGGAGGTCTAGGATGCAGTGAGCTGAGATGGCACCACTGCACTCCAGTCTAGGGGACAGAGTGAGAACCTGTCTCAAGATAATAATAATGGTACCCACCTTACAGAATTATTATGAGATAAATGATTTGAAACAGTTAGAGTAGTACCTGGTATACTAAAATACTCAATTTGTAGTATTAATAGCTGTTAGGATTATGATTTTTGTATACAGAAAATTCAGCTTCTCCCATCTTTAAAGGGCAAGAGGATCTTCTCAGCCTTAATTCTGCATTTACTTCTTCCTGCCATTTATCTAAAGACCTCTGATGACAGCACCTCCTGGGTTTGCTGAGCCCATTTTTCCCTGGAAGGGGGTTGGACAGAGGTTTTTTTTTTCTTTTGAGACAGAGTCTCACTCTGTCACCCAGGCTGGAGTGCAGTGGTGCGATCTTGGCTCACTGCAACCTTCACCTCCCAGGTTCAAGTGATTCTCCTGCCTCAGCCTCCCAAGTAGCTGGGATTACAGGTGCATGGCACCACACCTGGCTAATTTTTGTATTTTTAGTAGAGATGGGGTTTCACCATGTTGGCCAGGGTGGTCTCAAACTCCTGATCTCAGGTGATCTGCCTGCCTCGGCCTCCCAAAGTGCTGGGATTACAGGAGTGAGCCACTGAGCCCGGCCTGGACAGAGGTTTTAAGAACTACAATTATTGTAGCTGTCTGAATACCAGTAACATGGTATTCCTACATTTCCCAAGTAATGTAAGGGCCCAATTAGGCTGGCAGAATTTTTGGAAGCATTAAAAGCCATGTGATAGACTCAGATGTTATGGAACTCAGCATAAAGGAGTAAACTGGCTTCTCCAGTTGATATAGGCTGTGCCTCTGTCCGTATTGCAATGTCTTATCTAATTCCATCCCAGCTCAGTCCCTTGCCAACCCTTCTCCCATTACTCAGATAGTGCCATTATTCAGGATGGTAGGGAGGTTGGGGTAGTGCAGTTTTATTTATCTCCATCTTGTGCTCCTAATGTCTTCAGAGGAGCTTTTGGTATCTTGTAACCTAAAGTGCCTACTACCTTAGGGTGACCATCCAGCTCCTTCCAACATGTACATGGCCAGTATATCACTCATGTGCTTACTTGTCTACCATTCACACATCAAAGCAAAATGTGTGCACTACAAAATTTCTGCACTACAGAAATCTGACAAAGCACAGAGAAAAGAGGTCATAACCCTGTCTACATAGCTGAGCCATTATTGCAGGATGGGCTGTAGTACAAGGGCCCTGAGATGTAGGGAAAGAGTGAAGAGGCCCCACAGGGACACAGTCAGGTGATAGAAGTTGTTACTCAACTTAAAGGCTTCTCACCGGGAGTTAAAGAATCTAGGGTCTGAGAGAAAGCCTCTGTAACATTTTCTTTTTCTTTTCTTTTTTTTAAAGACAGGGTCATGCTCTGTCACCTAGGCTGGAGTGCAGTGGCCCAATTGTAGACCACTGCAGCTTTGAACTCCTAGGTTCAAGAAGTCCTCCCCCCTCAGCCTCCTGAGTAGCTGGGACCACAGGCATGCACCACCATTTCTGGGTAATTTTTTTTAAGAGGTGGGGTCTCGCTATGTTGCCCAGGCTGGTCTCAAACTCCTGGCCTCAAGCGATCCTCCTGCCTTGGCCTCCCAAGGTGCTGAAATTATAGGCATGTGCCACCACATCCAGCCCAACATTTTCAAAGATAGTATTTATTCTTTAGTATTATGTGACTGCTATAATTTTTCTTCAAATTTAAAAAATAATTTTTCTTTTTAAATTCTTTATTCTCCTTTCTTTTCAGTCCTGGTTCCAGGCTTATCTTCAGCTTTTTAATTTGGAAATTTTCAAACCTCAGTAAAGTTGAAAGAATGGGATCTTCTAGATTCTTCAGTTGTTATATTTAACCACATTTATCTCATATGTCTACGTATTATCCAGTGATGTATCTGAATAATATCTATTTAATTTCTCTCCCTAGATATTCTTTTTTGCCAAATCTTTTGAAAATAAGTAGTAGACAATTTGACATGTTTACCCCAGATACTCCCGCAATCTCCTTTTAGTTCTTCACCCCAATATTGTGCTTCAGACTATTTGGAACAGTGTAGGATGCTGGCAAGTACCAAAACAATTAAGTAAAAAAGAAATTTGTTACCAATAGGGTAACAAATGACCCCTGTTGCAGTTGTATCTCTGCTCCTTTATAGGCAGCAGTTGTGTAAGAGGATATTTGTGGCTTGAGGGCTGTGTGTCTGTGTGATTTCAGGGTGCAGCCTAGCTTACCCCTCCATGTTCTGTGACCTGGCCATGAAATCTTCAACATCTAGTGTTTTAAAGAAGATAGGGCCAGGCGTGGTGGCTCATGCCTGTAATCCGAGCACTTTGGGAGGCCGAGGCGGGTGGATCACCTGAGGTTGGGAGTTCGAGACCAGACTGACCAGCATGGAGAAACCCCATCTCTACTAAAAATACAAAATTAGCTGGGTGTGGTGGTGCATGCCTGTAATCCCAGCTACTCGGGAGGCTGAGGCAGGAGAATCGCTTGAACCCAGGAGGTGAAGGTTGCTGTGAGCCGAGATTGTGCCGTTGCACTCCAGCCTGGGCAAGAAGAGCGAAACTCCGTCTCAGAAAAAAAAAAAGAGAGAGAGAGAGAAGACAGGACACCTTCAGCTTTTGTACTCTCCTACCAGAGAAGATAAATGGTGGTGATACTAATTTTGACAAAGAGGAGAAACTGTGTCCTCATGGACACATAACTGAAATACCTGTAAAATACTGACAAAAGATGGTGAGGACTGGACTCAGTGGCTCATGCCTGTTATCCCAACACTTTGGGAGGCCAAATTGGGAGGGTCATTTGAGGCCAGAAGTTGGAGGGTGCAGTGAGCTATGAATGTGTCACTGTACTCCAGCTTGGGTGACAGAGTGAGACCCTGTCTCAGAAAAGAAAAAAAAAAATTAGGGGAAACTGGGCAAATGCTATATAGGAACTCTTTGTACAATCTGCAACTTTTCTCTAAATTTAAAATTATTCCAAAGTAAAACATTTATTTAAAAAAAAAGGTGATGAAGAGATAGTGTTAGAAGGAGAATCCAAATAAAATGTTGGCTTTTTACTTTTTGTTTGTTTGTTTGTTTGTTTTTTTGAGATGGAGTCTTGCTCATTTGCTTAGACTGGAGTGCAATGGCACAATCTCACCTCACTGAAACCTCCGCCTCCCGGGTTCACGTGATTCTCCCTCCTCAGCCTCCCCAGTAGCTGGGATTACAGGCACTCGCCATCATGCCCAGCTAATTTTTGTATTTTTGTAGAGATGGGGTTTCTCAAAATTTTTGTATTTTTGTAGAGACAGGCTGATCTCAAACTCCTGACCTCAGGTGACCCGCCCACTTCGGCCTCCCAAAGTGCTAGGATTACAGGCATGAGCTACCACGCCCAGCCAGCTTTTTACATTTTACATTTATATCATCTTTGTAGGAAAATCATAAAATAGGGATGAACAACAATAAATAATTAAAACCACCTATAATTTCTTTCTTTTTTTTTTTTGAGATGGAGTCTCGCTCTCTTGCCAGGCTGGAGTGCAGTGGCGCAGTCTTGGCTCACTGCAACCTCCACCTCCTGGGTTCAAGCGATTCTCCTGCCTCAGCCTCCCAAGTAGCTGGGATTACAGGCATGCGCCACCATGCCTGGCTAATTTTTGTATTTTTAGTAGATATGGGGTTTTACCATGTTGGCCAGGCTGGACTTGAACTCCTGACCTCGTGATCTGCCCACCTCGGCCTCCCAAAGTGCTGGGATTACAGACATGAGCCACTACGCCCGGACCAAAACCACCTATAATTTCTTGAGACCCAGAGATGACCACTGCCAACTGCCAGACTTTTTTCTACACTATAGTTAGATAGAAAGATAGAATTTAGAAAGTAAAAGTGGGGTCACAATCTAACACTGGTTCCTTTTCTGCTTTCCTTTGCATCTAACACAACATTGTGATCGCTTCTTTGCCAATACATTTATATATATATTTGATAGTTCCCTGGTTAAATTTCTATATATTTTAGGATAATTGTTTCTTATCCCTTCAAGTATTAACTAGTTTACATCTTTTCACTGTTATAAACAATATTACATTTGTTTTTGGAACTAAATGTTTTATGCATATCCATTAGTGTTTCTTAAAAATGGAATTGCCGAGTCAGAGGGTCTGTTCTTTTTTTTTTTTTTTTTTTTTTTTGAGACAGGGTCTTGCTCTGTTGCCCAGGCTGGAGTACGGTGACATGATCTCAGCTCACTGCAACCTCCACCTCCCAGGTTCAAGTGATTCTTATGCCCAGCCTCCCAAGCAGCTGGGATTACAGGTGTGCACCACCCCACCTGGCTAATTTTTTTGTATTTTTAGTAGATACAGAGTTTCACCATGTTGGCCAGGTTAGGATCTGTTCATTTTTAAGTGTTTTTTGTGTTTTTTTTTTTTCTTTTTGTTTTTTGAGATGGAGTCTCTCACTCTGTTACCCAGGCTGGAGTGCAGTGGCACGATCTCGGCTCACTGCAACCTCCGCCTCCCGGGTTCGAGCAATTCTCCTGCCTCAGCCTCCCCAGTAGTTGGGACTACAGGCGTGTGCCACCACGGTCGGCTAATTTTTTTTGGTATTTTTAGTAGAGATGGGGTTTCGCCATGTTGGCCAGGCTCGTCTGAAACTCCTGACCTCAAGTGATCTACCTGCCTCAGCCTCCCAAAGTGCTGGGATTACAGGCGTGAGCCAGCGTGCCTGGCAAGTATTTATTTTTTTGAATTCTCCCCAACTCTGCGTCGTTCTTTTGTATCTTTACTAACTGGAGGGCAAAAAAATAAAGGATTTGTTTTCATTTGTATTTTTTAAATGATTAGAGAGGTTTCCATTTTCTGTTTTGCTAATTTTTACTTTTGTAAATGGCCTATTTGCATGATTTTCCATTGGTATTTTAAAAAATTGATTTGTAGGCGTCCTCTCTACTGATCTCCTTTCAGAGGCAGATCTGGAATGCTGAGGCCTCTCCCTCACCCATCTCCTTTTTCCCACTGCAGATCTTAAATCTGACCCAGGCCTTGAAAGACAACAAGAGTCCCCTGCACCTCGTCCAGATGCCACCTGTGATTGTCGAGACGGCCCGTTCCCACCAGCGGTCTTCTAGCGAGTCCTACACACAGAGCTTTCAGAGCCGGAAGCCCTTCTTTTCATGGTGGTAGCTCCAGAGGCAGGCAGAGGAAATATTGTCAGAGACTGGTGGGAGGAAGCCTGGGGAGTGGGGTGCAGGAAAAGCCAGAGAAGCCGGTGGAGAGCAGCACCTTTAAGAGCCCTCTCTCTCTGCTTGCCACCCTGCTCAGAGCTTTCCACCCACAGGGAGAAGCACAATCAGGAACAGTGAGTGCTCCTCGCCCTTCTGATGTGGGGGAGGCTGGAGCTCCATGCACGTAGTCCAGATGCCTGGGAAGGAACATCTCCCTTCCAGCATCTGCTGGTAGCAGGCTGGGACAGTCCCTTCCTTCCCTGAAACCCTGCTCTATTGCAATTCCCTATTATATTCTGCATCAGAAAAACAAACAAAACAAAAACAACTTTAAATGCTTGTAGCAGAACCCCGGGTCATCTCATGTCAGAAACCTTTAATCCAGGCCTAAATTTGCATAGACCTGACATTCAGCTGCCTTGCAGTTGCTTCCTCCCATGAGCCAAGGTGGTGTCAGAGGGCAACTGGATGACTCGCAGTACCACAGCACTGGGACAGACAGAAGCCACACCTTTCTTTTGGGTTTTTGCCAAGCCTCCTCCATCTCCCATCAGTGCTGTGGGCTGGCTGCAAGCCTCGAAACAGTTCTCCTGGAAGGGAGGTTTTTGCTTTACCCCCGCCAGCACTTCCGCACACAATCATAGAGAACCTCTCTGCTCTCTGCTGGCCTACAGCTTGTCTGTTTCTCAAGCAGAGGCAGGAAGAGCTAGTCTTAGCATTTATATTTTAATAGGAAGTTGACTCCCAGCATGTAAAAGTGATCCACGCAGCCGGAGTGTATGCCGGGAGCTAAGTGGTCTATGGGTGAACATATCCCACCTTGCTTCCTGAGTCCTTGGTCCCAATCTTCTCATTTGTTCCTCTCGTTTTAAATTTTTTCCCCCCAACTCTTTTGATGTAAGAGTTCAGTTTGTCTTCGGGAGTGGGTCTCTGCAAGGGCTCTGGGATGAGTCTTGGCTTCCAAGAGGACAGGCTATTAGGTTCTTGGACTTTTTTCTGTGCTACCGCTGCTGCTTGGTGGAAGTAACAGGACGTGGATTCTGCCTCATAAGTGGCAGTTTCCCTTTTCTCTCTGACTTGTCCTAGGCCGATTTCTCTATGGCTTCCCTGAGAAAGGTGAGGCCCAAAGGAGAGAGGCCTTCAAACTGTCCCAGGTCCTGCGCAGCTCAGTGCGTATCTTCTTGCTTCCATGTGTCTTTTCCCCTGCTGCCTCACTCCCCACCCCCACTTGCCAGGTGTTTGAGCCATTTCTACACCAAAGCAAAGTACGGCCTCAGGAGGGAGTAAAAAGGGTGCCATCTGTGTCTGGAGGGGCAGCTGTGTTCATGCCCTGTGCTACTGGACATTTCACAATTCTGGCACCTTGCGATTGGTCAGTCAACCTCAGAAAGTAACTATCTTGAAGGTTTGAAAAACAACCAAAGAAAGGGAGTGAGGACTATGGCTGCATGTCCTCTGCTTGCCCGGCTGCAGAGCAGAGATGTGCAGCCCTCTGGTCAGCTGGTCCAGGCTGGTCCCCGCCGGTCCCCTTCCAGTCCAGCCACCAAGAGTCCACTTGTCCCGGGCTTCCACCTGGCTGACAGGAAGAATTTCTGAGAGCTGGATGTGCATGCCCTGTGGACGAAGGTACAGCTCGCCTGCCTGCCCCAATCCCAGCCCCGACAATCACATGCAGCTGACTCGGACACTGGCCTTGGGAACAATGTTCGAGAGAACACTTGCCCCTTGACTGTAGGAGCCAGAAGGGGACCCAGGTGTGCATAGCTCTCTGTAGACATTTTTACCCAAACCTGTTGGTAAAGTGCCCATCTGGTGCTCAAGAGAGCCTGGGGGTCTAACAGGGAGCCCGGCTGCCTCACCTGGCCACAGCCTCCACACCAGATCTCCACATTGTCTTGATCCAGACCAGCTCTGTGATCAGAAGGAAATTGGGTCCAGTGTAGGAGAGAGCTGGTCCTGGGCCTGGCAGGCAAGAGTGTGGGCATCCTTTCCTGGCCTTTCTCCACTCTCCCTCAAGCCTGTGCTCAGGTTGCCTTGAATGTGGACTCTGGAAGAGCCAGGGGCCCAGAATGCCGGGGGAGGCTTCTGAGTGGCACTCATGGAACACCGTCCCTCTGCCAGCCATAGGCCCTGCCTCCAGTGTCAGGGAATGGAGGCTGGGCTGCGAGAGTGTTGCTGCCCCCTGTGTCATTCTTCTAATCCAATGTAGAAATTGTACGTAATGTATTTAAATCAACGCAAATGTATGAATAACAAATACAGTTCTGACCTTTTTTGTCCAGTTTCTTTGGGGGAAGGAAGACAAAGAAGGTAGGAACGGAATTTTGAGGGCAAAGAAACCTGTGTTTCCATGGAATTGCTGAGACGTGGCTCCTGGGGCTATTTCTCCCTAATAAAGGATGATCCAGGTCCTCATTTCCAAAGTCCCAATGCTCTGAAAACCAAAAGTATTTTCATAACCCATTTGAAACCAAACCTGACCTGAACTTACACTGATAGGAAGCTATGGGTAATTATGATGTGTTCCTTTTAGTGTGATTCTTTGTTGCAGAAATGTCAATATATTTTATGACATGGTTCCCTACTAGGGATTATACAGTATTTGCTGACTACTTCCTAAGAGCCAAAAATAAAAAATCTGAATTCCAAAATAATCTAGTGCCAAGGGCTTGGGATAAGAAATGTGGACCTACAGGCTGGGTGCAGTGACTCACACCAGTAATCCCAGCACTTTGGGAGGCTGAGGTGGGTGAATTGCTTGAGGTCAGGAGTTTGAGACCAGCCTGGCCAACATGGCGAAACCTCGTCTCTACTAAAAATACAAAAATTAGCTGGGTGTGGTGGCACACGCCTGTAATCCCAGCTACTTGGGAGGCTGAGGCAGGAGAATCACTTGAACCCGGGAGTTGGAGGTTGCACTGAGCCGAGATTGCACCACTGCATTCCAGCCTGGAGTAAGACTTTGTCTCTCAGTAAATAAAAATAAATAAATAAATAAATAAACAATAAAATAAAAAAGAGGACCTACCTGACTCAAGGTAGTAGTGGTTCCTCCTCTTGGCCACCAGAGGGCAGCCCTGCCCTGTGTACATCACTGCCCCACTTCAAACCCTGAATAATCAAGCATATAGGGTGGGTGGAGAGGGAGAAGAAAGCTAATAAGCACAGAGTATGCCTCTCTTGAGGTGGAGCCAGAACTGTGGGAAAAACCCTGCCTTCAAGGGTTTCCAGGCCATGGGAAGCCTAGGATATAACGCAGGCAACTTCAGAATCATCAGTCCACCTTGGGATGGTCAGCCCATAAGGATGAAGAAACCAAATGAGGATCTGGCACCACTAGTTTGACTACAGATTAAGCCAGCCCAAGGCCTCAGCCTACTGTGCTGGGCTGACCATGACAGTCTTCCCCCTTCTCCTGATCCTATGGATCAGGACTGCTGCAGAGACTCCCCTCTTTACTCCCGATCCAACAGACTCTGGAAAAGGAGGCTGTGGTCCAGGGGCTCAGCATGGGGGTGAAAAAGGAGAGGGAGGTGAAAAGGAGAGAGGAGGCCAGCCCTGATTTTTCCTTCCTGGGGACACTCTTGCCCCTCCCACTCTGTTTCATTTCCTCCCCTTCTGTGACAGACTCACACAGCTCTTGATGCAAATGTTTTTATTTGCCACTTAAACTACAGTTTCCCTGTGCTATCCTGATGGTGTGGGGGTGTGGAACAGGCTGCTGGAACCATGGTTTACAGTAGTAGCAGGTAGATGATTAGTAGCATGAGTGGTGAAATGCTGCATCTAAGTGCCTGTCACTTTGCTCCCAGGGGAATATCATGCAGCCCAGGAATAGTGTTAGACTGGGAAGGACTGTGGCAGGAACAGTCACTGTCTCTCCTCATTTTGGTGAGGAATGGGTCCCACATAATGGAGAGCTCAACAGAAGCATCCAGTCTTGTTCTGAATGGAGCAGGTCAGTGGCAGCAGCCTCTTGCTTTCATTTACCCCTTTGGGCTGCTTGCCTAAAGTCTCTCTTCCTTCACCTCCCCAGGCCTTTTGGCAAGAGGGAAGACACTGCCATTCCTGGCTCTTTCCCTGGATCAGTGTCTGATCTGGTGGAGGTAGCTTGTGGGGCCTGACTTCCTCCAGTTCCGGCGGATCCTGGCACTTTTCTTCCTAGAGTGCAGATACTGCTCACTGGAGGCTGTCTCTGTGGCACTCTGTGGGTTGGCCAGTGCAGAGTGGGGCTCCAGGATTCTGCAGAGAACAAGTGTATGATTAGCCAACATCAATAGGAAGAATGGAATGGGGACTTCAAGAGATTTCGTCATGGTGGACCATAAAACATATGATTTGGAGCAAAATGAGAGCGGGGCTCTGCTCTGGTCTTTCCCCCTCTGAGAACTGTCTGACTAGACAAAGTTTACAGATTTCTCTGCAGTAGAAAGGGTTGGACCAGATCAGGTTGTGCAAAACTCAACATTTCTTCATCCTCATCCTGTACTCATGGCAGATGTCATAAGTCATGCTATTAAACTGGTTTGATAAGCAGTGACTACTAATTAACTGGAGTTAAATACAAGCTATGACACTGACTTGCCATCTCAGGACCTGATGACCTCCAAAGGCCTGTTTAGGTCTGATGTTCTGATTGTGGGCCCCAGAGAAGGCAGCAGAGAGATGAAGCCCAGAGCATCACCCATAGTGATTGGTTGAGGCCAAGTGGTTCAGCTCCATCCCTTTGGGTTCACTCTTCCTGGGCTGGCAGTGGCCTAGGCAAAGAAGTGGCCCACCAGGGAGACTGGGGAGAGATCTCAAGGTAAAAGTTTTCAACAATTTTTAACCCATAATGCCTCGACAGTACATTCCTAGGCTATATTCTCTGTAATCCCCCAGCCAAGATTTTAATTAGGCTTAAAAAAAAAAAAAAAAGAGAATCTCACTCTGTCACTCAGGTCACTCAGGCTGGAGTGCAGTGACAGGATCATAGCTTACTGCAGCCTCAAACTCCTGGCCTCAAGTGATCCTCCTACCTCAGCCCCTGGAGTAGCTGGGACCGCAGGTGCATGCCACCATGCCTGGCTAATTTCTCTTTTTTTTGGCGGGGGGAGGGTGTGTGTGTGTGTGTGTGTGTGTGTGTGTGTGTGTGTGTGTGTGTGTGTGTGTGTGTGTGTGTGTGTGTGTGTGTGTGTGTGTGTGTGTGTGTGTGTGTGTGTGTGTGTGTGTGTGTGTTTTCAGAGACAGGATCTCGCCATGTTGCCCAGGCTGGTAAGCTGAGAATAACGGCAGAATGAGGTGATGCTACTAGGACTCAGGCATCTCTTTCCATGGGAGTTCACAGGGTTGTATATGACTCCAAAAGTAACAGCAATCTTTTTTTTTTTTTTTTTGAGACAGAGTCTCGCTCTGTCACCCAGGCTGGCTGGAGTGCGGTGGCGTCATCTCAGCTCACTGCAACCTCCACCTCCCAGATTCAAGTGACTCTCCTGCCTCACCCTGCTGAGTAGCTGGGATTACAGGTGTGTGCCACCACACCCAGCTAATTTTTGTAATTTTAGTAGAGACAGGGTTTCACCATGTTGGTCAGGCTGGTCTCAAACTCCTGACCTAGTGATCTGCCTGCCTCGGCCTCCCAAAGTGCTGGGATTACAGGGATGAGCCACTGCACCCACCAACAGCAATCTCTTAAGTGCCAACCAAGTGGTGACACTGTGTAGACCTTATAACCACCCCAATGGTGGGCAGGCACTTTACAGTGAGGCCAAGTAACTAGCTCCAGGCCACACAGCCATGCAGTGGTGGAACAGGCATTAGTGCTCTTCCCTCAGCCATCCGGTTCTAGGAACCTACCTGAGGCGGCTGCAGTGGTGTAGCGAGTGGCCCAGGGGTTTCTGCCTTGGGGGCCTCTTCCTGCGCAGCCTCTTGAGGGCCTCAGCCACACGGTGGTCCCCTGCACATTCCCAGATGATCTGTGCCCGTTCCTCGGCCAGCTGGTCCCCGCTGCGTTGAAACAGGGCTTGGATCTGCAGCAGCTCGGCGTCCTGGAAGATGTTGGCCGAGGCCTGCTTGCGGCCCCGGGCCTCAATCGGGGCCTGCCAAGGGGGTGGCTCACTGACCACCGAGGCTGGGGTACCCATTGTGGATGCTCTGAGGATGCAAAGCATGGAGACATCATCAACTCAGCTGGTCCTTCCCAGACCTGGGGGTCCTGGCTAATCCTAGGGCTTCTGATGTTTCCATTCTCCAAGAGCTAAACTGGAGGAAGTCTCCTGCCTTAAAATCACTTAAGCACTTATGTGTCAGACCCCCATATTATCTCATTTAGGATTCAAAGCAACCCATGAGGTAAGAATTATTGTTTATCCTCATTTTACCGATGAAGAAGTGCAACTCAGAGGGGTTAAATGACTTGCCAGCGTCACAAAGCCACGTGCACATGCAGAGCCAGCAGTTGAACCCAGGTCTGTCTAGCTGTAGATTCCATGCAGACGCCAGGATGCCCAGTAGCAGCTCAACTGTGTTGAGTACTTATACCAGGCACCTGTAACAGCTTGCTTCACATAGTATCAATGAGATGTAACAAGCACAACAGCCCTGTAAGGTAGGTATTTTAATCCTCCTCATTTCACAGATGAGGAATCTGAGGAAAGGTTAAGTCATCCATGGTTCTGCAACTAGGATGAGAACCCAGGCCTCTCTGATGCTAAGGCCCAGGTGCCGTAGCACAAAGGTAAGAGAGGAGTTGTGGAGCTGGGCTACCCGAGTTGGAATCCCACTTCTACCCCCTCCACCACTTACTGGCTGGGCATCCCCCCTGCCTCAGCTGCCTCCCGTGTCAAATTATCACCTAGTACTACTACCTACTTTGTAGGATTAATTTGAAGATTGAAGGAAGACAAAGTATATAGAATAGTGGTCAGTGTTTTCAATCTATAAAATTGAGACATCATCCCACCTCCTATCTTTAAGACCCTGGGGATGAACCAAATCTGTATAATTTAGCAAACATAGTATGAAATGAGCCAATCAGATCTAACCACAGTCCAGTGGACCTAATGAGCAAGAGGTGGAGGCAGAAGAGGAGGCTACAAGGGTTAGAATATACTGTCAAGGGCAGAGACTGAAACTTATAAGAAAGTTCAATAGAAGTTAGACTCTGTGTCAATGTCTCCCATCATATCCAGGAAGTGAAAATTAAAGGATCTCCCTTGATTCTAGATAGTTCACTTTGAATAATAAAGGCCTAAGAAGCTTACCCACCCATCCTTGTCTCCAGCACAGCCTGGAAACAAGGGAAGCCTGGCATTACATAGAACAGGTTTTGAGTTCCAACTCTGACACCTTAAGCAAGTTACCCAACCTCGTCTCTGAGCCTGTTTCCTTAACTGTCAAATGGGGATAAGATTACCCACTTCTTAGGGTTATAGTAAGGATAAATGAGCCCAGTATATCAGTTACCCAATAAGAGCTAAATAAAATTATATCAGTTACCCAATAAGAGGATAAATAAAAAATTTAAGAATACAATGATATGGCTGGGCGTGGTGGCTCACACCTGTAATCCCAGCACTTTGGGAGGTGAGGCGGGCGGATCACCTGAGGTCAGGAGTTCAAGACCAGCCTGACCAACATTGAGAAACTCCGTCTCTACTAAAAATACAAAAGTAGCCGGGCGTGGTGGCGCATGCCTGTAATCCCAGCTACTCGGGAGGCTGAGGCAGGAGAATCACTTGAACCCAGGAGGCAGAGGTTGCGGTGAGCCGAGATCCCGCCATTGCACTCCAGC
This sequence comes from Homo sapiens, assembly GCF_000001405.40. Lineage (NCBI taxonomy): Eukaryota > Metazoa > Chordata > Mammalia > Primates > Hominidae > Homo > Homo sapiens. The sequence goes on from NC_000010.11 coordinate 97,681,555, forward strand.
CTGGGCAACAAGAGCAAAACTCCGTCTTAAAAAAAAGAATACGGCCGGGCGCGGTGGCTCACGCCTGTAATCCAGCACTTTGGGAGGCCGAGGTGGGTGGATCATGAGGTCAGGAGATAGAGACCATCCTGGCTAACAAGGTGAAACCCCGTCTCTACTAAAAAATACAAAAAATTAGCCGGGCGCGGTGGCGGGCGCCTGTAGTCCCAGCTACTCGGGAGGCTGAGGCAGGAGAATGGCGTGAACCCGGGAAGCGGAGCTTGCAGTGAGCCGAGATTGCGCCACTGCAGTCCGCAGTCCGGCCTGGGCGACAGAGCGAGACTCCGTCTCAAAAAAAAAGAAAAAAAAAAAAAAAAGAAAAAAAGAATACAATGATACAACAATTAAAAAATACAAATAAAAAATAGATACATTGTAACTACAAAACATTCACATTGTATTAGGTATTATAAGTACCCTAGAGATGATTTAAAGCATGCAGGAGGATGTGCGCAGTCTATAGGCCAACATGGCATTTTATGTAAGTGACTTAAGCGTCCCACGGAGGAGCCTGGAACCACCCTCCATGGATACTGAGGAATTTATAAACGCAAATCCTCCTCTGTTGGCCTCTGTGACCTTTGTACCTGGGTCAGGGGTACAGGTAAACCCTCCTCTTTCCTCTAAGCTGTGTGGCACAGCCAGCTGATGACAGGCCTGTGCTCCCACCCATCTCTCCCAGCCCCAGGCCTGCTGGGGAGAGGAGGAGCAGGTCCTGCTGCTTCTCCAGGGCCTGGTTGCCTAAGTCAGACCTCATTCCACAGCCAGCTACAGAGACAGCTGTCAACAGCAACCAGCTTCCAAAAGGGGAAAAGGAACATTAAAATATTTTTAAATTAAAATATTTACATGCTCATCATAAGAGGCAAACAGTACAAAAGCTTATATATAAAAACTTTTCCAATTTCCTATCAACCCACTTGCAGAAGTAACCCTTCCCCTAACCTGCCTTTTGTTCTCTGTAAGAGTTTGAATTGTCTCCGCCCCACTCATACTCCCAAAATATGACTCCCCCCCTTGCCCTGGCCTTCTCCGCTCCTCACCTCAATAGTCACCCTCATTATCCCAATCATTTCTATGCTCACTCTGTCCCAGTTTCCAGGCCTTCTATCATAAAAACTCCACCCTGTTTTCAAAAGATTTAACAACTACAATAAAGCTGCAGAAGACTTCCAGATGAGTTAACGTCATGAAAATTGTATTTTATTTGGAAAATGGAAATTTAAAAATCTGCCTCTCCTTAGGTGCTATTATGAAAATCCAGTTAAAACCTAATCTATATGGTAATTAAGCCCCCAGAGCTGGATGACATAAACACACTGTGACAAGAAGACAACAGTCGCCAAGTAACACTTTTAGGCTGATAAAAAGAAAAGCTAACTATGGGATATTTACTCTGGATCAGGCAATACGTATGATATCCTTTAATCCTCAAAACAATTCTAGGAGTTAGGGACTGTTATCCCATTTCACAGGGAAGTAAAGGGAAGCTAAGATGCAAATATGAGTACCAGTGGCTTAGCCGAGGCCAGAGGTGGTTCAAATGACTGCAGCCCATGCTTTTATTTTTATTTTTTTTTTGAGAGTGAGTTTTGCTCTTGTTGTCCAGGTTGGAGTGCAGTGTTGCAATCTCAGCTCACTGCAACCTCTACCTCCTGAGTTCAAGTGATTCTCCTGCCTCAGCCTCCCGAATAGCTGGGATTACAGGCGTCCCCCACCACTCCCGACTAATTTTTTGTATTTTTAGTAAAGACAGGGTTTCACCATGTTGGTCAGGCTGGTCTTGAACTCCTGACCTCAGGTGATCCACCCGCCTTGGCCTCCCAAAGTGTTGTGATTACAGGTGTGAGCCACTGCGCCCGGTCAGCCCACGCTTTTAAACCCCCGAGCTGGCTTCACAGCCAGGCAGCTTAAAGAACACTTCACATTTCTATGAAGAATGCTTTCCTATTCCCACCTAATTCATGAAGGGGAAATCCTACCAATGGAAAGGGAAGGACAATGAATTATCCCACCTGGTGGAGGCAGGGGTGGAGCTGTGGAATTTCGTTAGTCTGTTCTCTAGGGTCAGGGCTCTTTCCTGGGTGACAGCCCAGCCTTGAGCCGTAGCACTCTAAAGAGGAAGAGCCCAGCTTCCACAGAAGAAATCAAGAACTGCAACCCAGCCCAGTGCACAGAGCCCTGGCTTACGAGTCAGAGGAGTCGGTTCAAGCCCTACTTCTGCCACTCACTGGCTGAAAAACCTCAGGCAATTCACATCCCCTCTGTGGGTCAGCTTCCCTGTTACTGCTATAAGAACAGCTTGATGCTGTTTGTTTCTGAGGGCCTGCACCAGTGCTGAGAGTCAACAATTCCACCCGCAGGTAAGTCTGTACAGAAGGAGGAACGGAGCTACTTGTCTGCCAAAGCCTAGGGGCAATGTGTGGACAGGTCTGGCTAACTGGGTGCTAGGAAATTCCCCAGCCAGTAGCTCCCTTTCTCCTCCCTACTCTATGTTGTTTTGCTGCAGTGGGCCCTGGGGTTAGCATCTGGTAGAAAACAGAACTCACAGCTCTAAAGCTCCCTAGTGACCTCAGCTGGCAATGACCAAGCCCGGGGCAGACGCCTAGGCAGGTCTGGGGTAGTAGGAGAAAGGGTGATATCTGGCCTCACCTCCCCAGGAAAAGAAGGGCAATAAGGATCATGTAGCAGCAGCTGCCTCGGGGAGGAAATGGCTTGGAGCCTGACTTCCCAACAACCTCTCCCAGGATGGCAAGGCTTTGACTCCACAGCTTCAGCGAGCTGCGAGTCACAAACATACCAAGAAACCCTCAGGGAGAGTCTGAGCCTCCAGCCTCAACCCTCCTTGAACCTTAGGGAGGGCCTAGCACCTCCAGATTTTGAGGCCCCTCACTCTTTTTACTCTTTTTTTTTTTTTTTTTTGAGGCGGAGTCTCACTCTGTCACCCACGCTGGAGTGCAGTGGCGCAATCTCAGCTCACTGCAACCTCTGCCTCCAAGGTTCAAGCAATTTTCTTGCCTCAACAACCTCCCAAGTAGCTGGGATTACAGGTGCCCACCACACGCCCGACTAATTTTTGTATTTTTAGTAGAGACAAGGTTTCACCATGTTGGCCAGGCTGGTCTTGAACTCCCGACCTCAAGTGATCCACCCACCTCATCCTCCCAGAGTGTTGGGATTATAGGCGTGAGCCACCATGACCGGCCAAGCCCCTCACTCTTGGCTCTGTCTCTTATTCTGGGATTCAGACAGCAGAGTGAGGCTGGGAATAAAACTAGGCTGATTCCAGGTAGGATTAGATGGTTAAGTTTTGGGAAAACCGATGAAATGTCGAATCAGAACACTTTTATTATCAAAGGAAACTTTTCCTGTCTCATTCCATGTGTTCAATAGTTATTTTCCCTCCAATTTCCTGGAGAAGACCTTAGTCCAGGAAAAGTCAGTGTATACTTGCACAATAGTACTTTTGAAAACTAGAAAATGAAACCATGGGGCTATTAAAAGATTACAAATGGACCTTTCATTTCAGAACTGACATAAAAGAAGGTAAGTATGGGTCTGTGTACAAACGAGTAAAGACCAATTGCAAAATACTTCAATTTGACACAAACTAGGTTGAAAGTGAACCCCAAAGGAAATACCAAACATTGAAAATGACAAAGTTCAACTTGTTTTGAAACAGGCAATAAGTGAAGAACTGTGGAACCCTAACAAAGAAATATATTTAAAAAGTGACTCACCATGCAATGAATTTGCAATATATAAATATGGCGCGCAATTGAGCACTCTTTGCAATATATGAAGTTCAGTTCAGACAGCTATTCTAGGAGAGTATCTCACTGCAGTCCCAGGGAGGCACAGGTAACCACCAGAGGCAGAACACATTTGGGTGAGCTGGCAACTCCTAGGTCCTCATGCAGGAGGAGGCCCCCTTCCAATAACCCAGGTGATAGCAATAATCTCTGTAATCAGGGGCCTAGGGGCTCTTAGAAAAATTACTGGAGGCTCTGGCCCAAGGCCTGAATCAACACTTGGGACCCTGGCCTGCTATCCTATACAGACATGCCACTGGACAGCAGCCAAAATCTGTGGCTCCTCAAATGGGAAGCCCAGTTCAAATCGCTGTGTGGGCTTCCCCACCAGCAGGGCCTAGCCTCAGGGAGGTATGCCGAGACAACTGGATATACATTGGCCTCCAAATCCATGCCCCTGGAGGTGGAGAAAGGAACTGGGCCCTTTCCCCAGACCAGTTCTCATATATGACCTGGAAATAAACTGCTACTAGATCTAGGGATAACCCTTTCAAGATTTCTAGAACCCTGAATTCTGGCTGTGCTGCTAACTGGGTGACCTTGGATAAGTCTCAGTTTCCCCTGCCACAAGTTGCTCGTCATCAAAATAGTATAAGGCCAGGCCTGGTGGCTCACGCCTGTAATCCCAGCACTTTGGGAGGCTGAGGTGGGAGGATTGCTTGAGCCCAGGAGTTCCAGACCAGCCTGGTCAACATAGCAAGACTGCCTCTATAAAATTTTAAATAAGCTTTTTAAAATAAATGGTGAGTATAAATAACTCTTAACAGGAAAAGGGAGATTAAGTTTGTGACGGCATTCCTTCTAGTACCTGGTATACCACAGACATTCTATGCATGCTGGTTGAATGAATAAATGATGAAGGGAAAGGCTGTTTGACTACCAGGGGCTATAGAATCATTGTCATTTTCATCATCACAGCCATCAACAAATCTGTGTACTTTTAAATCATAGCTTTATGATTAAAATCATAGAGGCAGCTTGTTCAGTGTCAAGCGCAGAACAGAGCACGTTCAGATGGGTGCTTTCTTTCCTCCTCACTTAAGGTGGCACTATTGTTATACCCATTTTACAGATGAGAAAGCTACACCCAAAGTCACACAGCTGGCAGGTGATGGAAGCTGGGACATGAACCCAGGCAGTCTGACCCCAGCACCCGGGCTCTCAAGCCACTGTTATTTTTGTTCCTGCCAGATGGCTGAGGAGGTCTTCTGGGGAAGGTCGGTCCCAGAAGCCTTTCGGAGGCTATCTGCTTCTGTAGATTGTGGAAGGAGCAGGGAGGGATCCAAAGTCAGGACTCCCAAGCTAGCCTCTGTACCCTCTGCACTCCACTGCCCGGTGGAGAATTGGAGCAGGTACTCACCACACTGAAGGGCAGCTCCGACAGACCTCAAATGGGGATGGGGCAAGCTAAGATGCGCCCACTCCAACCTCTTCCACAGCCTTCAGAAAGGGCAGGCGCAGCTCTGCGAAGGTGCTTACAAGGGCCAGTCGGTGATCACGGGCAGCACAAGAGCATGGCAGAGGGTATCCTGGCCGAGGTCCTAAGGCGACATCTGCAGCACGAGGAGGCCCCGGGACTCAGACGTGGCCGCTTCGCAGAACGACGGGGTCCTAAGTGGATCTGGCGGTCGCGTCCCGCTGGCACCCCGGCTCTGACTGTCGCCCTCCGGCTCCCACCGCAGCGCCGAGCTGGGCCGCCGACCTACGTACCTGGTTGCTTGAGGCAGGCCGCACGCAGCCCCAAACTGGTCCGGGCCACTTGGGTCACAGCCGCGGTTCCCGGGAGAAAGCGCTCCCTAGCCCCGGAACAGCCAATCCTCGGCCCTAGCCAGGTATGAGCTCCCAGGCGAGCCTTCCAAACCCAAGGCGGAGTTCCGTGCGCCAATCATCGGTGGGAGACAGGGAGGGGGCGTGTCCATCCCCGCCCCCCGCCTCCGCTGGCCTCGAAAGCGGAGTGCGAAGCTTCCTCAAACCTAATCGGCGGCGGAGCGGCGGTGAGGGGGCGTGTCTGCCCGGGCCCTGCCCACCGCCCTCTCCGCCCCCGCGCGGCGCCCGAGGCGCCCCCTTCATTGACGTCAGTCCCCAGGGCCAGCGCGGTTTTGCTGGCGCGGGAGCTGGGCGGGGCTGCATTCCTGCCCCAGGGTGCGGCGAAAGCTGGCCCTGCCGGGTACACGTGACGGATGCCCCTTCTCCTGGGCCCGAGGCCAGCGCGCGCGGCACTGACTGCCTTGCAGCGCGTGGCCCTCTGCAGATCCTCAGACTCTGCCGCTCAAGTCCCCTCCCAGCCCACCGTTTGGCTCCGGCTTTGAGGGAGAGGAGGGGGCAGTCTGCTGGAGTCAGACCTTGGGCTTCAAAGCCAGAATGTCGTGGGTTCAAATATTGGGTCATTTGTGCGACTTTGGGCCGGTTACCTAAACAAGACCGTATTTTAAAGTTTGTATGCATTCGGAAATGTTCATTAGTGACCTATGCTGTCCGAGTTCCTTGATAGGCCGTAAACAAGAGAGACGGAAAGACCTATAGCCCTTGTCCTGGGGAGTCTACAGCCTAGTAAGGGAGGCAGGCATTAAACAACCTAAAACATGGAGTATGTGATTACAGTTGTGATCAATGTTATGGCTATAAGAGGATAAATATGGAGGAACCTAAGCTTCCTCTGGGAGGTTCAGGAGGGCTGAAGAAGCAGCATTTAAGCTGAGATATAAAGAAGGAGTTGAAACTGGTCAAATGAAGAGGAGTGGATCTGGGGAGACTGCTTTAAGGAAAGAGGGAAAGGCATTTGGTTGGGCCAGGAGGTAGCTTGGCTCCGGAGGAATTAAATGCGACCCGGAGTAAGGCTAGCAAGAGAGAGCACGGTGGGAAGTAGAAGGCAGAGGCAGGCAGAGAAGGTTGCATGTGATCCTTGGAGGGGTTTAAACAAGGAATGGCATTATATGTACTGTGTTTATGTAACGGGCATTTTATAGTACTTACCACGTACCAGTAGTGTCAGTCAGCACTTTGCAAATTTCATCATCATGACAAGTTTGTGTTTTTAGAAGGTCACTCTGGCTGCAGTTTGGAACTTGGATTGGAGGGGGCAGGAGTGGAGGCAGGGTGTCCAGTAGGCCTCTGATAAATGCTTGTTTTGTCCTTGGAAGATGAAGTGTTTGTGCACTTGTTCAGCAATGCTCAGGAAAGGCTCCTGGGTCTCCCTGACTTCCTTTTTACTTCATAGCTGACCTCTTATCCATTTAAGCTTGATTTTTCTTCTGTAAAAGTTGTGGGTGGGAAGGGGAAGAGCCAGCACATGGGGCTTTGTGAATTCCTTGTTGCAGCGTGAAGGGGATGCTTGGGAGCTATTTGTCCTCACCCCATGATCTCCAGTTCCTCTCTCTGTCCTTCTGCACAAAAACAGCGTAAGTGTTGTTGTGCTGTGGCTAAAAGGGTTTTTTGTTTTGTATTTTTGAGACAGAGTCTCACTCTGTTGCCCAAGCTGGTGTGCAGTGGCACCATCTCAGTTCACTGCATCTTCTGCCCCCTGGGTTCAAGCGATTCTCCTGCCTTAGCCTCCCGAGTAGCTGAGACTACAGGCACGTACCACCACACCTGGCTAATTTTTGTATTTTTTAGTAGAGATGCAGTTTCACCATGTTGGCCAGACCGGTCTTGAACTCCTGACCTCAGGTAATCCACCTGCCTCGGCCTCCCAAAGTGCTGGGATTACAGGCGTAAGCCACCATGCCCGGCCGCTAAAAGGTTTTTTTGTTTGTTTGTTTGCTTTTTTTGAGACGGAGGCGCACTCTGTCGTCAGGCTGGAATGCAGTGGCACGATCTCGGCTCACCGCAACCTCTGCCTCCCGGGTTCAAGCGATTCTCCTGCCTCAGCCTCCCGAGTAGCTGGGATTATACGTGCAGGCCACCATGCCCGGCTAATTTTTGTATTTTTAGTAGAGATGGGGTTTCACCATGTTGGCCAGGATGGTCTCGATCAATTGACCTCGTGATCCTCCGGCCTCAGCCTCCCAAAGTGCTGGGATTACAGGCGTGAGCCACAGCGCCCGGCCCGTTAAAAAGGTTTTTACAGTGGCTTCTCTTCACTTTTCCTCAAGCCCTGGGGAACTGTTGAAAAGAACAAAGAAATCAGCGATGTTCGTCTCCAGTGGAAAGTATTGGTGCAGAGACTTTCAGCCAACTACTTTGCTAAGGAGGGGACTGTGCAGGCTCCTAAACCAAAGGCTGAGCTTCTGAGCCAGTGACTCCCACTGGCCCATTCTAACCAATGGGGAAGCCAGACTCTTGGCATATCAGTGCTGGGTGAACCTAGGAACTCTGATGCCATGAGCTTAGATGAGCATCCCGAGGTAGGAATTGGGAACTTGTGGTTTCTGGCTCAGATGTGACTAAGGCTGGGTGGAGCGTATCTGGTATCTCCAAACATTTTTGCAGGCATGTGACCATGTGCTTACCACACAATGGAACCATTTCTGTTGTTACAGCTTTGTGATTCAATACTTCTGGCGAGAAGGTGGGGCACTCCACAGTTGTGTGGGCCATGTAAGCCTCACCAGAAGTGGAGTAACATCTGAGACCCACAGAATGGTGCTGGAGACAGTAATCACCCCGGACGGGGCCCTGTTTAGAGAAAGTCAACTCTGGGGAATGGAAACCTCATGAAATTCAGGCCCAAACTTGAGTTTACCCAGGGGCCTAGATTAAAGTGAGTTTAGTGAGGAACTCCCTTCAGGCATAAAATTTAAGAGGGCACCAAAAAATTCAGGAAACCCAAGATAAATAATATCTTAACACAATATTTTTAAAAATCGAAATTAATGCAAAAAATCCATGATGAACAGAATATCAACATTTAAAATATAGGCAGACTATTGTTTATGACCTTGCATTATTTTGCAATGGGAACAGTCATTACCAATCAGCCCATGGTTCCCAGGCAGACTGCCACTGCGTGTCCTGACAAGTGGCTTTATGAGAGTTGACAATAACATGTGAACAGATTGAATAACATGGAACTTTATATGTAGTCTTTTTTTTATTGGAATGCTTTTATCCACTTGTTCTATTTGGTTCAAAATATGGAAGGTAAGTGCATATAGGACATATATTTTTTCTTTTGTCTTGGGCTCGAATATGGTTCAACTCAGTACTGGTTTTTACCCTCAAAGGAAGTAAAGTCTAGGAAGGGGGTTCTAGCTGTTTTACCTTAAGCAAATGACTTAATTCCTCTGCCTATTTTCTTGTCTTTTTTTTTCTTTTTTTTGAGACAGAGTCTTGCTCTGTCACCAGGCTGGAGTATAGTGGCCCAATCTCAGCTCACTTCAACCTCTGCCTCCCGGATTCAAGTGATTCTCCTGCCTCAGCCTCCTGAGTAGCTGGGACTACAGGCGTGTGCCACCACGCCCAGCTAATTTTTGTATTTTTAGTACAGACAGGGTTTCACCATGTTGGCCAGGATGGTCTCTATCTCTTGACCTCGTGATCTCTCTGCCTCGGCCTCCCAAAGTGCTGGGATTACAGACGTGAGCCACCCAACCTGGCCTCTTTTTCTTGTCTTTAAAATGAGAATAATCACACCACTTTTCAGTGTTGCTGTGAAGATGAATTGAGGTACTGTAGGCTGAGTTCTTAATATACACCTTGCTATAGACACTAAACCAGCATTGGACTCCTTCCCTCTTTCTATCCTGCAGGAATGGTTCAAGCAGCTGGACAGTTATGGTTCCCTAATGGGGCTGACACTTATTCCCATGGGTTTCTTATTGCTATTTGTCCTGTTCTGGGCAAAGCAGAGAGAACTTTTACACTCAACTGACATGCAACAGTGCAACTTTTGAATTAACTCTGATTTTCTTGATAAATAATCATGGGCATTCTAAACTTTTTAAGAAAGCCCCTTCTGCTTATGACATTACACAAGGCAGCTAGACTATAGCCCTCTTCTATCAAGTGACAATCTGGACAGGCGAAAAATAGCAAAGTCCTTATAGAAAAATGGTACAAGCTGGGCGCCGTGGCTCACGCCTGTAATCCCAGCACTTTGGGAGGCTGAGGCGGGTAGATCACAAGGTCAGCAGTTCGAGAACAGCCTGACCAACATGGTGAAATGCCATCTCTACTAAAAATACAAAAAAATTAGCTGGGCGTGGTGATGGGCGCCTGTAGTCCCAGCTACTTGGGAGACTGAGGCAGGAGAATCGCTTGAAACTGGAAGGTGGAGGTTGTAGTGAGCCGAGATTGTGCCACTGCACTCTAGCCTGGGCAACGAGAGCAAAACCCTGTCTCAAAAAAAAAAAAAAAAAAAAAAGAAAAGAAAAGAAAAAAGAAAAATGGTACATTATAGAAGCACTAAAAAAGTACACTATTCATGTAGATTAGAATTAAAGGTCAGTATTGTATTAGCCTGCTGTAACAAAATACCGTAGACTGGGTGGCTTAAACAACATTTATTTTCTCACAGCTTTGAAGGCTGGGAAGTCCAAACTTAAGATGCCAGCCAATTCCATTTCTGGTGAAGGCTCTCTTCTTGGCTTGTAGATGGCCACCTTCTCACTGTGTTCTCACATGCTGAAAGAGAGACAGAGAGAGCATTTGTGAGTAAGCTCTGGGGTCTCTTCTCTTCTCACAAGGACATTCATCCTTATCTTTTTTTTTTTTTTTCTTTTTGAGACAGAGTCTTGCTCTGTTGCCTAGCCTAGAGTGTAGTGGTGAGATCTCGGCCACTGCAACCTCTGCCTCCCCGGTTCAAGTGATTCTCCTGCCTCAGCCTCCCAAGTAGCTGCGATTACAGGTGCGTGCCACTATGCCCTGCGAATTTTGTATTTTTAGTAGAGACAGGGTTTCACCATGTTGGCCAGGCTGGTCTTGAACTCCTTTCCTCAAGTGATCCGCCCGCCCCCACCTCCCAAATTGCTGAGATTACAGGTGTGAGCCACCGTGCCTGGCCAAGGACAGTAATCCTATTGAATCAGGGCTTCACCCTTACGACCTCGTTTAATCTTAATTACTTCCTTGTTCCCAGTGGAGTCACACTGGAGGTTAGGGCTTCAACATATGAATCTTGAGGGACCACAATTCAATCCATAGCTAGTATGAACTCATGGTTTTAAAGATATTGATAAATAGATACAAAAATAAATATAGCTGGGTGCAGTGGCTTGCGTCTGTAATCCCAGCCACTCAGGAGGCTCAGGTGGGAGGATTGCTTGAGCCCAGGAGTTTGAGGCTGCAGTGAGCTATGGTTGTGCCACTGCACTCTACCCTGGGTGACAGAGCAAGACCCTGTCTCTAAAAGTAAATAAAGCCATAAATGTATATCTATATATATCTCTCTCTATATATATATGTATATATATTTGCATACATGTACATATATGCATATGTATGTATATGAACAATCACGTTCACACACACACGTGCACTCCCCAGCTCTGTTGGTGAAGAAGGCCTAGAAACAACGATAGTCTAGTGGGAATAACCACACTTAGCACCCAGATATTGACCTCTCAATCACCATTCTCTACAAAAAGGGACTATGGATCCTTGGAGAAATGGTTGATTCTAGAATGAAGTTGAGAAAATTCAAGATGAACCTGGAACATCTTGTTGTGCCAGAAAGTAAGGAGGTTCTCAAAGAATAATGCAGACATGTCAAAGGACCAGGAGTCAGGTTAAAAGGGCTCCCACTGGCCAAAGATGGGGCAATTAGGCATCAAAATAAAATATAACAGTAATAAATTATAATGTAATAAAATAAGAATGCTTAAGTCCACAATAATATCAATCAGTAAATAAACAGGGGAAAGAAGAAAGCCCTTCCTTACAGTAGAATGCTCACTAGTAAATGTAGAAGGAATGACATAGTTAGAAAATCATCAGTGGCTACTAGAATTAGTGGGTGAAAATTTATTGATGAACAGGATACTTATATAGTCTAAAACGTATCTCTTCACAAATTACTTATTAATTCTAAAGAAAAAAGTAGTGACTACAGTGGAGAGACCTAGCAGACACCAAGTTAATCAAAAATCAAAGTTAACATCACCAATGCTGGGGCAAGTGATCATAATGTGCCTCCTGATACAATGTACTGGGAAAGACACAGCACTACTTCTGTGATATACCTGCTAAAAAATACATAATCAGTCAGGCTGGGCACGGTGGCTCACGGCTGTAATCCCAGCACTTTGGGAGGCTGAGGCAGGCGGATCATGAGGTCTGGAGTTCGAGACTATCCTGGCCAACATGGCGAAACCCTGTCTCTACTAAAAATACAAAAAATGATCCGGGTGTGGTGGCACGTGCCTGTAGTCCCAGCTACTCAGGAGGCTGAGGCAGGTGAATCGCTTGAACCTGGGAGGCAGAGGTTGCAGTGAGCCTAGATAGCACCACTGCACTCAAGCCTGGGTGACAGAGCAAGACTCCGTCTCCAAAAAAAAAAAAAACTATAATCAGTCTGGATCAAATCAGAAGGAAACATCAAACAAATCCAAACTGAAAGATATTCTATAAAAGAACTGGCCAGGCAGCCAGGCATGGTGGCTCACGCCTGTAATCTCAGCACCTTGGGAGGCCAAGGTGGGCAGGTCACCTGAGGTTAGGAGTTCAAGACCAGCCTGGCTAACATGGTGAAATCCCGTTTCTACTAAACATACAAAAAATTACCCTGGGCTTGGTGGCGCACGCTGGTAATCCCAGCTACTAAGGAGGCTGAGGCAGGAGAATAGCTTGAACCCGGGAGGCAGAGGTTGCAGTGAGCCGAGATTGCACCACTGCACTCCAACTTGGGCAACAAGGGCAAAACTCTGTCTCAAAAGAAAAAAAGAAAAGAAGAACTGGCCAGCCACAATGGCTCATGCCTGCAATTCTAGCACATTGGAAGGCTGAGGCAAGAGGATTGCTTGAGGTCAGGGGTTCGAGACCAGCCTGGGCAACACAGCCAGACACTGTCTCTAAAAATAAATAAATAAATACAAAAGAACTGGACTGTATTCCTCAAAAATGTCAAGGTCAAGAAAAACAAAGGAAGACTGAGGAATAGTTCCAGATTGAAGGAAACTAAAAAGACATGAAAAGTAAATGTAATGTGTGATCCTAGATTGGGCTGGGCAAAAAGAAATAGCAATAAAAGACATTATTTGACAATTGTTGAAATTTGAACATGGACTGCGAGTTAGAGAGTATTATATCAATTGAAATCTTCTGATTTTGATAATCATGCTGAAGTTCTGCAAGGGAATGCCCTTGTTCTTAGGAAATACACACTGAAGTATTTGGAGTTAAAGGACATGATGTTTCCAATTCAATCTCAAGTGGTTCAGAATGAAAGATAGCCTGCTCTGAAAGAGAGAGAAAGGGAAAGAGAGAGAATATCAAAATAATAGTCACATGGAAATTTCTTGAATCATTCTTACAACACTTTTGTAAATTTAAAATTATATCGGCCGGGCATGGTGGCTTACACCTGTAATACCAGCACTTTGGGAGGCCAGGGCAGGTGGATCACCTAAGGTCAGGAGTTCAAGACCAGCCTGGCCAACATGGTGAAACCCCATCTCTACTAATAATACAAAAATTAGCCAGGTGTGGTGGGGCACACCTGTAATCTCTGGGGAGGCTGAGGCAGGAGAATCAGTTGAACCCAGGAGGTGGAGGTTGCAGTGAGCCAAGATCGTGCCATTGCACTCTAGCCAGGGCAACAAGAGCGAAACTTCATTAACATGGGCAGCCCCTGATTATTATTATTTTTTTTTTTGAGACAGAGTCTCACTCTATTGCCCAGGCTGAAGTGCAGTGGCTCAATCTCAGCTCACTGCAACCTCCGCTGCCCGGGTTCAAAAGATTCTCGTGCCTCAGCCTCCCAAGTAGCTGGGATTACAGGCGCCTGCAACTGCACCCGGCTAATTTTTGTATTTTTAGTAGAGACAGGGTTTCACCATGTGGGTCAGGCTGGTCTTGAACTCCTGAGCTCAGGTCATCCACCTGCCTTGGTCTCCCAAAGTGCTGAGATTACAGGCGTGAGCCACCATGCCTGGCCGACCCTGAATTTTCATGGGGTTTATCTCCTACCCTCCAGGTCACGTAAGTTTTACTAAGGCATCTAAAGTATGCGTTATTTTCAGCTTATCAGACCAACTTAGCATAATTTTGTCAATGTAATAGACCATCGTGATGTTTTGTGGAATGTCAAAATTATCAAGATCTGCTAGGGCTGTTTTCTGTTTTTTCGTTTTGTTTTGTTTTTTTTTTTTGAGACAGGGTCTGGCCCTGTCGTCCAGACTGGAGTGCAGTGGCACGATCTCGGCTCTCTGCAACCTCCCCCTCCTCAGCTCAAGCCATCCTCCTGCCTCAGCCTCCCGAGTAGCTGGGACTACAGGTGTATGTCACCATGCCCAGCTAATTTTTGTATTTTTTGTAGAGATGGGGTTTTCCCATGTTGCCCAGGCTGGTCTTGAACTCCCGAGCTCAAGCAATCTGCCCACTTGGTCTCCCAAAGTGCTGGGATTACAGACTTGACCCACCGTGTCTGGCCTGCTAGGACTGTACATGACAGAGAGCAGGAGAATTGACAGCATGCTCTAGATGTCTGTCAGCCCCTTTCTCTCGCCTCCCAAGTTCTTGTGCAATGAGCCCATAAACAAAGTGGCCATGGTGGCATAGATGGAGGCTGCCCAGGGATTCAGTTATGTGAACTTCATCTTTCCAAAGCTGACCTAGATAACATCACTGTTGAGTGCCTAATCTGCCAACAGCCGAGACCCATACAAAGCCCTCCAATATGGCACCACTCACAGAGGGGACCAACCAGCCACCTGTGGCAAGTTCATTACACTGCACCTGTTTTATCATGGAGGGGCTGAGATTTGTCCTCATTGCAATAGACACATATTCTGAATATGGATTTGCCTTCCTTGCCCATTATGCTTCTGCAGGAACAGCACCCATGGACTCACAGAATGCCTTATTTACCATCGTGGGATTCCCCATAACAATACTTCTGGTCAGATAACTCATTTCACAGCAATGGGTTCAAGGCCATGCAATTAACTAGTTGTTGTTGTTGTTGTTGTTGTTGTTTTGAGATGGAGTCCCGCTCTGTCGCCCAGGCTAGAGTGTAGTGGCGCAATCTCGGCTTACTGCAACCTTCACCTTCTGGGTTCACGCCATTCTCCCGCCTTCAGCCTCCCGAGTAGCTGGGACTACAGACACCCACCACCACGTCCAGCTAATTTTTTATATTTTTAGTAGAGACGGGGTTTCACCATGTTAGTCAAGATGGTCTCGATCTCCTGACCTTGTGATCCGCCCGCCTCAGCCTCCTAGAGTGCTGGGATTACAGGCATGAGCCACCACGCCCGGCTGCAATTAACTAGTTTTACCACCTACTCCATCACCTGAAAATAGCTGGGCTAGTTAAAAGGTGGAATGGAGGGCCCGGCACGGTTGCTCACGCCTGTAATCCCAGCACTTTGGGAGGCCGAGCTGGGTGGATCACCTGAGGTCGGGAGTTTGAGCCCAGCCTGACTAACATGGAAAAACCCCATCTCTACTAAAAATACAAAATTAGCTGGGCATGGTGCCACATGCCTGTAATCCCAGCTACTCGGGAGGCTGAGGCAGGAGAATCGCTTAAACCAGGGAGGTGGAGGTTGTGGTGAGATCACAGCATTGCACTCCAGCCTGGGCAACAACAGCAAAACTCTATCTCAAACAACAACAACAAACAAACAAACAAACAAACAAAACAAAGGCAAAGGTGGAATGGTTTACTGAAGACTCAGTTACAGTGCTATTCAGGAGACAAGACACAGAAAGGATGGATTCTGTCTTACGACATGCAATATATACTTTGAATCATTATTTGAATCTCTTCCATAGCTAGAACTCATGAATCCAGGAATCAAGGGTAGAAGTGGGAGTGCATCCACTTACTACTATCTCTAGTAACCCACTGGCAGAATTTTTTTTTTTTGAGACAGAGTCTTGCTCTGTCACCCAGGCTGGAGTTCAGTGGCACGATCTCAGCTCACTGCAACCTCTGCCTCCCAGGTTTAAGCGATTCTCATGCCCCAGCCTCCCGAGTAGCTGGGATTACAGGTGCACGCCACCATGCCCTGCTAATTTTTGTATTTTTAGTAGAGATGGGATTTCACCATGTTGGCCAGGCTGGTCTTGAACTCCTGACCTCAGGTGATCCACCCGTCTCGGCCTCCCAAAGTGCTGGGATTACAGGCGTGAGCTACTGCACCAGGTGAGTTTTCTACTACTGTGTAACAAATTGCCGCAAACTTACTGGCTTAAAACAATACCCATTTATTGATCCACAGTTTCTGTGGGTCAGGAAAGTGGGCAGGGCTCAGCTGGGTTGTTTGCTCAGGACTCACAGGCTGTAATCAAGGTGTTGGCCAAGGCTGCACCTGGGAGCCTGGAGGCCTGGCAGGGGAAGAAGCCTCTTCCAAGCTCATTCAAAGTGTTGGCAGAATTCATTTCCTTGCTATAGGACTGGGGCCTGATTTCTCTTCTTTTTCTTTTTGAGATGGAGTTTTGTTCTTGTTGCCCAGGCTGGAGTGCAATGGCGTGATCTCAGCTCATCGCAACCTCTGCCTCCCAAGTTCAAGCGATTCACCTGCCTCAGCCTCCTGAGTAGCTGGGATTACAGGCATGTGCCACCACGCCTGGCTAATTTTGTATTTTTAGTAGAGATGAGGTTTCTCCATGTTGGTCAGTCTGTTCTCGAGCTCCCAACCTCAGGTGATCCGCCCGCCTTGGCTTCCCAAAGTGCTGGGATTACAGGCGTGAGCCATCGTGCCCAGCCATGATTTCTTGCTAGCTGGAGGCTGTTCACAGCTCCCTGGGGTATTCCACAGTTGTTTGACAGATGGGCTTTCGCTAATGGCCGCTTACTTCATCAAGCCAGCAAGGAGAGTCTCTAGAGCAAGTCTGCAAGCAAGACAGACTCATAGACTAGCATAACATAACCATGGGAGTATGACATCACATAACATAACCATGGGAGTACCATCACCTTTGCCGTGGCCTGGGCTCCTTCTGGTTAGCAGTCACTCTCAGGTCCTGTTCCTACTCAAGGTGTGGGGAACACATAAAAGTGTGAATACCAGGCCGGGCGTGGTGGCTCATGCTTGTAATCCCAGCACTTTGGGAGGCCAAGGTGGGTGGATCACTTGAGGTCAGGAGTTCAAGACCAGCCTGGCCGACATGGTGAAACCCCATCTCTACTAAAACTACAAAAAGTTAGCCAGGCGTGGTGTCATGAGCCTGTGATCCCAGCTACTTGAGAGGCTGAGGCAGGAGATTAGCTTGAATCCAGGAGGTGGAGGTTGCAGTGAGCCAAGATCTCACCACTGCACTCCAACCTGGGCGACAGAGCAAAACTCTATCTCAAAACAAAACAAAACAAACAAAAAACAAAAAACCCCAAAAATGTGAATACCAGAAAACAGACATAGTGGGGAACTACCTTACAGTCTGTCTGCTACATGTGAATAGGAGGACTATGTCTGGAAACCAGAGGATCCTCAGGGTGTACCAAGTGGTACCTCCATGCCCAGTAGTAAAGGTCAATGGGAAACTAGTAGCCAAAAGAAGGCAGGAAGATTGACATCTCAGGCCTTTCAGAAATGAAACTTCAGACAGGGTGCGGTGGCTCATGCCTGTAATCCTAGCACTTTGGGAGGCCGAGGTGGGTGGATCACTTGAGTTCAGGAGTTCAAGACAAGCCTGGCCAACATGGTGAAATCCCATCTCTACTAAAAATACAAAAATTAGCCAGACATGATGGCGCGTGCCTGTAGTCCTACTCGGGAGGCTGAGGCAGGAGAATCGCTTGAACCCGAGAGGTGGAGGCTGCAGTGAGCCAAGATCTCACCACTGCACTCCAGCCTGGGCGACAGAAGGAGACTCCATCTCAAAAAAAAAAAAAAAAAAGAAAGAAATGAAGGTTTGGGTTACTTCAACAGGTAAAAAAATTCACTCATCTGCGGTTCTAGCTAAAATTAGGGGAAATAGGGAATGAGTAGTGAAAGAAGGAAGGCATAGATATCAATTATGGCCTTGTGACTGATTACTAGCCTGGTCTAGTGACCAGCCACCTGGACTATAGTAGTAGTTTTGCATATTTTCTTTCTGTTTGTTCTGTATATGTGGGACTTTTTTACATGCTGCCTCAGTCTGTTCAGGGGCTGCTATAACAAAATATCATAGACTAGGTAGCTGCTGCTGCTAATGCTGCTGCTGCTTTTTTTGGGGTGGGGTAGGGTGTAGAGATGAGATCTTGTTCTATTGCCCAGGCTGGTCTCAACCTCCTGGCCTCAAGCGATCCTTCCACCTTGGGCTTCCAAAGTACTGGAATTACAGGCCTGAGCCACTATGCCCAGCCAGCAGGTAGCTTCTAGCTTCTAAACTGTAGGGAAAAGAAAGATCAGACTGTTACTGTGTCTATATAGAAAGGGAAGACATGAGAGACTCCATTTTGAAAAAAGACCTGTACTTTAAACAATTGCTTTGCTGAGATGTTGTTAATTTGTAGCTTTGCCCCAGACACTTTGCCCCAGCCACTTTGACCCAACCTGGAGCTCACAAAAACATGTGTTGTATGAAATCAAGGTTTAAGGGATCTAGGGCTGTGCAGGATGTGCCTTGTTAACAAAATGTTTATGAGCAGTATACTTGGTAAAAGTCATCGCCATTCTCTAGTCTCAATAAACCAGGGGCACAATGCACTTCGGAAAGCCGCAGGGACCTCTGCCCTTGAAAGCTGGGTATTGTCCAAGGTTTCTCCCCATGCAATAGTCTGAAATATGGCCTCGTGGGATGAGAAAGACCTGACCGTCCCCCAGCCTGACACCCGTAAAGGGTCTGTGCTGAGGTGGATTAGTAAAAGAGGAAAGCCTCTTGCAGTTGAGATAGAGGAAGGCCACTGTCTCCTGCCTGCCCCTGGGAACTAAATGTCTCGGTATAAAACCCGATTGTACATTTGTTCAATTCTGAGATGGGAGAAAAACCGCCCTGTGGCGGGAGGCGAGACATGTTTGCAGCAATGCTGCCTTGTTATTCTTTACTCCACTGAGATGTTTGGGTGGAGAGAAACATAAATCTGGCCTACGTGCACATCCAGGCATAGTACCTTCCCTTGAACTTAATTATGACATAGATTCTTTTGCTCACATGTTTTTTGCTGACCTTCTCCTTATTATCACCCTGCTCTCCTACTATGTTCCTTTTTGCTGAAATAATAAAAATAATAATCAATAAAAACTGAGTGAACTCAGAGACCGGTGCCGGTGCAGGTCCTTGGTGTGCTGAGTGCCGGTCTCCTGGGCCCACTGTTGTTTCTCTATACTTTGTCTCTGTGTCTTATTTCTTTTCTCAGTCTCTCGTCCCACCCGACTAGAAATACCCACAGGTGTGGAGGGGCAGGCCACCCCTTCACTAAAAAACAGAAATTTATTTCTTACTATTCTAGAGGCTAGAAGTCCAAAATCAAGGCACTGTCAGATTCATTGTCTGGTAAGGGCCTGTTTCCTAATTCGTAGATGGCACCTTCTTGCTGTGTCCTCGCACAGTGGAAGGGCAAGACATCTCTCTGGGGCCTCTTTTATAAGGACATTTATTCCATTAATGAGGGTTCTGCCCTCATGACATAATCACCTCCCAAAAGTCCCTACCTCCTAATACCACCACCTTGTGGGGTTACGATTTCAACATAAGAATTTGGAGGGACACAAGCATTCAAATCATAGTACTAATTTTTTTGTTTCTCTTTCTCTCCATTTTTATTTCCTATGTAAGTTGTTGCATGCAAGCTAATGTTACAATTTAGTCTTTAGGTAAAAAATAATAGAGACTATGACTGCATTTGATAAGTATTTAGTAAAGCCAGTGATGCAATGATTGTTGGGACTGTGTGTCTTCTCATTTTGGAGAGAGGATGAGAACTTCTTCATTTATAAGAAAGACAGTTGGTCTTCTTTAGGCGGAAATATGAAGTTGTTTCAATATTGCATGGAAATTCAAATGTATATAGGAGTGGATATGGAAGCTGAGCGTTGATCCACTGTGCCAGTTATCAACTTGTTGCCTCTCAGCAACAAATGCACCCTCTGTTGTACAGTTCCATGATCCTGGAGAGGAGCCCTGTACTTTTTCTTTTCCAGCTAACACAATGCTCAGCTTTGTCAGTAGAGGGAGCTAGCGGGACACTGTAGGAGGCAGGGGTTTAGGAGTTTCTCTCCTTGGTTCTTGTGTGCGCCTCTCACTAGGCTCCTGTGGGTTTTTTTGGTTTGTTTGTTTTTGAGACAGGGTTTCACTCTGTCACCCAGGCTAGGGTGCAATGGTGTGATCATGGCTCAATGCAACCTCAACCTCCCGGGCTCAAGGGATCCTCCCACTTCAGCCTCCCAAGTAGCTGGGACTACAGGCGTGTGCCAACATGCTCAGCTAATTGTGTGCTGGGATTACAGGTGTGTACCACCATGTCCGGCCTCTTGAAACGTTTGAGGTTCCTCCATGGCCCGGCCCCTGGAGCACATCTGGTTTTCCAGCCCAGGCTCCAGCAGCGTGGGCTCCTGTGGTGTGAGCAGCTTCTTCAGTGCCTGGGTCCTACAGCGCGTGGCAGTCAGCAACACACCATGGCTAGGAGCTTCCCTCGGCACCTCTTTGGGTGGCTTTGCAGCAGGTTTTGAGATGCAGTACCTCCCTGTGAGCAACTTCCCCAGCACACCTAAATGGCAGATTTCTAGCAAGTTCCACCGGTGCAGCACCACAATGACTTTTTTGCCTTCCAGTGAGCCACAGCCCCATCCTCTCCAATGAGGTCTGGATTTCAGCCCTGGGGGAAGGGTGGGGAAGGAGCTCTTTTTTGGGTGTCTATCTCAGCCCTAGGGCCTAGGAGCTGCCCCTTATATCTTCTAGTCCTTATTCTTTAGCATTCTCCTTGTCTTATGAGCCAATCCCTCAGTACTCCAACTCCTGGTTACAGTGAGTCTTTGTATCAAACTTTCCCTGTCCAAATGACTGTGTGGAGACTGGACTCTGAAAAAGTGGGGAATGACAAGACTAGTAGGAAGAAGGATGAAGAATCTCAAGACAGCAAGTTTTGTCTTACAATCCAGGGATGCCCTGGGAACCAGTGACCTGGGTGTCAAAGCTCTTTTAGAAAACAATATTGATGGCCGGGTGCGGTGGCTCATGCCTGTAGTCCCAGCACTTTGGGAGGCCAAGGCGGGCAGATCACCTGAGGCCAGGAGTTTGAGACCAGCCTGGCCAACATGGTGAAACCCAATCTCTACTAAAAATACAAAAATTAGGCTGGGCATGGTGGCTCATGCCTGTAATCTCAGCACTTTGGGAGGCTGAGGCAGGCGGATCATGAGGTCAAGAGATCAAGACCATCGAGGTCAACATGGTGAAACCCCATCTCTACTAAAAATACAAAAATTAGCTGGGCGTGGTGGCACACACCTGTAGTCCCAGCTACTTGGGAGGCTGAGGCAGGAGAATCGCTTGAACCCGGGAGGCAGAGGTTGCAGTGAGCCGAGATTGTGCCACTGCACTCCAGCCTGAAAGAGCGAGACTCTGTCTCAAAAAACAAACAAACAAACAAACAAATTAGTCGGGTGTGGTGGCACATGCCTGTAATCCCAGCTACTCAGGAGGCTGAGGCAGGAGAATCACTTGGACCTGGGAGACGGAGGTTGCACTGAGCCCAAATTTTGCCACTGCACTCCAGCCTGGGTAACAGAGTGAGACTCCATCTCAAAAAAAAAAAAAAAAGAAAGAAAGAAAGAAAGAAGTACGGGGTCTTTCTCAGGCCATATTTAGTTTGCTTTAACAATCTCTAAGCACTTACATTTCATTTAATTCTTACTGGAGCTCTATAGGAGGCAGTGTCATTGCTGTTCATCTTATTATACTGATGAAAAGGCTGAGGTGAAGAAATGTGCAGGATATCATATAGCTGGGAAGTTATATGTTCCAGTTACAACTACTGCATAACAACTTATGCCCCAAAACTTAGTGGCATAAAACAACCATTTTAATACACTCATGGGTTTTGTGGGTCAGGATGTTTTAAAATGTCCTTGAGATTTTGGGTTTATTTAGGAATGGTAAGCCCAACAGCTCAGGAGATGACTACATTGAAAATATAGTTTGTTACTCACAGTTCCCATGAGGAGCAGGCACCCCACACCACACAGGACACATGGGGAAGCACCAAGGTTGGCCAGGAGGCAGAAGGAGCAAGGGAAAGCATTGCGGGTTTTTTGGGAAGCAATGGGTAAGGCAGAGTAAACAGGCTAGGTAGGTTTAGGATTGGATACTCTGAATAATTCCAGTGGGCTCTGGGGTATAGGGACTGTCTCTAATTGCCCAATACCTGGGCCTGGGATGATTGAGGCAGAGGAATATCGCCTGGTGGAGTGTAAGAGCCAGATAGAGGAGGCGGTTCAGAGTATGGACTCAGGGTTGGTTGGTTTGCAGGTCAAAGGCACGCTTACAAGCAAGTTGTTCGCCATCTCCAGAATTTAGCTGGCGTAGCTGGGTGCAGGGACTCATAATCCCAGCACTTTGGGAGGCTGAAGGGGAAGGATCGCTTGAGACCAGGAGTTCAAGACCAGCTTGGGCAATATGGTGAGACCTCATCTCCACAAAAAAACAAAAAATAAAAAATTAGCCAGGCATGGTGGTGCACACTTGTAGTCCCAGCTACTTGGGAAAGTGAGGCAGGAAGATCTCTTGAGCCCCAGGAGTTAGAGGATGCAGTGAGCTGTGTTTGCACCACTGCACACCAGCGTGGGTGACAGAGCAAGACCCTGTCTCTCTAAAAAGAAAGGAAGGAAGGAAAGAAGGAAGGAAGAAAGAAAGAAGAAAGAAAACAGAAGAAGAAAAATAAAAATAAATTAGCTGGCTCTGGAGGGGGCAGTCCCTTCCCTGATCTGCCAGGCCTCAAGATGGCAAAAATACATCTTAAAATACAGAAAATAAAATAAATGCATTATAAAATACAGAAACAAACAAACAAACAAACATGATCACTACACAGGAATTCAGCCAGAGCACAGCAGGAGGGGCTTGTTTCTGATCCACAATGTCAGGACTTCAGCTGGGAAGCCTTGAATGCTGAGGTTGACTTGATAGCTGGAGGGGCTGGAATAATCGTTTCTTATCCCTTTGGTGCCTAGCCTGGGAAAACCTGAAGACTAGAACTGTTGACTGGAGTGCTTCAGTGGCTTCTCAATGTGACCAGAAGCATGGTGGCCTCAGAATAGCCAGACTTCTTCCATAGTGGCTCAGGGCTTCAAGTGTATTTTTATTTTGGCAAATAGGGCAGAAGCTGCATTGCCTTTTTTTTTTTTTTTTTTTTTTTTTTGAGACAGGGTCTTGCTGTGTCATCCAGGCTGGATTGCAGTGGTGTGATCTTGGCTCACAGCAACCTCTGCCTCCCAGGCTCAAGCGATCCTCCCACCTCAGCCTCCCAAGTAACTGGAACTACAGGGTCACGCCACCACACCCAGGTACATTTTTTTTTTTTTTTTTTTGTATTTTTGTAGAGATAGGGTTTTGCCATGTTGCCCAGGCTGGTCTCGAACTCCAGCCTGGTCAGGGCGATCTGCCCACCTCAGCCTCCCAAAGTTCTGGGATTACAGACATGAGCCACCATGCCCAGGCTGCATTGCCTTTTTTGACATGACCTAGAAGAGATATAGTGTTGTTACTGCCATTAGTTACAACTGAGTCATAAGCCTGCCCAGATTCTGGAGGAGAGTCACAGAATTTCCAGCTATTTTTTAAAACCCACCCATGTGGAACTAGGATTCAGATTCTGGCAGTTTGGCTCCAGGCCCTCCTTGCTTAACTACAGGGTCAATGTAAGGCACAGAAATCTGTTTAAGTTTGCCCAGGAAGTGGGGAGAAAGGTACTGTGAAACTGAAGTGTGTTCACTGCTATGAAGTCCAGCTGAATGACCTGGAGCAAGTCACAGGCAGCTATTTTCTGTCTCTCACTATCCCTCGTCTCTGCATATCTGCCTGTGGTAGTTAACTTTATGTGTCAACTTGACTGGGCCATAGGATGCCCAGATATTTGGTCAAATGTGATTCTGGGTGTTTCTGTGAGGGTGTTTGTGGATGAGATTAACATATACATTGGTAGACTGAAAGCCAATTGCCTCCAATTGTGGGTGGGGCTCATCCAATAGGTTGAAGGCCTGAATAGAATACAAATCAGCCAGTTTACAGGCTGTCGTGTGGGGTAAGGAGGTCATGCAGATAAACACTCAGCACAGAGCATCATCCAACACTAGCCCAGCCCTTGGGGGCCATTCTCCTGCATTAAAGCTCCTGCTGCCGGGCTCAGTGGCTCATGCCTGTAATCCCAACGCTTTGGGAGGCTGAGGCGAGTGGATCACCTGAGGTCAGGAGCTCGAGACCAGCCTGGCCAACATGGTGAAACCCCATCTCTACTAAAAATACAAAAATTAGCGGGGCGTGGTGGCAGGCGCCTGTAATCCCAGCTACTTGGGAGGCTGAGGCAGGAGAATCACTTGAACCTGGGAAGCGGAGGTTGCAGTGAGCCGATAACACACCATTACACTCCAGCCTGGGTGACAGAGTGAGACTCTGTCTCAAAAAAAAAAAAAGGAAAAAAAAAAAAGAAAGCTCCTGCTGTGGTTAGGATAGGGAGTTAGGGGGCAAATCCCCCATTCCAGGGGCTCTCTAGCATAGCAGGGGAGACATGGAAATAACAGACAGAGTCAGGCTCCCAAGTGCAGATCTTAGGGACTGCAGCAACCACACCCACTCTCATGGTCTCTTGCCTGGCCCCACTCACTCTTGGGGCCTCTTGCCCAGCCCTCTACCTCCTGACCCTCCCCACAAAATCGGGACCATTCTCTTTCCTGCCATTCAGGGGCAGTCCTCTGATGTTTTGTCTCACCCTAGACCAAGGCTGAAGCCTCAGATATAGGCAGTGGTGAAAAGATCCGATTTGGAATTTCTATTTCTACTAGCTGTGTGACACTGGATGAGCCACATAACCTCCCTGTGTCTTGGGCTCAGTTTCCTCATTTTAAGGTGAGGATTTTTTTGTTTTGTTTTGTTTTTGTTTGTTTGTTTTGAGATGGAGTTACGCTCTGTCTCCCAGGCTGGAGTGCAGTTGTACAATCTTGGCTCAGTGCAACCTCCGCCTCCTGGGTACAAGCAATCCTCCTGCCTCAGCCTGCCTCCTGAGTAGCTGGGACTACAGGCATGCGCCACTGCCTGGCTAATTTTTTTTTTCCTTTTTGATGGAGTCCCACTCTGTTGCCCAGGCTGGAGTGCAGTGGCGTGATCTCAGCTCACTGCAACCTCTGCCTCCCGGGTTCAAGCAGTTCTCCTGTTTCAGCCTCGCAAGTAGCTGGTACTGCAGGCGCACGCCACAACACCCGGCTAATTTTTGTATTTTTAGTAGAGATGGGGTTTCACCATGTTGGCCAGGCTGGTCTCGAACTCCTGACCTCAGGTGATCTGCCTGCCTCGGTCTCCCAAAGTGCTGGGATTACAGGTGTGAGCCACCGCCCCTGGCCTAAAATGAGGATGGTTTTAACAGTTCCTACTTCACAGGGCTATTGTAGGAAGTAAATGAGACAAATGCAGACAGCACCTGGCATAGTGCCTGGCACAGAGTAGGTGCTCTGCAAGTGTTAATTATTACTGTTGAGCCAGCCCCAATTCTATCCAAAGTGGGACTGTCAGAGCAGTGCTGATTACCCAGTCTGTCCTGGCTCAGGGCGTCCAATCACTCAGATGCGGCCCCACTTTCCCCCAGAGTGTGGTCTTCGGGGGTTTGCACATCCCCATCATGGGTCCCAGCAAGGGCACCTTCAGCACCTCATGGGCAGCCTCTTGATGGCATGGCCTCAGGAGCACCTACCATAGTTGCCAACAATTACTTAGCCTAAGGGTCCCAGCCTTGCCAACCAGTGTCCTGGGTGGCTTCACACAAAAGTAAGTCTGGGTGGTTTGGGGTCTGATCCTGGCCGGTGTTCCCTGAGGGGTGAGGGCTGAGTTCTGCCAGAGTCAAATGCCTTCACCAGGTCTGGACTGTGAAGGTCAGATCAGGTCCGGACCGTGGCCCCTGACCCCTGCCGCTGCAAACAACTGTCCAGAGTCCAGGCTGCCTCATGGCTCAGGCAAAGGCCCAGGTACTCCCTGGGGGCTGGATCAACAAGCTCAAGAGCCACCCAGAGTCCCAGCCAGCACCTCCCAGAGGTGACCTCACTGACTACTCCAGTAGCCTCTGTTCCGACAGCCCGGTGGGAGCCATCCTGGGAACAGGCCAAGAGGAGGGAGCCTCTTGGCCCAGAGATGTGAGTGCGTGTCCTGGGCCTGGCTCCACGGTGCTCCTGAACAGAGCCCCCTGCCCTACAGCTCCAGGGAACTTCCTGTTTGGGTGCCATCCTGATGGTGTCAAGAGTATTGTGGTAACACACCATATTGTGTGTCAGGAGACCTAAACTCCCATCATCAATGAGCAGTGTGACCTGGGGCAAGTCGCATCCCCTCTCTGGGCCTCAGTTACTCCCTCCATAAAATGAGAAGCCTGGAGCAAATGATCCTTAAGGCCTCTTCCAGCTCAGGCATCTAATGGTAGCATACTGCCAGGTACACAGTAGCTGCTCAGGGAATGGTTAGTAATTTAATCATAAGATTCAAGGCAGGATTCCACAGTTCCTGGCACCCATCTGCTTTCTTGCTTTGCATTTTGCCTCTGCCATTAGCAGATTTGTGTCCGGTGTCAGCCCAGGGCCTGGCATATAATAGATGTTAAAAAAATGTGAGCTGAGTCTATATATGCAGTACTTTTACAGTAGCCTAGAGACAGAACAGGATCTGACTGTGAACTGCAAGTGCTGATCACGGGGTCACAGCATGGGCCACACATTTCTTCTTGTTACAAGTTTCTGGCCTTCCTTTCTGGCCAATTGAAAGTCATTGCACTGAGGCTTAGATAATCAACCAAGCAGCACTACCCTGTTCCCTGAATAGTGCAGGCACTGCTTTTGCTCACACTGTTCCTTCTGCCTAGAACACCTGTCAGGGGCTGGGATGTTACTCCACCAATAAGCTAGCCTGGTGTTGTTTCTTAGATGCTGGTAGGAGACACAGGATTCCTGAGACACAGATAAAGCAGCCTGATCATCCTAGTTATGTCTGTTCCCCTTGTCCTCAACTCTCACGGGAACAACAACAGAGGGGTGCAGGTGGACATTACACCTGCAGTGTTTGTGACACAGCTGAGAAGCACTGAACTTGGGGAACCCACCACTGTTGCCACCACCACCACCACCTTTTTTTTTTTTTTTTTTTGAGGCAGAGCCTTGCTCTTTTGCCCAGGTAGAGTGCAGTGGCATGATCTCGGCTCAGTGCAACCTCTGCTTCCTGGGTTCAAGCGATTCTCACACCTCAGCCTTCCGAGTAGCTGGGACTACAGGTGCGTGCCACCACACCAGGCTAATTTTTGAAGTTTTAGTAGAGATGGGGTTTCACCATGTTGGTCAGGCTGGTCTTGAACTCCTGACTTCAGGTGATCTGCCTGCTTCGGCCTCCCAAAGTGCTGGGATCACAGGCATGAGCCACCACGCCTGGCCACCATCATCATTTTTATTGTAAGCAAGCCTGCTCTTTGGGAGATGTTCCCTTATCTCTTAAGGTTGCTGGCTGCAGACACGACCCTGAAGAATGGCAGGGGAAAGAGCAGTCATAGCCTTGCATTCATGGCACGCCCAGCAATAACATCCAGCCATGCTCTGGACCCATGGCGGGGGACCGCTCCCAGCAACTCTGGTCTCCTACCTCTGCTGGTCGAAGTTCTATCCGGCCTCCAGTGACAACTTCTGCTGAAAGATTCCCCAGCTCTCCCCTCACATACTCTCTCCTTCCCTTTTGTATTTCCTTAGAACCCTCATCTACACCTCTCTTTTGTGTCCACAGTGATCCCTCCCCTACCAGCAGAGTGCAAACGCTTTGAGGGCAGAAGTTGGTCCTTTTCATTCCTGCTTTCCACATCCAGATTGTTTGCAGCTAGCAGGTGCCTAGACCATATTTGTTGAGTTGGACGGAATCATAATTTTTCTGCATGTTATGCTTTTTCCAGAGAGTCTGCTGGACCGCCCCGTGGAATGTGAAAACATTCCAGAGGCTAAAAATATCGCCCCAAAGCCGCTGCAGGAGCTTCCTTGTAAGGGGTGATGTGACTCCAGAGGCTGGAAGTTTATGTTCACCAGGTGGCGCTCTGACTCTCAAGTTTCCCAATGCCTTTTTTAGAAAGGAAGGATTATGTTCCCTCTTTTAAAGTTTGTTCACTTAGGTCCCCCCCTCACATTAATTCCCTGTCACCAGCCCAGCACCCAGATTCGGATCCCAGCTGCCCATCTGAGCCTACGCCCTATTCAAGACCGGCATCTGGAGGGCACTGAGGATGTCCCCCCAGGGCACAGAAGGATGCTAAGGGATGCTGAGGGGAAAGCCCTGAAACTGGGATCTGAAGACCTAGGTTTGAGTCCCAACAATGACACTTACAAGTTGTGTTTCTTTGGGCAAGTCACTTAGCCTTTCTGGGTCCCTGTGAGTGTAGTCAAGAATAAAATGTGGAGATTATATAAACGCACTTTAAATTTGGTGTGGAGTCAGCTCCCCTGGGCTGGTGTTTGAGGTTTCACCACCTTCCTATGAACATGGTCAGCTTCTTTTTTTTGAGATGGAGTCTTGCTCTGTTGCCAGGCTGGAGTGCAGTGGTGTGATCTCGGCTCACTGCAACCTCTGACTCCCTAGTTCAAGCGATTCTTCTGCCTCAGCCTCCCAAGTAGCTGGGACTATAGGCGCATGCCACCATGCTGACTAATTTTTTAATCTTTAGTAGAGACAGGGTTTCACCATGTTGCCATGTTGGTCAGGTTGGTCTCAAACTCCTGACCTCATGATCCGCCCGCCTCAGCCTCCCAAAGTGCTAGGATTACAGGGGTGAGCCACCGTGCCCAGCCATGGTCTGCTTCTTTAACCCTGTAAGCCCCAGTTTCCCCATCAGCAAATCAGAAATAGATATAAAAATAACAATCATTTTATAGGGTTGTTGTAAGGATCAAGTAAAACAACGAATAGAAAGTGCTTGTCATAGTGCCTAGAATACAGTAAGCATTCAATTAATAAAAATCACATGTATATTGGCCAGGCATGGTGGCTCAAGCCTGTAATCCCAGCACTTTGGGAGGCTGAGGCAGGCGGATCATGAGATCAGGAGATCGAGACCATCCTGGCTAACATGGTGAAACCCCGTCTCTACTGAAAATACAAAAAATTAGCGGGCGTGGTGGCGGGCACCTGTAGTCCCAACTACTCGGGAGGCTGCGGCAGGAGAATGGCATGAACCCGGGAAGCGGAGCTTGCAGTGAGCCGAGATCGCGCCACTGCACTCCAGCCTGGGAGACAGAGCGAGGTTCTGTCTCAAAAAAATAAAATAAAATAAAATAACATGCGTATTATGAATCCCTGGCCCCTAAAACAGTGCCCAGCATTTAATAGGTGCTCAATATCTATTTGCTGGTAACAGGATTTTACAGATGAGGAAACTGAGGCACAAAGAGCTCAAGCCTACCCTCCCTGCAGGTTCCAGCACTAAGGAGTAGTGAAGCAATGATTCATAGCCAGGCAGTCTGACTCCAGGACCTGCACCCGTAGTCTCTATACCATGCTGTCGCACACAGACAGAGGTGTCATACATCACCATTTGTTCATTTAAAATATGCATTCAAGCCTGTAATCCCAGCACTTTGGGAGGCCGAGGCAGGCAGATCACTTGAGGTCAGGAGTTCGAGACCAGCCTGGCCAACATGGTGAAACCCCGTCTCTACTAAAAACACAAAAATTAGCCGGGTATGATGGTACACGCCTGTAGTCCCAGCTACGTGGGAGGCTGAGGCAGGAGAATCGCTTGAACCTGGGAGGCTGAGGCAGGAGAATCGCTTGAACCTGGGAGGCTGAGGCAGGAGAATCACTTGAACCTGGGAGGTGGAGGTTGCAGTGAGCTGAGATCCTGCCACTGCACTCCAGCCTGGGTGACAGAGTGAGACTCCATCTCAAAAAAAAAAAAAAAGAATATATATATATATATGCATTTATATATATATGCATTATATATATAAATGCTTACATATATATGCATTTAGGCCAGGTGCAGTGGCTCATGCCTATAATCTTAACACTTTAGGAGGCCGAGGAGGGAGGATCATTTGAGCCCAGGAGTTTGAAACCAGCCTGGGCAAGATGGCAAGATTCCGTCTCTATTTTTTTTTAATACATTCAGAGCCTTCTCCAAGTGGGCTGAGTTGGCAGTGAGAGCATTACCCGCTGAGAAGCCACATAGCTTTTCTCTCCCAAGGGGAGCCAGCCTGCTGGAAGAGGACCTGCTCAGCCAGGCCAAAGGCCAGAGGACTCATCTTATGACCGGGAGATGAAGACTAGCTCTGCAGCGTGGGGTCAGCTGTAGGTCTGAGGCATGCACTGTCCCCAGGGTAAGAGGGGCACCCTCAGTTCCATTGCTGCCCCTGCAGCCACTCAGTCATCTGCTCCACGTATTTTACTCAGGGTCTCCTATGAGCCAGGCACAGGCAAAGATGGATAAGACATGATATCCAATAGTTATGATGTAGCCGACTCAACACTGCTGCAGAGGGATGGTCCAACTGGGGGCCTAGAAGAGCAGCCTCAGAGGCTGGACCAAAAGGAAGCAGCATTTAAACTGAGCCTTGAAGGATAAATAGGAGTTTTGCTGTCAAGTGGGGTGTGGGAATGAGGGCATTCTGAGCTTACTTGGGAAATTTGGAAAGGATTAGTGGGTTGTATGCTGGGTGACAGCATGGGACAGGGAAGGAAGTGGCAAGCCAGGAAGTTGGAAATTGGTTGGGGACAAATTGTGAAATAGGCCACACAGAAGAGACAGCTTCTGTCCTGTCTCAGTAGGGGAAGCAGTGTAACAAACATCAGGTCTGTCTTTTAGAAAGATGTCATGACCTGGCTTGGTGGTTCACGCCTGTAATCCCAGCACTTTGGGAGCCAAGGGGGACAGATCACTTGAGGTCAGGAGCTCGAGACCAGCCTGGCCAACATGGCAAAGCCCTGTCTCTACTAAAAAAAATACAAAAATTAGCTGGGTGTGGTGGCACTCGCGACTGTAGTCCCAGCTACTTGGGAGACCGAGGCAGGAGAATCACTTGAGGCCGGGAGGCGGAGGTTGCAGTGAGCAGAGATTGCTCCACTGCCCTCCAACCTGGACGACAGAACAGTACTCTACCCCACCGCCCCCCACCCCCCCCCCCACAAAAAAAAGGAAAAAGAAAAAAGAAAGATGCCATGGGCACAAAGGTTGAGCATGAAGGAGAGAAGAGAGACTGGTGGTAGTTACCAGCTTCCTGGTCTGAACCCAGGTAGGCTTCATTCCTCCTCAGCAAAATGAGGGGAGTTGCGTGTATCTCTGTGGTTGTTTTGAGGGTTAAATGAGAACTCAGGTAAAGCGGTGGCACGGAATAATAATAATGTAAAGCATCGTTAGCCTCCATCACAGGCAGTTCGGCCTAGTAGTTAAGTCCGTGGGCTTTGCTTCCTCTTGGCCCTGGGTTTGTGTCCCAGCCATGTTAGGTAGCGTATTTTGAATGTGGGCAAGACAGAAGGATGGCAAGGAAGGGTTGGATAAAAGAGGGTGTGGACAATAAGCTTGTGCCGAGTGGAACGAGTGGCGGTGCCTCTGGTGGGTGATGGACTCTTACTCCGACATGGGTAACTCGGACAGCTTTGGACAGGACGAGGCGGGCCCTGGCAGGAGACTGCGGATGTCCAGGTGACAGTGGATGCCAGTTCAAAACCAGCACTGCTCTCCTCCCGCGCCCAGGAAGAGCCCAGAGGCCCGGGGTGGGCGCTATGGCAGGAAAGAGGGAAAAGGAGGAGGCAGGGCGGGCAGGGGCGGCCCCAGATGTGGCAAACTTGGCGCAGCAGCGCACGGGCGGACAGGGCGGAAGGCCCGCGTCGGGCTGGGAGATGCGCCCTGCCCTGGCCCGAGGACGAAGGAATCCGAGCTGGGGGCCTGGCGCAGAGGGGAAAGGGGGGCGCCAGGGTGGTGAGCGAGATGGAAAGAGAGATGGCAGGAAGCCGGGAGGAGCGCGCGGGGGAGGAGACAGCCGAGGGGAAGGGGAAGGGAAAGGGGCGGGTGGGAAGGGTGGAGAGCTGGAGACAGAAGGCGAGGAGGGCCGAGGGGAGGAGAGAGGAGAGGAAGGGTGGGGAAAGGAGGAGAGGAAGAGAGGACTAAGAGGGGAGCAAGGCGAGGAGGCCGCGGCGGGCGCAGCGGGCACCTGGGCCGTGCTGCCCCCGCGAGCAAGGCGCCGCCATTCCGCTGCTCGGGGCGCCGCCGCCGCCGCCACCGCGCCCAGGGGCCATGCTCCCGCCGCCCCCGCGCCAGCCGCCGCCCCAGGCGCGTGCGGCCCGCGGCGCGGTGCGCCTGCAGCGGCCCTTCCTGCGCAGCCCGCTGGGCGTGTTGCGGCTGCTGCAGCTGCTGGCCGGCGCTGCCTTCTGGATCACTATCGCCACCAGCAAGTACCAGGGCCCCGTGCACTTCGCGCTCTTCGTGTCCGTGCTCTTCTGGCTGCTCACCCTGGGCCTCTACTTCCTCACGCTGCTGGGCAAGCACGAGCTGGTCCCCGTGCTGGGCTCGCGCTGGCTCATGGTCAACGTGGCGCACGATGTGCTGGCGGCCGCGCTCTACGGCGCCGCCACCGGCATCATGAGCGACCAGATGCAGCGCCACAGCTACTGCAACCTCAAGGATTACCCGCTCCCCTGCGCCTACCACGCCTTCCTGGCGGCCGCCGTCTGCGGCGGCGTCTGCCACGGCCTCTACCTGCTTTCGGCGCTCTATGGCTGCGGGCGTCGCTGCCAGGGCAAGCAGGAGGTGGCGTGAGGCCGCCCGCGCCCGCCGCGGCCCCGATCGGGGCGGGGGAATCCCCGGAGACCAGCCTCCTTAATCCCTTCCCCCGCCGCCGCCCCGCGCGGGTGCGCCCTGGCACCCTCTCCCTGCCCTCCAGCGTTTCCACTGTCGCCCGCGCCCGGGAACCCTGACGCTCAGCTCCCGCCCGACGGCAGCGCCGCCGCCGCCCAGAATCCCAGCCCAGAATCCCGACCGCCGCGCCGGACGCGCCGTCTCCCGGGACAAGCGCAGGCTGCGATCCGAGGGGCTGACACACACTCGCAGACGAGCCGCCCCGAGGCGAAACCTCGCGGTTCCTCTTCCCTTCCCTGCTGAGACTAAGACGTGGACAGGGGCCGCGCAGATCCGGGGGAGGCTCCCAAATTGGAACCAGGCTTCTGGCTGCCCCCTTCCCTCCCGCCCCGTGGTCGGAAGAGCACTCCCTTCCCTGGCCCCTCATCCAGCCTCCGGTGCTGTAAAACGCAGGCGCTGGGCCGCGGGCGGAGCTGAGGACAGGCCTTGGCTGGTCCCAGGATGAGCGACGAGTTTGGTTTTAGCTGGGGATTGTGCTGGCATCCTGCGAAGCTCCTCCCAGCCGGTCTCTCTGTGCTCGGTTGTCTTGGGGTGGGGCCCATCCGCCGAGGTGGGGACCGATAGGAGAAGCCGGTGGGTTGTACCCTTACACTTGTGGAGTCTCCTCTTGCCTCTACCTACTCCGCCTTTGTCCTTAAGGTTTTTGCAGGCCAGTGCCAAACACACACTAACTGTCCTGGCCTCTCCGTGACACAAGTCTCTTCCCAGCCTTCCTCACAGGCTTCTGCCGCCCCCCTCATCTCCACCCTCCCCCATATCTGTTTGCATTAGGAGTTCCACGACCATGGTGGAATGTTAAGGTGAACCCCACCCCTTCTTACAGATGGGGACCCAGAGCCTGCTCTTGGGAACAGCCAGAGTAAGATTGGAACCCAGACTTGCAGTCCAGCGCTGTTTGCATTAAAAGGGTGGGTGAGTCAGGACCCCTGGCTCAGGAGCCGCCTCTCCTAAAAGAGGGTTTCAAGGCCAAATGGGTTTGTCAACGGTGCTGTCTCCCTTTCTTGGAGATGCTCATTAGCTTATCAAAGACTGAGAAGTCCCGCTGTTACAGAAATAATTTAGTTTGCTGTATTAACTGCTCCTGGGCCTGGAGCAGTATTCCCACCTTAAGATTCCCAGCATCCCTGTGCTGTCCCGGCTCTCATTCATGCCGAAGGGCCCAACCCATTGGCTGTGTTCTGTTTGAAGATTTGGGGGGCGCCTTCTCTTTCTTCCCCAGGGAATTCTCTAGCAGAGGGAGGGGACCCACCCCAGTGAGGAAGTAGATTGCTGCCTCTAGCCAGAGACCTGAACTGGGGAATTTGAACATTCCTTTACATTGTTGGAGAAATGAAGCCAAAGTTATTCAGATGGTTTTCCCAGGCTAAAGGAAAGTCACCTGCAAGAGATCCCGGCACTGATCTGGAGCAGCTGACAGGGTGGGTCTCCCTTACCAAAGAGAAGAACCACTCTCTGGCGCTGGGGTGACCTGCTGGCTGGGCCTGTAAGGTAAGACGCTTCTTGGTTTTCTGGAAGGGGTCCTGGGCATTTGAATAAAAAGCACAGAGCCTACTCCTTTTCCAGAAGTTAAAGGGTTTTTATTCAGAGCAAGTTGGAGAGGTGACGGTAATAACCACAATATCTACAGAGTTGTGAAAATTCAACCTTTTTGCTAAATCCTTCAATGGTCTGCTCTTTTATTTTTTCTTTCTCTTTTGTTTTGTTTTTGAGGCAGTCTTACTGGGTCACCCACGCTGGAGTGCAGTGATGTGATTATGGCTCAATGCAGTCTCGACCTCCCAGACTGAAGCGATCCTCTCACCTCAGCCTCCCGGGTAGCTGGGACTACAGGCACATACCACCATGCCTGGCTAGTTTTTAAATTTTTGTAGAGACAGGGCCCCATTGTATTTTGCATGCTGGTCTCGAACTCCTGGGCTCAAGAGATCCTCCCGTCTCAGCCTCCCAGAGTGTTGGGATTACAGATCTCAGCCACTGTGCCTGGCCAGGTCTGCTGTTTGAAAAGGCTCAACCTTCTCTGGATTAGAAACTAGAAGAGGGGAGGCTGCGTGTTTTTGTGAGCTTGTTTTTAAAGCTTAGGTGCACAGGTGTTAGCTTTCTCTGTGGAGGCTGCAAAGGTGTAGTTTCAGGGTGTGTGAAGCATGAATGTAGTTCTAGATATGTTGCCATCAGAGCACCTATGTAGCTCTATTATATGGTTGGCACGTCTCAAAGCATTTTATAGGTGTCCATTGATTCTCTCAGTAACCCTAATGAGGTGGGTTCTAATGTCATTGCCATATTCCAAATGAGGAGGTTGAATCCCAGAGAGGTTAAATACCTTGCCCAAGGTCTCCCAGCTAATGAGTGGTAGAGGTAGGATTTGAACCCTGGCAGCCTGGCCTCTTCATGACCAGGCTATACTCTATATAGTAGGGTATCAATACATGTTAGATACTGTTAATGTAGCTATTTTTTAAATTGTGGTAAAATATACATAAAATTTACCATCTTAACCATTTTTAAGTGTATAGTTCAGTGGCATTAAGAACATTCACAGCTAGTCGCAGTGGCTCATGTCTGTAATCCCAGCACTTTGGGGGGCCGAGGCTTGAGACTAGGAGTCCCCTCAGCCCCAAGTGCTGGTGCAGTGAGAGCCTGGGGTGAGACACTTGGGGTGCTTTGGAAGCCCTTTGACTTTGGTTCTCCTGTTGCAGGTTTCCATGTTGCTGAGGCCATGGAGATTCCCAGAGCTGGTCACACCGACCGCTCTCAGGGCCCGCTGCCCTGGGCTGGCAACACCATTCTGGCCTTGGCCTGCAGAAGCTTTCAGAGTCTTCACTGGCAGTAGGGGGAGATGGGGAGAGGAATGATCTCTGCCCAGCCCCTTCCTTTCCAAACCATGCAATGGAAGAGCCCAGATGGGTGAAGATTGATTTTGCCTTAACTCAAGAGAATTCCTGTTCTCCTTGTGCTATGATTTGGACACAAGATTCTGGATACCTGGAACTTAGCTGTGTACTCCTGTACCCTAAACAGTGGATTTGAGTTCCAGCGTTTATTCTTTTTTCCTTTTTTCAGATCACCATCTAAGTTACATCTTTAGCTCAGGTCCATCCTTCTCAAGATCTCCTTCTTAGCCCCCCAGCCCCTGGTGCTGTCTGTGGTCAGGTGACCTTACTCAGGAGCAGATATCTCCTTGGCCGCCATGGAGCCTCATCCATCCACACGTGCCTGTAGCATTCCAGAGCTCACTGCCCTTCTAGATGTGCCTTCCCGCTTGGCTTCCAGCGGCTTGTGCTCACTCTGTCTGCCAGGTATGAGAAGAACACGTAAGACCGCCACCACACTCACCCTCCCTCAAGGCCCTGTGCCATAGGGGTGGCCACCCGACCTGCCCCCAGAACTTTTGGATACTGGAGGCAGTTGCATAGGTCTCCCTCTCTGGGCACCAGGACTCAGTCCAGCCCAAGACTACTCTGGGCAGCTCCCATCCCAGTCTGGGGCCATTTGCAGACTCAGGAAAGGATTTCTACAGTGTTCTATAAAAGCCAAAAGAGAGAGTGGGTTTGGGAAGAGTGAGGGTGGTTGGGGAGAGGGGACCGATGTGCCTCATTGTTTAGTGGTGATTACAAATATGCTTTTCTGGATAAAGTTTGGTTGTTTGCTCTTGGTGTGTGTGTCTTCTGTCCTGGTCCTCTGTAGCGTCCCTCCATGTGAGGTCCTCCCATTCTATCTCATTGTGCCTCACGCCCTGCTGCTGGCCTCCTTTCTGCCTCTCTGGCTTCCTCTTTCCTTCTAGGAGGGAAAGAGAGTGAGTTCACAGATCTCTAGTGCAGTTAGGAGCTTGGGCCAGGGGTTGCCTGAGGACAGAAACCAGAGGGAAGAAAACTGCCTGTGTCCCTGATGGAGGCTGGAGGGAATTCCAGAGGCTTTTGTCCCTGCTCTCAATGGGCCCTCTGTTAGGGAGCTCCACTGCCTCTCATTCTGTGCGCAGAAAGACCGTGGTTGTGGAGCTAGAGGGTCCTGTTCTAGTCCAACCCCATCGTTTTACAGAAGAGGAAATGAAGTCCAGGGCGTGGTGGCAACCTGCCTGATGCTACACAGCTGATTAGGGGCAGAGTTGGGGTCTCCCGTAGCCAGGCCCTGTTTTTTTCCCTGCACACCACTGTGGCCTGCTCTGGTGTTGCCTCCTGGACCACACCCCACCTGCCTTTCACCCGATTCCCCAGAGATTCTTTGTCCAGCCAGCTGCTGGCTGCTGACGGATGCCCTGGAAAGGGTGTGAGGGCAGAGTTAAGAGGCTTCCTCCCAGGCTCCTCCTCCCTGTGCCCTGGGCGTGACATCTGCAGCCTGGAAAGAGGATTTTTCAAAACTCACCTGGAACATTCCTCCTCCCTGTGCCCTGGGCGTGACATCTGCAGCCAGGAAACAGGAAGATTTCAAAACTCACCTGGAACAGCTCCAGGCTGGGATCTGATGCCACGTGTGTGTGCGCCACACCCACTGTCTTCCAAAGAACCATTCCAGTGCCTGCGCACACAAACATACACAGGCACACACACTCTCTTCATAATTTGGTTTGTGACTGGAGAGTGGGGGAGGAAAACACCATCAGCTGCCAAGGCCCCTCCCCTACTCCCCTCTTCCCTCTCCTGTCTGTTCGTGAATTTCAGGCAAAGTAAAAAGTGGCTCTGCTTTCTGCAAAGGCTGGTAAGCCCCTGCTCTACTCTATTTTAGCAGTGGAGCGTTTTGCAGTTGAAAATGTGCTTCCCCCTGCATTACCCTATTTGATCTTCTCTGTAGTCTTTTGTTTCTTTTGAGATGGAGTCTTGCTCTGTCACTCAAGCTGTAATGCAATGGCATGATCTCAGCTCACTGCAACCTCCATCTCCCAGGTTCAAGCAATTCTGCCTCTGCCTTCTGAGTAGCTGGGACTACAGGCGCGCACCACCAGGCCCTACCAATTTTTGTATTTTTAATAGAGACGGG
Source organism: Homo sapiens (assembly GCF_000001405.40). Classification (NCBI taxonomy): domain Eukaryota; kingdom Metazoa; phylum Chordata; class Mammalia; order Primates; family Hominidae; genus Homo; species Homo sapiens. The sequence continues at coordinate 97,719,469 of NC_000010.11, forward strand.
TTTTCACTATGTTAGCCAGGCTGGTCTCAAATTTCTGACCTCACATGATCCACCCGCCTCGGCCTCCCAAAATGCTGTGATTACAGGCGTAAGCTACTGCACCCAGCCCCTTCCCAGTAGTCTCATAGGTTGGCATTGTTGCCCCCCACATCTGCCACCTCATTCAATAGAGGAAATGGAGCCCAGAGAATGGAAAGGCCTTATCCATGGTCACAGAGCTGGCTAGCGGCAGGGCAGGGACTGGAAGGCAGAGGTTTCTTTAAGCCCTGTGGTCCTTTGGCAGGCTCTAGAGAGTCTAGGGAGTTTGGTTTTCCTTCCAGGAGACCAGGTGTTTAGGAATGGCCTAATCTGGCATTTCCTGCTTAGTGCACTTTGAAATAAGACACTGCTTCTCAGAGACATAATGAGGTCCTATGAGTGGGAAATCTCAGGGTTTATGTCTATTACTTTTCCTGCTTTTCTAGGGTTGGAGGTGGGGTGGTCAGCGGTAAAAAACAAGAATTAATAAATGAACATTTTCAATGATAAAAGGAAAAAGCAGGAATATGAGAGAGAAAAGTTTGGTTAGCATGATTTATTTACGTGTTTTTTGTTTGGTCACAATAGTTATTTATAAAATAAAATAGCAATATATATCCATGAAAATATAATACCAATATGCACCATCAAAAAACGTAAGCAGTATAGATTTGTAAAAAGAGAAGCTGGGCCAGGCGCAGTGGCTCATGCCTGTAATTCCCAACACTTTGGGAGGCTGAGGTGGGCAGATCACTTGAGCTCAGGAGTTCGAGACCAGCCTGGGCAACATGGCAAAACCCTGTCTTGACAAAAAATATGAAAAAAATCAGCTGGGCATGGTGGCGTGTGCCTGTGGTCCCAGCTATTCAGGAGGCTGAAGTGGGAGGATCTCTTGAGCCTGGGAGGTTGAGGCTGTAGTGAGCCATGATTGTGCCACTGCACTCCCACCTGGGCGACAGAGTGAGACCCTCAAAACAACAACGAAAAAAACAAAAAGTAAAAAGAGGCTGGGCGAGGTGGTTCACGCTCTGGGAGGCCAAGTTGGGTGGATCACTTGAGTTCAGGAATTTGAGACCAGCCTGGGCAACATGGTGAAACCCTGCCTCTACCAAAAAATACAAAAATTAGCCGGGCATGGTGACACGCACCTGTAGTCCCCAGCTACTCGAGAGGCTGAGAAGAGAATTGCTTCAACCTGGGAGGCAGAGGTTGCAGTGAGCCGAGATCGTGCCACTGCACTCCAGCCTGGGCAACAGAGTGAAACTCAGTGTCAAAAAAAAAAAAAAAGTATAAAGAAGTCATTTGACCATCCTAATCTCTCTTTTCTTTTTTTTTTTTTTTTTTGAGACGGAGTCTCGCTGTGTCGCCCAGGCTGGAGTGCAGTGGCGCGATCTGGGCTCACTGCAAGCTCCGCCTCCTGGGTTCACGCCATTCTCCTGCCTCAGCCTCCTGGGTAGCTGGGACCACAGGCGCCCACCACGATGCCTGGCTAATTTTTTTTTGTATTTTTAGTAGAGATGGGGTTTCACCGTGTTAGCCAGGATGGTCTCCATCTCCTGACCTTGTGATCCGCCCACCTCGGCCTCCCAAAGTGCTGGGATTACAGGTGTGAGCCACCACACCCGGCTTTTTTTTTTTTTTTTTTTTTGACGTGGAGTCTCACACTGTCCCCCAGGCTGGAATGCAGTGGCGTGATCTTGGCTCACTGCAAGCTCTGCTTCCCGGGTTCACGCCATTCTCCTGCCTCAGCCTCCCGAGTAGCTGGGACTATAGGTCCCTGCCACCACACCTGGCTATTTTTTTGTGTTTTTAGTAGAGATGGGGTTTCACCATGTTAACCAGGATGGTCTCGATCTCTTGATCGTATGATCTGCCTGCCTCGGCCTCCCAAAGTGCTGGGATTGCAGGCATGAGCCACCATGCCTGGCCTTGACCATCCTAATCTCATACCCTAGAGAAAAATCATTGTGTTTTGTTGTTGTTGTTTTGTTTTGTTTTTTTTTTTGTTTCGAGACACAGTCTTACTCTGTCGGCTAGGCTGGAGGACAGTGGCATGATCTTGGTTCACTGCAACCTCCGTCTCCCAGGTTCAGGTGATTCTAGTGCCTCAGTCTCCCGAGTAGCTGGGATTACAGGTGTGTGCCACCACAACCAGCTAATTTTTGTATTTTTAGTAGAGACAGAGTTTCACCATGTTGGCCAGGCTGGTCTCGAACTCCTGATCTGAGGTGATCCATCCACCAAAATCTTTGTTAACTATTAACTCTCCTTCCTCTTTTTTTTGAGACAGGGTCTTCCTCAGTTGTGCAGGTTGGAATGCAGTGGTGTGATCACGGCTCACTGCAGCCTCGACCTCCTGGGCTCAGGTCACCCTCCCACCTCAGTCTTCCAAGTAGCTGAGACTACAGACACATGCCACCACACCCAGCAATTTTTTTTTTTTTTTTTTTGTATTTTGGTAGAGACAGGGTTGTAACCAGTTGCCCAGCCTGGTCTTGAAGTCCTAGACTCAAACAATCCGCCGACATGGCCTCCCAAAGTGTTGGGATTACAGCCATGAGCAACCGCGCCGGACCTCTCTAGTTTTTATAACTAATCAAACATTTATGGATGTGCGCGCACACACACACACACACAGACTCTTGCACGACTTAACTTTTTAAATGTAACAATAATATAGTTCCAACTCTCTATGTCCATAGAAACAGTAGTCAGGGACTGCAAGAGTTCTATGGGCTTTCTGGAACCTTTATAACTTTCTTACACTGGTTAACTTTGTTAGTCCCTTGGGTGTTCCCTGTAGAGATCGTAATTAAACCCATAAAAGGAGGTGGGTCCTTTTCTAGTGATGAGGAAACAGATAGTGAGGGCAGGTGGTTCCCCGGGCCTGTGCCCTTTCTAACCCTTATGCTGCCAAGAGTAGCAAGGATGGGAGGAGCCCTGGAGTGGCTGCATCCCACTCCATAGCCAGTCTTGAGGATAGGAGTCCCAGGGACTAGGGTTGGTGGGGGCAGCTGGAAAGAGATGAGGAGGGCCTGAGACTTTCTGGGCCCGGTGGGGCAACGTATGCTGGGGAGGTGGTCAGAACCCAAGAAGAGCACTTAAGACATGCCTGGCAGGAGGTCTGTGGGACCCACCCAGGCCAGCCTCAACAGCCCATGGAAATTCCAGATTGGTTTCTAATCTGAAGGCCCTTCTTCCCTCCTTAATCCATGGCCTCATGGCCTCATTCCTTTATTCCTTTTATTTTTTTATTTTTTGAGACCAAGTTTCACTCTGTCACCCAGGCTGGAGTGCAGTGGCACGATCTCGGCTCATTGCAACATCTGCCTTCTGGTTCAAGCGATTCTCCTGCCTCAACCTCCTGAGTAGCTGGGATTACAGGCGCGTGCCACCACGCCCAGCTAATTTTTGTATTTTTAGTAGAGACGGGGTTTTACCCCGTTGGCCAGGCTGGTCTCGAACTCCTGACCTCAGGTGATCACCCAGCTTGGCCTCCCAAAGTGCTGGGATTACAGGCATGAGCCGCCACACCTGGCACCTCATTCCTTTTGAACTGGGTGGCTGTTTGGGATCTGGTAGGCACCAAGGCTGTGCCATTCCTTCCGCAGCACAGATGGGGACAGGAAGCTGCTGGAGGCTGGAGGCTGACCCTCCAGGCTTCATACTTGCCTGTCCCTCCAGCTAGAGGCAAGTTATCCTTGCTGCCATCTCCAGGATGCCTGAAGGCAGTGCTCTGACATGCAGTTGTGAAGCACTTCTGAGTCAAGGCTGGGAAGAGGGAGAAAGGGAAGTAGCTTTAGGAAGGACCTACCATGAGCCAAGAACATAATGGGTGCCTTATATAACATCTCTTATCCTCCCATTTCCACGAAGTAGCAAATACCCCCATTTAACAGTCATGGAAACAGGCTCACAGGGGTAGGTTGATGTGGCCTGGCACTTGAATGCGCACTGACCGAAACAAGATTCAAACTCAGGTCTGTGCCACCATGCCACCATGCTGCTTCAAGGATTTCCCAGCAGACAAGCTTTTTCCCAACCATCTGAATACTTCATCCAAACTTCATCCGAGTTTTGAAATATTTACATCTTGAGCTAATGCAGGAAAGAAAGACTAAAGAATAGGCCAGGAGGCCAGGTGCAGTGCCTCACGCCTGTAATCCCAGCACTTTGGGAGGCTGAGGCAGGTGGATCACTTGAGGTCAGGAATTCGACACCAGCCTGGCCAACATGGTGAAACCCCATCTCTACTACACACACACACACACACACACACACACACACACACACACACACACACACACAATTGGCTGGGCATGGTGGCGGGCATCTGTAATCCTAGCTACTCAGGAGGCTGAAGCAGGAGAATCGCTTGAACCCAGAAGCCAGAGGTTGCAGTGACAGAAGCCAGAGGTTGCAGTGAGCTGAGATGGTGCCACTGCACTCCAGTCTGGGTGATAGGCTGGGCGTGGTGGCTCACACCTGTAATCCCAACACTTGAGGAGGCCAAGGCAGGGGGATTGCTTGAGCCCAGGATTTCGAGACCAGCCTGAGCAACATAGCAAGACTCCATCTCTACAAAAAATAAAAAAATTAGCTGGGCATGGTGGCATGCAGCAGTAGTCCCAGCTACACGGGTGGCTGAAGTGAGAGGATTGCTTGAGCCCAGGAGGTTGAGGCTGTAGCGAGCTATGAGTGCACCACTGTACTCCAGCCTGGGTGACAGAGCAAGACCCTGTATATATTTAAAAAAAAGGTATTACAAATCTGAATTATGTCACTTCTCTCTTCCCAGGCTATAATGAAGTTAGCTAGTTACCTTTAGGTATAATCAGCTTATTATGCCGAGGTCACTCTCCCATTCCCTGGAGACCATCCCTCTGTCCGCAGGATGTGAGAAGGATATGTCAGAGGGCCTCCCAGCCCCTCCTCCCTCTCGTGGCCCTGTGCCAGAGGTGTGGACACCTGACCTGACTCCAAACTCTGGATACTAAAGCCTCTGCCTTTTGCAATCTTGTCCTGTACTCTGTTCTGTCTCCTTTTGTGTCTCCCAGGCAGTTAGCATGACTCGTTCTAATTTTTGGGTGAGCTCAGGCTGTGATGTCAGAGGTGAGCTCTATCTCTTATTAGTTGTCCAGTCTTAGGCAATTTATGAAACCTCTTTGCCTCTTAGCTTCCTCACTTAGTAAATGGGGATAATATTAGTACCTACCTCACTGGGCTGTTGAAAGAGCTTCATGAGATGAGGCGTGCCTGGCAATTTCATCAGTGCAATTCAGCCCTCAGCAGTATATGTTTGTTGGGAGGATTTCATAAGATATACATAAAATGCTGGGCTCAACGCCTGACCCACAGTCATAGTTAGTGCTCATAAATGTGAACTCCCTCCTGCCCCATTCCACTCTGGGTCTCCCTGCACCTAAGGAATGATAATCTCACCAGCCTTGGCTAATCCTTCTTTCTCATTGGTGTCTACTGTTCTTTCTTGAATTCTTTCTTGTGTGTGTGTGTGTGTGTGTTTTTTTTTTTTTTTTTGAGACGGAGTTTCACTCTTGTCACCCAGGCTGGAGTGCAATGGAGTGATCTCAGCTTACTGCCACTATGGAGGCTGAGGCAGGAGGCTCACTTGAGCCCAGGAGTTTGAGGTTGCAGTGAGCTATGATTATGCCACTGCACTCCAGCAAGACCCTGTCTCAAAAAAAAAAAAAAAGAGAAAGAAAACATATTCATAATGTCCAAAAGCTTCCCTGTGCTCTTTGTACTCCCTCTTCTTTCCTTCCCATCTCCCCCACACCAGGGAACCATTGATCTGCTTTCTATGATTATAGAATTCTAGAATTTTATATAAATGAAATGTATAGTATGTGCTCCTTTTGGGAGAGGGCGGTATCTGGCTTCTTTCACTCAGCTTAATTATTTTGAGATTCATTCATGATGTTGCAGTAACAGTAGTTCATTTTCATTGCTGAGTGAATATACAGATACACTATAATTTGTTTAGCCTGTTGATGGACATTTGTGTTGTTTCAAATTTTTGGTTATTGCAAATATAGCTGCTTTGAACGTTCATGTACACGTCTTTGTGTGGACACATATGCTTTAATTTATTTTGGGTAGACAGCTAGCAGTGGAATGGCTCATTTGTGTGGTAGGCTTATTGTTTTTATTATTTTAAAATTGTCTATACCCCAGATGAAATCTGGTGTGTGTGTGTGTGTGTGTGTGTGTGTGTGTGTGTGTGTGTGTTCTTGCTTGGGATTTGTAACAGAGGGGGTGATTCTGGACTCACAGACTAAATTAGGAAGTTTTTCATACTGTTCTATGCTCTGGAATAGTTTAACTATATCATTTTAAAAAATGGGTTCTAGCTGGCACGGTGGCTCATGCCTGTAATCCCAGCACTTTGGGAGGCCAAGGGGGGCAAATCACCTGAGGTCAGCAGTTCGAGACTAGCCTGGTCAACAAGTGTTCAATAAATACATCTTTATGTATTTATTTACTAGACCATTAAGTTTAGTAGAGACCAACCCTACCTCTCCAAAAAAGCAGAAAAATTAGCTGGTTGTGATGGCAGGTGCCTGTAGTCCCAGCTACTCGGGAGGCTGAGGCAGGAGAACTGCTTGAACCCAGGAGGCAGAGGTTGCAGTGAGCCGAGATCGCGCTGTACTCCAGCCTGGGCAACAGAGAGAGACAGACTCCGCCTCAGAAAAAAAAAAATGGGTTCGATAAAATTTGTCTATGAAATAAATCTGGGCCTGATGCCTTTTGGGTTTTACATTTTTATTTCTTTTTATTTTTAATTCTTTCAAGTTTGTAAATGATAGTTGGTGTATTCAGGTTTTTTGGTGGGTCACGTACTGCTCTCCCATTGGTGGTATACTTATTCAGGGTGTCTGTCTGTCCCACTAGGCTGTAAGCTTTTCAGGAAAGAATTCCAGGCTCTTCATCTCTATAATCCCATGAAAGGCACATGATACGTAGTCATTTGGTGGAATGAATAAATGCTGATGGCTAGCTGCTATAACAAATACACCTCAGCATTTCAGCAGTTTCATATAATGAAAATCTATTTGTTATTCATATACAAATCTATTTCTTCCTCACATAATTGTGCACTGTGGCTACTCTGGGGCAGAGGGAGACGCTCCACCATACGGTGACTCAAGGACCCAGGCTCCTTCCACCCCGTGGCTCGGCCATCTGCTCTGCACTGAGCTCGCAGGTGAGGGAGGAGAGGCAGGAGAAGGTTTCCTGCTTCCTGCATACCTTCATCTAGAAGTAACAGTCAGCGCTCCCACTCACCTCCTTGGGAGTAACAGGACCTGACCTATAAGCAGAGGATGCTGGGAAATGTAGTCCCTAGCCAGGCAGCTGCTGCGTAGCAACAACTCTATATCATGGTAGGGGGCACAGGACTTTTTGGTGGACAGTTAATCGTCGCTTTCAAGGGAGGCACAAGGTTTTATTGCTGAAGTTTTCATTGCCTTGCTCTGTGAACTCTTTTAGTGCCAGTGTTTGATGAATGGTTGTTTTCATGGCTGCCAAGAGCTGTTGAGTAAGAATGTAACTGCAGACAGTCATTTCCTTGCTGTGTTTGTCCAACAACCACTGTCTCACAGCTGGAAAACTCATTACTCATGAGTACTTCTTTCCCAGGTACAAGAACATAAAGATGTATTTATTGAACACTTTTTAGGGCAATGACACTGAACTGTTAATCCAAAAATATACACTGGTCAAACGATAAGCTTAAATACTAGAGAAAATCCAAATATTAAGGAGACTTTAAAGATACATACCAGTCAAATATTTCTTTCATTTGTCTATTCATTTTTTCTTTCTTTTTTTGTTTTGTTGCATCTATTCATTTTAAAAATGGAAACCTAATTCATATACCATAATATTTCACATAATATGACATAAAAATTCCCAGTTTTATTTTTATTTATTTATTTAGAGACAGAGTCTTGCTCTGTTGTCCAGGCTGGAGTGCAGTGGTGCGATTTCAGCTCACTGCAACCTCCGCCTCTCGGGTTCAATAGATTCTCCTGCCTCAGCCTCCCGAGTAGCTGGGATTACAGGCACCCACCACCATGCCAGGCTAATTTTTGTATTTTTCATAGAGATGGAGTTTCATCATGTTGGCCAGGCCGTTCTTGAACTCCTGACCTCAGGTGATCCACCTGCCTCAGCTTTCCAAAGTGCTGGGATTACAGGCGTGAGCCATTGCACCTGGCCAAAAATTCCTAGTTTTAAAGTGTACAATTCAGTGGTTTTCAGTATATTCAGAAGGTTGTATAACCATCACCACCATCTAATTCGAGGACATTTCCATCACCCCAAAGAGAAACCCTGTACCTGTTAGCAGTCACTCCCAGTTCCTCCCTCCTTCCAGTCTCTGGCAACCACTAATTTACTCTGTCTCTATAGATTTGCATATTCTGGCTGGGTGCGGTGGCTCGTGCCTTAATCCCAGCACTTTGGGAGGCTGAGGTGGGAAGATCACCTGAGGTCAGGAGTTCAAGACCAGCCTGGCCAACATGGTGAAACCCCATCTCTAGTAAAAATACAAAAAAATTAGCCAGGTGTGGTGGCGGGCGCCTGGTAATCTTAGCTACTCAGGAGGCTGAGGCAGGAGAATCACTTGAACCCAGGAGGCAGAGGTTGCAGTAAGCCAAGATCGTGCCACTGCACTCCAGCCTGGGTGACAGAGAGAGACTCTGCCTCAAAAAAAAAAAAAAAAAAAAAAAAAGATTTGTTTATTCTGGACATTTTACATAAATGGAATAGTATGTGGCTTTTATGTCTGGTTTCTTTCACTTAGCACAATGTTTTCAAGGTTCATTCATGTTGTAGCATGTATTAATAACTCATTTCTTTTTTTGTCTTCCAATATGATCTCAAGACTCATTTTTTATGGTGAATAATATTCCAGTGAACGGATAGAATATATTTTGTTTATATCATTCACTAATTTTTAATTTTTTTTTTTTTTTTTTGAGACAGAGTCTTGCTCTGTCGCCCAGGCTGGAATGCAGTGGCGCGATCTCAGCTCACTGCAAGCTCCGCCTCCCGGGTTCATGCCATTCTCCTTCCTCAGCCACCCGAGTAGCTGGGACTACAGGCGCCCACCACTATGCCCAGCTAATTTTTTGTATTTTTAGTAGAGACGGGGTTTCACTGCATTAGCCAGGATGGTCTCAATTTCCTGACCTCGTGATCCACCCACCTCAGCCTCCCAAAGTGCTGGGATTACAGGCGTGAGCCACCGTGCCCGGCTTTAATTTTTTTTTTTTTTTTTGAGACAGAGTTTCCCTCTGTCACCTAGGCTGGAGTGCAATGGCGCGATCTCAGCTCACTGCAACCTCCGCTTTCCAGGCTCAAGCGATTCTCGTGCCTTAGCCTCCTGAGTAGCTGAGATTACAGGCAAGCGCCACCATGCCTGGTTAATTTTTGTATTTTTAGTAGAAATGGGGTTTCGCCATGTCAGCCAGGCTGGTCTTGAACTCCTGGCCTCAAGTGATCCGCAGGCCTTTGTCTCCCAGAGTGCTGGGATTAGAGGCGTGAGCCACACCGCCCAGCCTCTTAAAATTTTTTTAATTGTAGTAACATACACATAACATAAAATTGACCATTTTCAAGTGTACAGTTCGATGGTATTAAGTCCATTCATGTTGTTAAACAACATGGTCTATACTGGCTGTTGTGCAACCATCACCACCATCCATCTCCATGGCTCTTCTCATCTTGCAAAACTACCACCCTGAACCATGAAACAATAACTCCCCATTTCCTCCTCCCCACAGCCCCTGGCAACCACCATTCTACTTTCAGTCTCTGAATTTGACTACGCTAGGTACTTCATAGAAGTGGAATCATACAGTACTTATCTTTTTGTCACTAGCTTATTTCATTTAGCATAATGTATTCAAGGGTCATCCATGCTGTAGCATGTGTCAGAATGTCCTTCATTTTTAAGGCTGAACAATGTTCCATCTTCTGTTTATACCGCATTTTGTTTATCCATTCATCCACTGATGGACACCTGGGTTGCTTCCACCTTTTGGCTATTGTGAATAATCTGCGAATGAACATGGGTGTACAAATATCTCTTTGAGACCTTGCTTTAAATTCTTTTGGGTATATACTCAGAAGTGGAATTGCTGGATCAAATGGTAATTCTATTTTTTAATTTTTAAGGAACTGCCACAATGCTTTCTATACCATTTTACATTTTCATTGACAGTGCACAAGGGTTCCGATTTCTCCACATCCCCAACTTCTATTTTTTTTTTAAGACGGAGTCTCACTCTGTCGTCCGGGCTGGAGTGCAGTGGCACTGCAACCTTCTGCCTCCCAGGTTCAAGCTTTCTCCTGCCTCAGCCTCCTGAGTAGCTGGGATTACAGGCATGCGCCACCATGACCAGCTAATTTTTGTACTTTTAGTAGAGACGAGCTTTCACCATGTTGGTCAGGCTGGTCTCGAACTCCTGACCTCATGATCCACCCGCCTCAGCCTCCCAGAGTGCTGGGATTACAGGCATGAGCCACCATGCCCAGCCCCCACTAACTTCTTATTTTCCATGTTATTTATTCATTTTTAAACAAGCATTCATTGAGTACCTACTATGCCACAGCTCTATACTTGGTAGAAACTGAGGCTGCCAAAATGTTAAATCTGTTTCCCTGCTCTTAGAACTTAGGAAACAATGGAGAAACAGTCATGTTCAAGAGATAGAGTGAAATGCAAGGTGATAGGTGCCTAATAGAGATGGAATCAATGGTAGATTGGATAAAGAAAATGTGGTACAGGCCGGATGCTGTGGCTCACGCTTGTAATCCTAACACTTTGGGAGGCCCAGGCAGGTGGATAGTCTGAGCCCAGGCGTTCGAGACCAGCCTGAGAAACATGGTGAAATCCCGGCTCTACAAAAAAAATACAAGTATTAGCTGGGCTTGTTGACGCGTGCCTGTAATCCCAGCTACCTGGGAGACTGAGGTGGGAGGATCCCCTGAGCCCAAGGAGGTGAAGGCTGCAGTGAACCATGATGGTGCCACTGTACTCCAGCCTGGGTGACAGAGTGAGACCCTGTCTCAAAAAAAAAAAAAAAAAAAAGAAGAAGAAGAAGAAGAAGAAAATATGGTACATATATACCAAGGCCGTAAAAAGAACGAGATCATAGCCTTTGCGGCAACATGGATGGAGCTGGAGGCCATTATCCTAAGTGAGCTAACACAGGAGCAGAAAACCAAACACTGCATGTTCTTATAGATGGGAGCTAAATACTGAATACCCACGGACACAAAGAAGGGAACAGACACCAGGGAGACACCAGGGCCTACTGGAGGATGGAAAGTTGAAGGAGGCTAAGGATTGAAAAACTACCTATAAATACACAGATACTATGCCTGTTAACTGGATGACAAAATAATATGGACACTGAATCCCCATGACATGGAATTTATCTATGGAACCAACCTGCACATGTACCCCTAAAACAAAAATAAAAGTTAAAAAAAAAAAAGAGAGAGAGATGGAGGCTGGGCGTGGTGGCTCGCGCCTGTAATCTCAGCACTTTGGGAGGCTGAGGTGGGTGGATCACCCGAGGTCAGGAGTTCGAGACCAGCCTAGCCAACATGGTGAAACCCCATCTCTACTAAAAATACAAAAATAGTCGGGCATGGTGGCGGGCGCCTGTAATCCCAGCTACCTGGGAGGCTGAGGCTGGAGAATCACTTGAACCCAGGAGGCAGAGGTTGCAGTGAGTCGAGATCATGCCACTGCTCTCCAGCCTGGGCGACAGAGTTATACTCCATTTCAACAACAACAACAACAAAAAGAAAAAAAAAAGAAAAAAAGAAAACGGCGTGTGATTTCTGAGGATGCATCAGAAGAGACTTTTGGCTTCCTTCCTGGCTCCCTGGTGGATCTCTTGTTCTGGGTTAAGGCATCCGCCATGTCAGGAGGACACTCAAGAAGCGTTCAGGAGAGCCCCGAGGGAGGACCTGGCACCTTCTGCCATCTTGTCACTATTGGAGAGTGCCAGCATCACCTTGTCAGCTGTGTGAGGAAGCCACCCTGGGAGCCGATCCTCCAGCCCCACTAAGCCTTCAGATGATTGCAGCCTTGACCAACATGTGACTGCAACCTTATGAAAGCGCCTGAGCCAAAACCATCACCAAGCTGCTCTTGATTTTCTGACTAAAAACACCCAGAACCCAAAAAACTGTGAGATAATACATGCTTATTGTTGTTTTAAGTAATTAAGTTTTGAAATACTTCATTACACAGCAAGAGATAACTAATGCAGCTAGAAGCATGAAAATATCTGGCATAGTGTGGAAATGGCGAGAAATGCATTGAGGCTGGCACGAGAGGTTAAAGCCAGAAACTTGGAGTTGAAAGAGATGCTTCTGAAATGCCATGTTTCTCCATAAGAGTGGGCAAGGGAGCCATCTGGTGGAGGAGGCATGCTTAGACATTCCCTTCTCTCTTCCCTGATTTCTCCAGCCTGTTCTCCTCAGCATTTCCACCTAGTATTTCTCCAAGGGCCACAGTGAGGTTTATGAGTCAAGTATGTGGGCCATAAACACACTTGCTTATTGAAGCAAATACTAACCTCTGCAAAATGTCAAGGTAAGATATTATCTTCAGTGATTATTTAATTTTCTCCCTTAGTCTCTTCTACCTGTCTGCTACCAAGGGGAAAACATCAGCAGCACCAGGAGTTGAGGCAGAATGCTGCAGGAGGGAAAGAAGGAACTAGAACTTGATTATGGAAAAATCAGAATTAGACTCGAGAGAGCACAGTCAAGCTGGTCCGTCTCTTAATTATAAGGGGAGGCCTTTATTCATCGCTACAGGCCACGACTATTGTCCCTTTCTGGTTTTTAAAGCCTTCTTGTATCCTCCAATGTTCCCTCCAGATAATGTCTAGAAATTCTTGAATAATATCTCTCAATTCTATAGCTGCTGGAAGAGAAAACAAATACTATTACTCTCCACTGTCAGACTGAGGCCAAGGAGGAGGAATTGCAAAGAAACTAAAATTTACCTTTGGAGTAAATTACCAGTGTGAGAATTTCAGGCACTTAGGATATATATATTATTATTATTTTTTCGAGACAGAGTCTTGCTCTGTCGCCCAGGCTGGAGTGCAGTGGCACGATCTCCGCTCACTGCAACCCCCGCCTCCTGGGTTCAAGCAATTCTTCTGTCTCAGCCTCCTAAGTAGCTGGAATTACAGGCACGCGCCACCACACCCGGCTAATTTTTATATTTATTTATTTATTTATTTTGAGACGGAGTCTAGCTCTGTCGCCCAGGCTGGAGTGCAGTGGCATGATCTCGGCTCACTGCAATCTCCGCCTCCTGGGTTCACACCATTCTCCTGTTTCAGCCTCCCCACTAGCTGGGACTACAGACGCCCACCACCATGCCCGGCTAATTTTTTTGTATTTTTAGTAGAGCCCAGGTTTCACCGTGTTAGCCAGAATGGTCTCGATCTCTTGACCTTATGATCTGCCCACCTTGGCCTCCCAAAGTGCTGGGATTACAGGCGTGAGCCACCGCGCCCGGCCTGATTTTTATATTTTTAGTAGAGACGGGGTTTCACCTTGTTGGCCAGGCTGGTCTCAAACTCTTGACCTCAGGTGATCTGCCCGCCTCAGCCTCTCAAAGTGCTGGGATTACACGTGTGAGCCACTGTGCCTGACCGGTACTTAGGTTATTAAAGAAAAAAATTTATTTTTCTTAAGAAGGGTGGGGACTCCTTAGCTTAAATACTACATTGTTGAACACAAAACTTTCCCCATCCTCTCACTTAGATTAAGTCTGCCTCTTCTCTCTGCTCCTACGGTTACAGTAGAATCCCCTGCTTTATATCATGGCTCAGTCAAGTCAGCGTCTTCTGTTGAACTAAGAGTTCATAGAGGGTAGAATTTCTGTCCAGTTCATTCTTGCTGGTTTCACAGTCATTGTTTTAAGAAATGATTCATGACCAGCCTGGGCAACATAGCAACACCTCATTCTACAAAAAAAAAAAAAAAAAAAAAATTGGCCAGGCACGGTAGCTCACACCTGTAATCCCAGCACTTTGGGAGGCTGAGGCAGGCAGATCACGAGCTCAAGAGATCGAGACCATCCTGGCCAACATGGTGAAACCCCGTCTCTACTAAAAATACAAAAATTAGCTGGGCGTGGTGGTGTGCACCTGTAGTCCCAGCTACTCGGGAGGCTGAGGCAGGAGAATCGCTTGAATCCGGGAGGCGGAGCTTGCAGTGAGCCAAGATCGTGCCACTGCACTCCAGCCTGATGACAGAGTGAGACTCCGTTTCAAAAAAAAATAAAAATAAAAATTAAGTAGCTAGGTGTTAGTGGTGTGCACCTGTAGTCCCAGCTCCTCTGGAGGCTGAGGCAGGAGGATTGTTTGAGCCCAGGAATTAGAGTGAGCTATGATTGCACCATTGCACTGCAGCCTGGGCAGCAGCAGAAGACCCTATCTCAAAAATAAAATAAAATTACATTAAAAAAGGAAAGAAAGATAAGAAAAAGAAAAAAGAAATGGGCATTGTTCTGGGGCTTTTGTTGAAAGAGATGTGAATTCTGTGCTCCAAGAGGAAACTGACACGCATGCGCTCATTCAAGGAACATTTGTTGGTACCTCCTTTGTGCTAGATGCTGGACACAGAAATTATAGGCAGTTCCCTCAGGACTCTCACTGTCTAGAGAGAGGAGGAGGCACCAAGTGCTGGGGTGGGGCAGGCCCACGGAGCCAAGTCAGAAGGGCACGTAATCCAGACAGTGGCTGCTGATGGGGAAGGTGTCAGAGAAGTCTTTCTTCAGGGGTGAGATCTGAGCTGAATTTTGGAGGAAGAATAAGAGCTGGCCAACTAAAGAATATGGGGCGCAGTGGCTCACGTCTGTAATCCCAGCGCTTTGGGAGGTCGAGGCAGGTGGATCACCTGAGGTAAGGAGTTTGAGACCAGTCTAGCCAACATGGTGAAACCCCATCTCTACTAAATACAAAAAATTAGCCAGGCATGGTGGTGCATGCCTGTAATTCCAGCTACTTAGGAGGCTGAGGCGGAAGAATCGCTTGAACCTGGGAGGCAAAAGTTGCAGTGAGCCAAGATTTCTCCATTGCACTCCAGCCTGCGCAACAAGAGCAAAACTCTATCTCAAAAAAAAAAAAAAAAAAAAGGTGAGAGTAGTCTGTAGAAAGGTACAGTAATGGGAGAAGGTGTGACATATCCGAGAACTGCCAGAGTTGAATACACCAGGCTTTGGTTTTATCCTGGAGGTCACAGGGGGCCACTGAAACTATCCACCAAGAGAGTGGTCTGAGAAAGGTACAGAGGGGTGGACAGGGTGGGGGATGGGAGTGGGTGGGGAGTGGCGATGGCCTATCCTGGAATTCAGACCTGAGGCCAGGTTAGGAAACGAAGAAGAGGGGCCTTCAGAGGCTATCTGCATGACAGACCCAGGAGCTTTCGGGGAAAAGACCCATCCTAAGGGAGGAGAGGCAGAGTCCAGCAGATGGGCCTGGACCACCACAAAGCTCAGTCCATTTCTCTAAGGGGTGGTGAGTGGATTTCTGTATATGGCTTAGTGATATGTGTGGGAATTGGATCTTTCTACATTTTGGCCTTTCGTGGATTCTTGTCTGATTTTTGGGCTAGGGGTGGTGGTGGTAGGGCTTTGAGTAAAAATAAAAATCACAATGATTGCTAACGATTTTTGAACACTTATAACATGTCAGGAATTTACATACTTTAGCTCATTTAATTCTCATCACAGCCCCACACTGAGGGTACCACTATGGTTATCCCCATTTTACAGCTGGAAAAACCAACCAAGCAATTCATCTGAGGAGAAGCCCTCCTACCTTACTTATGTTGGGACTGGCGCATGCCGGGTAATTGACAAAGTCAACTAAAGCAGGGAGCTTTGAGAAAAATACCTACACAGGGTAAGCATTTACTTTTGGGACAATCGTCAATTTATACATAGTTATAAGAACTAACACAGGGTGATCCCACAGACTACCCCCCAATGGTAACATCTTGCAACCCTTCTTAACAGAATGCCTACTATGTGCCAGGTACTGCTTTAGGTGCTGGAGACATAGACACGGGAAACGAAACATTAGCTGACAGAAGCCACAAGAGTGAATGAGATCCTCACGGAGTGCCTTGAGTCAGAAGAAAGAAGGGTAGCAAAAGGAGCCCCAGCATTTGAGGGGTAGGAAGAAAAGCCCTAAGGAGACCTTGAAGGTCGGAAAGAGAGGAGAGGGTGGTGTCATGGAAGCTAAGGTGGACAATGGTGCCAAAAAGGAAAGAGATTCCAGTGCTTCTGAGGTCATCTGCAAGGAGGACTGGGAAGTGTCCATTGGATTTAGCAGCCAGGATGTCACAGGTGAGCAGGCAGGTAGCCCAGAAATATGGAGGGGAGCAGGACCACAGTGCAGTGAGGAGTGAATTGGGCGAGGAAGCAGCGGTAGAGAGCACTTCACAGTGAGTCTTCCAACTCATGTAGGAAAGAGGGGGTAAAGTTAGGCTAAAGGAGAAATTTTCCATGAATTTTGTCTCTAGAATGATGATTAAGAGTTAGCGAGAGTCAAGATTTCAGGCCTGTTAGAGCAAAGCCCTAAGGAAATAAGAGTTGGACCCTGGAGCACAGCTAAGTCCTGGCTGGAGGGATGGGCCTGTCTTTCTGAAAGGAGATAATGGAGGAAGAGATGCAGTTAAAGCTCTGTGGCTACTTGAAGAGGGAAGTGATTACTTCCAGCTGGGGCACTCAAGGAAGGGATACAGACATTTGAGTGCCAGGGGCATTTGAGGGTAACAGTGGAGGGGTTCAGTTGGCCAAAGTTAAAGGCAGCTGAAAGATGGCAGGAGACAAGACCAGGAAATGCAGACCAAGGTGGGTGGTGGTATGGTTGGGGCGTTGGGGTCAGATGACACATAAGCTTCAAATTCCAGCTCCCATTTGCTTCTTAGCTGTGACTCTAAAGAAGTTCCTTAACACGTCTGAGATTCCCCATCTGTAAAATGGCGACAACCCTAATAGGGTCGTTGGAGGAGAACTAGATAATGTCTAAAAAGAGCTCAGTCCGGTTCAGTGCTTGGCTCCTCTGTACCTGAGCGCTAAGTCACTAATATAAAGCCATCGGATGTGTGCTTTAAGGGAAATTAACTGGGCCACACGGTGTGAAGTGAACTGAGCTGGGAGAGGCCTGCACAGGACCTTGTACACACTAGCTACTCCGGAAACAACTGCATGCTCTGCTGGGCATCTCATACAGGATACGGTGTCTTTCCGGGGCTCACACACAGTCCCCAGTTCAGTTCCAAAGTTGGAAGGAAAGAGGATGAAGACGTAAATTCTTCATTTAAGCCTCTCGCCAACTGTTCCCTGCGGCAAGGCAGGGCAACGAGCTGCAGGGTCGCCAAGCACGTGCTTCCAAGGGTCCTCAAGGCTTTGTGAACGGCGGCCGGCCAAGGACAGAATTAACTCCAGCCTGGAGCGCGCGGGAAAGACGCGCAGGCGCACTGCTGGCAAGGGTGCTTGCCTGTGCTGGGGTGGGCGGAGCTAAACCCGGAGCGGGATGACGTCATGAGGACGCAGCCGCAGAGCGATTCGCGTCCCGGAAGCGGCGGTGGCGGCCGCGGCGTAGGCGGAGGAGATTTTCGGACCTGCGACTTCCGAACAACCCTGGCAGGAGGAGCGGCGTTCAGCCGGGGGAGGCCTGAAGAAACGCTCCGGGGCCCAGTGGCTCTACCCCTGCTCCTGCCCGACCCTGCCGCCTCCCTCACGGAGCCAGCGGCCGGGTAGGTGAGGTGCCGTCCCCCCGCGTCCCAGTGTCTCCGCAGGCTGTGTGTAGTTGGGTGCTTGGGCGCAGCGGGGGCCGCCACATGCTGGCCCCACGACCTCGGGCATGGCCTTCCCTGTCCAGCCTCACGGGCTCCATCAGGCCCCCCTGGCTGCAGAGGTGTTGGCCAAGGCCAGTGCGGGCGTCGATATACCTCGCCCCTTCCTGGGCTCATACCTGGCGCCGCTCTGTGCCCTTTCGCCTTGGCTCGGCCTGCGGGGATTTCGGGGTCCCGTTGGCCCCTTTGTCCCATCCCCTCACCCTCCCATCAGGTCGCGGCTGATTGCCTGGGACTGGTTTATGTTGCTCTTCGCCGAGGTTCCGCCCCCTCGTTTGCTGCTTAGAGTTCAGGATAGGACTTTGAACTGGGAAAGACCGTAAAGGCTCCTCGGTTTCCTCATCAGAAAGGGCAGACGGGAATGGGGCGTTCTGATGCCGACTGCCCTGGGGCAGAGATGGCCCAGGAAGTTGTTGGGAACCGAAGGGAGTGGGAAGAGTTAGAGGATCGGGCGAGAGTCCTGGAGCACGGTATTTCATTCACTCATTCAGCAGGCATTTGTTAAGCACCCACTGTGTACAGAAGCAGTCGTGAATGGAGGCCAGTTAAGAGCAGGGAGTTTTACTTTGACGTGGTCAGTGCTCTGCACTTGATCTTAGCCACAAGGCCAAGAAGCGATGTGATGTGATAAGTGCTCTGTTAGGGTGAGTACGTGATCCTTTGGGAGCATCGGAGAGGGTCTCCCAGTCCAGAGTTGGGGGTGTTGGCAGAGACTTCCCAGAGTAAGGGAGTGATGTTTAAGCTGATACCTGAAGGATGAGTAGGAATTAACCAGGTAAAGAGTGGGAGAAAAATGTTCCAGGACATCATTTCATTTCAGCCCATGGGCTGCCTCGCTGCAGCGATCATTTATGCTTGGTTTTTATGATTTTTAGTTTTGATGGATCTTTGGGGAAAAGAGCATTGGATGGAGAGTACAAAGAACAGGATTTTAGGTCTGAATAGTTCACTTTCCCTTGCTCACAGGTTTACTGTTGGCACCACCTGAATCTGTAGGTAGAATTGTGTTGAGGACTAGACGTGCAATGCAAATGTTGGGAATTATTATGGTTACAGGATGCAGACATCAGAACGTGAGGGGAGTGGGCCGGAGCTGAGCCCCAGCGTGATGCCCGAGGCTCCCCTGGAGTCTCCACCTTTTCCTACCAAGTCCCCAGCGTTTGACCTTTTCAACTTGGTTCTCTCCTACAAGAGGCTGGAGATCTACCTGGAACCCTTGAAGGATGCAGGTGATGGTGTTCGATACTTGCTCAGGTACAGACTTTGTGGAGTTGCTCTGGTCTGCTCTGCCTTCTGCCGTCCTGCTCTGTAGTAACTAACACTGACCATTTAGGCAGTGGCTGGGCTGTCCTTTCTGCCCTAGTGAGGAGCAGTTCTGGGAGGTCTGTTCGGCCTCTGGGTTTATCTAGGCCTACCCTGTGTCTCAGGCCCAGCCCAGGAGAGGCAGATACTGGGAATGATCCTGCCTTTCAGCAAGGTTCTTCTTTGTGACTGAATAAGCTCCTTCCTCTGGACTGCTGGACAACCTTGAACATCACGCCTTCTACAGCTTAGAGCAGGCTTAATTTTTTCCTTTGCCCCCAATATTAGCATAATTAATATTAAAAAATTAGGGTATAATTTTGAACAAAAATTAAAGAAATACAAAAACCTGTGAATAAGCAGATACCATTTTCACTACTTTTTTTTTTTTTGAGACAGAATCTTGCTGTATTGTCCAGGCTGGAATGCAGTCGTGTGAACATGGCTCACTGTAGCCTCAGCCTCTTCAGCTCAAGCGATCCTCCTACCTCAGCCACCATGCCTGGCTAATTAAAAAAAAAAAAAAATTGTAGAGAGGCTCTCACTGTGTTGCCCAGGCTGGTCTTGAACTGTTGGGCTCAAGTGATCCTCCTGCCTCAGCCTCCCAAAGTGCTGGGATTACAGGTGTGAGCCACTGTGCCCAGCCCATTTTTACTAATTTATTGAGATTATGGATCTTAACTTTTTCCCTCCTATCCTGCTTTGATTTTCATTCTCTATAATTTTCATTTTTTCTTTTGACTCATTTTATTATGTTAAAATTATTTTAAATTACTTATATGGCATTCTACTCCCTAAATATGTCAGTTTTTATCTCTAAATAAGGACATTTCTTTCAAGATCAAAGTAACACCATACCTAACAAAATTAATAACTCCTTGATATCATCCTATACTCAGTTCATATTCCATTTCCTCAGTTGTACCATCTCTTTTGGCTAAATCACATTTCAGTCCAGGAGTGTGCATTGTTTGTACTTATTATGTCTTTTAAGTCTTTTTTCAGTCTAAGACAATCTCTCTCGTGACATTGATTTGCTGAAGAGACTGAGCCTGAACTGACTTTCCTGGAGAATTTACTACCGAGATTTGTCTGGTTTCTTCCTTGTGGTGCAGACTAGAAGTTAGATTTAAAGGTTGGATTTGATTGAAGTTAGAAAAGTGTTTTTTTTTTTTTTTGCAAAGGTAAATGTTGTGCCCCTGGTGTTGCATTGCATCAGGAGTCACACAAAAACCTGATTGTCCTAAAGAGCAGAGGTTTTTAACTTGGAGCCTATGGGTGAGTTTTAGGGATCAGTGAATCCCCTGAAACTGCATGTAAAATTATGTGTCTGCACATGTGTGTATTTCTAGGGAAAAGCTTCTGGTTTTCATCAGATTCTCATAAAGACCCTCAGTCCTCTGAAATACATGAGAGAGACTGGTAGGAAGCAGGGTGAGTGGAGTTACGTTAACCTCTGAGGATGCCATTGAGTATTTATCCATGCCTCAGTCTGGAAATAGTGGATGTTTTGTTACTAGTTCTCTGGCAAAGGCCCTACATTTTTCTTGTTCACCTAATTTATGTCTGTATCCGTAGAGGTGAGCTAGTCAGTGTTCCAGAGCTGTGTTCTCTACTGTAAGATCACTGTGCTCTTCCCACAAGGGGTAGGGAGACAGTATGAGGAGAGGCTGTTTTCTCCTTTTATAATCTCAGCATGATGTGAAGTTTGGTCTTCTTTAGGAGAGAGGCTGTGCCCCCGGCACATTCTTTGTATGTGTGTGTTGCTCTTTGTGGCAAAGTACGAAAGTTAAGTGTATCCTGTCCTGCCCGTCTCCTTTTCCTCTACTAGTCCGTAGTGCGTCTTAGCACACTAATGTGTTAGGGTTTTTCCATTTTATGGAATTAAAAATTGGAGGATGTGGTAGGATTGGTTAAAGCAGGATGCAGGAGGAGCATTGGACTTAAAAGCCCCCAGGAGCCTGCAGTTTCTGTGCTGCTGGGAGAGGGAGCACTGGTCCATGAAAGTGGCTGTCACGTTAGTTTGTGCTTTTGATTGTTCTTTTCTTAGTAAAGAGGATTTGACTTTGAAGAGGGACCTAATCTTGGGCTCTGGCTATTAGGTCTGAAGCCTAGAGCTGCAGTAAATTGTTAACAGACTCTCTCCTGGGATCAGCTACTCTACTGCTTGGGTCTCCTGGGACCAAAGTGTCAGTAAAGACATTTTATAGAAGGGAAGAGGCTTTAAAATGAAAGTGACTTGAGTGGTGGTGTTTTTATTTCCAAAATGGGATTGGCTTTTATTTCGCTTTTACCCTGGTAGCTGCCACTAGAGGTTCTGAGGCGTAATTAGGGTGGTACAGGTGGAGTGTGTTGAATTTCAGGAGAAAGACACAGATGTCATTTCATTCCCTTACTCATAAATTTCATTAAAAAGTAAAAGCCCCTTTACACTGTTGGTGGCAGTGTACATTAGTTCAACCATTGTGGAAGACAATGTGGCGATTCCTCAAGGATCTGGAAGCAGAAATACCATTTTACCCAGCAATCCCATTACTGGGTATATATCCAAAAGATTATAAATCATTCTGCTGTAAAGACACATGCACATGTATGTTTGTTGCAGCACTATTCACAATAGCAAAGACTTGGAACCAACCTAAATGTCCATCAATGATAGACTGGATAAAGAAAACGTGGCACATATACACCATGGAATACTATGTGCAGCCATGAAAAAGGATAAGTTCATGTCCTTTGCAGGGACATGGATGAAGCTGGAAACCATCATTCTCGGCAAACTAACACAGGAACAGAAAACCAAACACCACATGTTCTCACTCATAAGTGGGAGTTGAACAGTGAGAACACATGGACACAGGGAGGGGAACATCACACACCATGGCCTATTGAGGGGTGGGGGCTAGAGGAAGAATAGCATTAGGAGAAATACCTGAGGTAGATGATGGGTTGATGGGTGCAGCAAACCACCATGGCACGTGTATACCTACGTAACAAACCTGCACGTTCTGCACATGTATCCCAGAACTTTAAGTATAATAATAAAAAAAAGTAAAAGCCCTGCATGAATTAGTTAACCTCATTCAGTAACTCTGAAATACTCCAGAGCACAAGAAAATATATTTAGCCCCAGCACGGTAGCTTACGCCTTTAATCCCAGCACTTTGGGAGGCCAGGGTGGGCAGATCACCTGAGGTCAGGAGTTTGAGACCAGCCTGGCCAACATAGTGAAACACCCCATCCCTACTGAAAACACAAAAACTGGCCAGGTGTGGTGGCGTGCCCCTGTAATCCCAGCTGCTAGGGAGGCTGAGACAGAATCGCTTGAACCCAGGAGGCGGGGGTTGTAGTGAACCAAGATTGTGCCACTGCACTCTAGTCTGGGCAACAGAGCGAGACTCTGTCTCAAAAGAAAAAAAAAAAAAAAAAGAAAATACATTCAATGCTTGCCAGCAATTTACCTGTTTATTTTTCTGATGTTTGTCTCTCTCCTAGTGGCTCACCTATATATTGACACTGCCTTTAGAATTTGGGTGTCGTGGCTTCATTGTTGCATCTGTGCTCCTCTTTCCCTACTAAATGTCCTTTATCAGGGACGGAGCCAGCAGCATTTGCTTGTTCTCAGCAATCTGAGTCTCTGGTCTTCCTTGTTCCCTGTTTGGGGGCTTCTGCATTGCCATTTGGTGGTGGTGGTGGTGGTGGCAGTGATGTATCTGTGTTTGCTTCTGTCTGTTCCAGCTCACTTAAGGTGTGATTGCTAAGTGAATGCTGCACCCTACTTTCATCTTGATTTTTAATATATTAAAATAAAATCTTTACTATTGTTTCTCTTTTTGAATTAATAGGTATTCAAAATAAACTCTCAGATAAACTCTCAAATTTTCAAAAACATGGACATAAGAAGATAAAGGCACAAATGGGGCCAAAGAAGTCCACAATTTGTTTTTTCTTGATTTCTGTATTAGTTGAATCTTGTGCAATGATTATATATTCTTATGAAATTATAAAAAAAGAATAGAGGAAAATATTAAGAACATTTGTCAGTGTCACCTCTTAAGGAGAATACAACCTTACAAAACACAGGTTAAATGGTATTAACTGGGTTTCTTAACTGATATTTTATAAATTCTTCTTCCTTTTGGGAGAAAGCACTACAGACCTACCAGTTTCCTCACCCCAGGTGCTAATGTGTGACATCTTACCGCCTCTCCTGGTCACCAGTCCAAGTGAGAGGCCCCCTTTTCGTTTCTCCTTGACCTTCTGTGTTCCAGGCCTCCTCTTCTGGTTTGATGTCCCGTCTGTGCTGCCTGGTCTCCCCTCCCCAGCTGGAGGAGTGACTCTCTGTAGTGATCAGGACTCTCTGTATTGTAGGTGGCAGATGCCTTTGTGTTCCTTGCTGACCTGCCTGGGCCTCAACGTCTTGTTCCTCACTTTGAATGAGGGTAAGAACTGCCTTCAGGGGCCAGTGGTTTTTGTGAACGAATGTGGGGGAAGAACACCTGGATGCAGCCCCACCCTATGTGTGGGAGCTGCTCTTGTTGCCCTGGAGTTAGTGTTCCTCTGTGTCTGCTTGGAGTCAGAAACAGCCTCCAGAGGGACGATCCAGGCTGAGCTGCCTGCTGTGACCTTGGGCAGATTATTGAACTTCCCTGTTAAGGCCTAATTTTCCTTACCTCTAGAGGGAGGATAAAAATGACGCTTTCCTCCTAGAGTATTTGTGAGGAATGCGGCAGTCTAGGCATAATACTTAGCACAGTGCCTGGCGTGGAAGAGGCAGCCAGTGCATTGTAGCTGCTCTCAGTATTATCGTTGTTTCCTTCTTGACTTCCTGCTGAGGATGCATTGACCTTTTTCCATTTTGGTTTTTAAGCTGATTCAAGGGTCATCTGGGGACATGGCATGAGTAAAGGTACTGGGATGAGGAGCTGATAAGGGATTTTTGCCATATCTGTTGCTTTTCTCTGGTTCAGCTAGTGAGCCTAACGGGAGCTGCTGGGCAGTCACCAGCAGTGAGGAGTGGCATGAAGCCTTTGAGATAGAAGTGTGGACACATGGGTGTCTGTTGGGGTCATGGGTAATGTCTTCTATGAACCTCTTACTACAGTGCATACCGTGACCCTACCCTATCCGTGGTTGGCGCTGGCAGATGGCCACATAAAAAGCCAAACCCCTCAGGGTGAGAATAAAGAGTCTGGGACAGAATGTTTGGAGGAGCTGGGCCATTATTCATGTTTTTGTTCTTTTACTTACCTTGTATTTCTCAGGTGTCTTCTTTGTTTCCTCTGGAGATAGGGATTGAGTAGGTTGAAAATAAATCCAGTTCATATAAGATCTCATTTTCTGTTTCTTAGTTGGACTCATCTTTACCTGTTCAAAACTTCCTAGGATGTTTGATTTTTCTATATATGCTCCCAAAGTAAGTCAGTTCCTATGACAGATGTTTAGTAAGCATTTATTATGGGCCCGCTGCTCTGTTAGCTTGTTGTTGGGGTGCCATGTTACATGGAAGAAGTTCTTTCTTTGAATTTTATCTCGGCTTCGCCATTTCTCAAGGCACAATCGTCTGCAGTGTCCTAAAAGCTGAACGAAAGGCTTCTAGCTTCCTTAGTGGCCCAGAGGTCCGAGTGTCAGGCATCAGGAGCTCCTGGCAGTCACACTCCAGCGTGAGCCTCCTCTGTGCTAGCAGCATCTTAAAACGTATTAAAAGTGAGGATGGGGCCACAGCAGTGACCAAAGGGACAAAGTCCCAGCCCTCAAGAGCTTACTTCATTAGAGGAGACAACAGACATGCCTGCAATGTGTCATGTGGTGATAAGGTCTATGAGGAATGAAGCTGGGTTAAGGGGGCTGGAGAGTAGGGGTGAGACACTGTGTCGTACAGAGCTATCAGGGAAGGCCTGACTGGCAGAGCCCTGGAGGAGGTGAGGAACAAGCAGTGGGCGTCTGGGTGGGCCGACTCCTGGTCTTTGCTTACCTGTGTTACCTGCAGTGTTTTTGATTCTGCAGGTGCATGGTACTCAGTAGGTGCCCTGATGATTTCAGTGCCCGCCCTGCTGGGCTACCTTCAGGAGGTTTGCCGGGCACGGCTGCCTGATTCCGAGCTGATGCGGAGGAAGTATCATAGCGTGAGGCAGGAGGACCTGCAGAGAGGTCGCCTGTCTCGTCCCGAGGCCGTGGCTGAGGTGAAGAGCTTGTGAGTATGGAAGAGAGGCCAGGGAGGTGGGGGAACAGTAACAGCAGCCATGACACTAAGTGCTAGCTTTGTGTGCTCGACATCATATTAGGCAAACCACAGCTGTTACTTCATTTAACCTTTTTAACAGTTCCGGGAGGTAGTTAATATTAACATCTTCCATTTATGGGTAAAGAAAAAGGCTGACTTACTTAGCTAGAAAGTGGCCAAGCTGGGATGAGAATCTCGATCTAGCTGTTTGTTTTCACAGCTTCTGTTCTTTCTTTCTTTTTTTTTTTGAGACAGAGTTTCGCTCTCGTTGTCCAGGCTGGAGTGCAGTGACGCAATCTCGGCTCACTGCAACCTCCGCCTTCCATTGGTTTCAAGCGATTCTCCTGCCTCAGCCTCCCAAGTAGCTGGGACTACAGGCACACACCACCACGCCCAGCTAATTTTTTGTATTTTTAGTAGAGACCGGGTTTCACCATGTTTGTCACGATGGTCTCGATCTCTTGACCTTGTGATCCGCCCGCCTCGGCCTCCCAAAATGCTGGAATTACAGGCGTGAGCCACCACGCCTGGCCCTGTTCTTTCTGCTGGAGAGACAGTTTAGGGTCTTGACTAAGCATGTGCATGTATAAGCCACTGCCTGGGTTCAAATCCCAGCTCTTCCATTTACTTGCTGTGTAACATTGGGCAAGTTGCTTAGCCTCTGTGTGTCTCAAGTTTCTCATCTGTTAAATGGAATGATAACAGGGCTTACTCAGAAGGTGGTTGTGAAGATTGAACAGGTGTCTTGTACTGGGGAAGTGTTGAGTAGATATTAGTTATCATCACTACACTGTGGAGAAACTTCGTAAACATGACAGAGCTGGTACTTCTGAGGAAGCATTTTAAGACTTGAAAAATATTCATCTAACAACTTCAGTAGCAGTGGACGTTTACACCTCCCTTCCCTGGAGTGGGGTCTCTGCATTCTCTTGAAATAGAATAGGGGCAAGAAAAGTTATAAACAAACAGATGGCTGGGCCTCACCCCAGAAATTCCGAGTCAGTTATCTGGAGTGGGGCCTGGATATGTAGTTTTTTTAAAAAAGACTTTCTTACTTTGAAATAGTTTTATATATATATACACATATATATATATATATATATATATTTTTTTTTTTTTTTGAGACAGAGTCTTGTTATGTAACCCAGGCTGAAATGCAGTGGCGTGATCTCGGCTCACTGCAACCTCTGCCTCCTGTGTTCAGGCGATTCTCGTGCCTCAGCCTCCAGAGTAGCTGGGATTACAGGCATGTGCCACCATGTCCAGCTAATTTTTGTATTTTTAGTAGAGATGAGGTTTCATCATGTTGGCCAGGCTGGTCTCGAACTTCAGCCTCAGGTGATCTGCCTGCCTTGGCCTCCCAAAGTGCTGGGATTGCAGGCATGAGCCACCGCACCCAGCCTGAAATAGTTTTAAACTTAAAGAAGTACAGGAATAATACCAAGAATGCCTTTTACCCAGATAGAACAATTATTAACATTTTGCCATGTTGGCTTCGTCTATCTCTCTACATATACATATTCTTTTCTTTTTCCTAAACCATTTGAAAGTAAGTTGCAAACGTGACTTAATACTTCAGCGTGTATTTCCTAAGAACAAGGACATTCTCTTAAATATCCACAGAGCTGTAATCAAAATTAGGAAACTTAACGTTGATAACTAATGTATAATTCGTAATCGGATTTTACCAGTTGTATTAATAAAGTTCTTTTTCTTCTTTTATTAATTTTTTTCCTTTTTTCTTTTTTTTTTTTTACTTTTTGAGACGGAGTTTTGCTCTGTCATCCAGGCTGGAATGCAGTGGCATGATCATGGCTCACTGCAGCCTCAACCTCCTGGACTCAAGTGATCCTTCTGCCTCAGCCTCCTGAGTAGCTGGGACCACAGGCACATGCACCATACCCTGCTAATTAAAACAATTTTTTTGTAGAGATAGGGTCTCATTGTCTTGCCCAGGCTGGCCTTGAATTCCTGGGCTCTAGCAATCCTCCTGCTTCAGCCTCCCAAAGTGCTGGGACTACAGGTGTGAGCCAGTGTGGGTGTCCTAATAAAGTTCTTTGTATCAGTTTCCCTGATCTGGGATCCAATTCAGGATTATACATCATGTTTAATTTTTTTATGTCTCTTTAGTCTTCTTTAATCTGGAGCAGTTCCTCAGTCCTTGTTTCTTGTGACCTTGACATTTTTGAATAGTACAAGCTTATTATTTTGTAGAATCTCCCTAATTTTTGGATTGTTTGGTTCCTTGTGATCAGATTTAGAGTGTGACAAGTGATGTGTCATGTTCAGTACATCCGTATCAGGAGGCACCTGATGTCAGGAAATACTGACTTTGATCACTTGGTTAAGGCATCCATACTGTAAATTATCATTTTACTCTTCATTAGTAGTAATTTGAGGGGAGATACTTTGAGACTATGTAAATATCTTGTTCCTCATCAAACATTTATCCACTGCTTTAAAAATCCATTGATGGGTCTTGCCTTAATCAGTTTATTACTATGATGGTTGCAAAGATGATCTTCTAATTATTCTATCGACATTTTTTTAGCTGGCTTTCTACTATAAGGAAGCTCTTTCTTACTATTATCAGTATGAACTCATAGATTTATATTTTATTTGATGAGTTAGAATCTATTACTATCATTATTTATTTTGATCTCAAATTGTCCTAGATTTGGCCAGTAGGAGCTCTTTTGAGTTGGCTCTTGTTTGCATTGGTCCCTGTCATTTTTGAATGCTTCCTTTATGGTACAACAGGATGGTCAAATTCATCTTATACTTCCCTGCCCCAGCCCTGGAATCAGCTTATCTCCATGTTTCCTGGTTTCCCTTCAGAAACCCAGATCTGGGTTCAGATTGTGCTCATGGCTTCTGTGGTTCATCCATGTTTAAAAAAACAACAACCAGAACTCCCCAAGTGAGTCTGTTTCACATCCCAGGTAGAGAATATCATGCCATTTATTCTGACAGCTGCTGTGTACCCGTGAGGTGGGTCCTCTGATCCTCATTTTATAGATAAAGAAGCCACAGCCCTGGAGAATTTCAGTAGCCTGCCTGACATCAACAGTTAGAAGACCAAAGCAGGAACATTTATACTGTTTCCACCTCAGCAAGAGGCTCCAAAAAGGGGACTGAAATGTAGCTGGGGTGGCTTAGCCAGGCCTGTTTCTCCCATGCTCTCTCGACTCCTCTCTCTTTAAGCACATGGTGAGTGTGTTTAAAGAGATTGACCATCCCTAGCCAACTGTACCTGCAAGGCCCCAGGCTCCACTTCCCAGGGCTTCTGTCCTGCCCACTCACCAAAGCCCCTGTGTCTGTAGCTTGATCCAGCTGGAGGCCTTCCTGAGCCGCCTGTGCTGCACATGTGAAGCCGCCTACCGCGTGCTGCACTGGGAGAACCCCGTCGTGTCCTCACAGTGAGTGACCCCTCCTCTCCCGCCACCACCCTATAGGAATTTGCAGCTTGAGCCCGAGCAAAGCCAGCTGCCTTGAGAGGACCTCTGCCCCTCTTACCTCAGGGGAAGAGCTCGCCTCCTGGGCTCTTGTGTGTATATCTGCACATATGCTTGCGGGCTCTAATGTACTGCTTTTGTTTAGATGCTTGCTTTTATGTGTGGTAAAAATAATAATAGAAAAATAACTCACCATATAATCCACCATGCAGCCGAATCTCTTGTTTGTTTTGCCTGCTAGAATTTGTCACATGCATCTACTTTACGGATGTATAGTTTCATAGTGTATGTTCAATTTTTCTTTTGTTTTCCACTTATCATTATATTAAAGATGATTTTCTTTGTTGCTATATAGCTTTTGGAATTATTTATAATACCAGATTAATATAGATGGCAAATATAATTTGTGAAACCATTCTGTTACAGATTTAGTCAATTTCCCTTTTCATTACTAACCCCATGGTAAACATTTTTATGGATTTAGCTTTAATGTTTTAGAAAATTTTTCTTGGAGTAAATTCAAGGATGAAACTACCATATCAAACAGAATGGGTGTTTTTGAGGCTCTTTAATATGAATAATAGTGATAACTAATGTTTGTTGTGTTCACCTGGTGCCAGGCACTGCTCAACACTCCCTCTGTATTATCTCACTCTTATAGTAACTCTATTAGGTAGGCGCTACTTCAGTCCCCATCTTACACGGGAAGGGAGCTGTGCCCAGAGAACCAAGAGACTTCTCAGAATGAGAAGTGGCAGAGCTGGATTCAAATCCCAGTCTGTCTTACTCTAGACTTCAGAGTCTAGACCTTAAGGAGTGATGATGGTTGAACCAGTTTATGTGCCACCAGCTGACACCACTTTGGCCTCACCAGCATCAGGTGTTTGCACCGGTGACTTGGGATAGTTCTCAGTCTTCATCGCCATTTTCCGCTGGTTTGATGAGCGGCTCTTGTCAGTTTATTAATGTGCCCAGAGCTGTGTCTCACCTGGACCCTGCTGTGGGTGTGCTCCAAACCCGTCTCCTTCTGCTGTTACGAATTTCTGATCTTGTGGTTCTTCCCTGTCATCCAGGTTCTATGGGGCTCTTCTGGGCACAGTCTGCATGCTGTATTTGCTGCCACTCTGCTGGGTTCTCACCCTTTTAAACAGCACGCTCTTTCTGGGGAATGTGGAGTTCTTCCGAGGTAAGCCCTGAAGGGCCTGAAAGATGGGGCCCAAGCTGGCTCTGAGGGCTAGGCTAGGCTCCCCAGTTCTTCTGTCTCTACAGCTAATCATCAGTTTGCTGTGCTTCCACAAGTGCAACACCACACTGGGGTCCTCTCTCATGGGCTCTGCATCTCTGAGATGTTAGATGAAGCTGGAATCTCACCAGGGGAGGCTGCTACCATTGGGCTCCCATCTCCCTTCGCTCCCTTCCCAAGGCAGATGAATCACTGCTTATATGATATGATGGCTTCTGGAAGATGAGGGAAGGATGTTTTTCCCAAAGCTGCCACCCATCCCCTGGGGTGCAGCCACCTGGAGTTGCTACCACATCTCTGTGTGATCCCAGAATACCCCTCTGTTGTCTGGCTTCTAAAGCGCTGAGGCAGTCTGGAGAGGCACTGAGTCGCAGAGGCCCGAGTCTGTACATATGTTTGGGTGATTGCTGTATTTGTTTTCCTCCCTGTGGTAGAGTTATTTATTACAGAAGCCATGATTTATTGAGCATTTACTACATTTAATCTCTGTAGCTGTCTGGGGCAGGTGGTGGTATCTAAGTTTTGTTTAAGAGGCTTAAGTTAGGTGACTCGCTCAGAGTTAGGAGGGTGACTCTTTCCTGTAGTGAAGGGAAGAGAGGCCAGCCAGCTGCAGAAGTGGGTACCCCTAAAGTGCCACTCACGGTGTCTCATTTTTGCCTCCTACCTTGTTCTCCATTCCCTGGGTAGTTGTGTCTGAGTACAGGGCATCTCTGCAGCAGAGGATGAACCCAAAGCAGGAAGAGCATGCCTTTGAGAGTCCTCCACCACCAGATGTTGGGGGGAAGGATGGTCTGATGGACAGCACGCCTGCCCTCACACCCACGGAGGTAAGTGCCACTGTCAGGGCAGAGCCTGCTGTGGCCGCTTGTGGGCCCCCCTGTTATCAGCTTGTTTTTGGCTCCTGGGCTGGCCTCTGTTGTAGTTCCTGCTATTTCCCAGGCCTTAACTCCCCTGAAGTGTTCAATAATAATAATTGTAATAAAAACAGCTACTCCATGCTTCACTGAGTGCTTACCCTGTGTCAGATGCTGCTCCAAGTGCTTTATAGATAGATATTCACATCATGGAGTGCAGGTTCTTTCTTTCCTTTTCTTTTTTTTTTTTCCTTTTTTTTTGAGATAAGGCCTCCCTCTGTCACCCAGGCTAGAGGGCAGTGGGGCAATCACAGCTCACTACAACCTCCATCTCCTGGGCTCAGGCAGTCCTCCCACCTCAGCCTCTTGGGTAGCTGGGACTGCAGGCAGGTGCCACCACGCCCAGCTAATTTTTTTGTATTTTTAGTAAAGATGAGGTTTTGCCATGTTGCCCAGGCTGGTCTCAAACTCCTGGGCTCAAGTGATGTGCCTGCCTCGGCCTCCCAAAGTGCTGGGATTACAGGCGTGAGCCACTGCACCAGGCTGGTTATTTCTGAGAAAGAGATCATTCTCATTTGTGGAAGAGAAGGCTGAGGCACAGAGTGGCTGGTAAGTGGCAGGGCTGGGTCTAAGACCCCAGCCCTGTGGTTCTAGAGCTCGTGCCTTCAACCACTGTGCGATGTGGCCACTGTAGGGCCAGCTGTGCTCGTGTTTCCATCTCCCCCGCCCTGCCAGGCTAGAGGTTGCTCCTTCCTGTGAGTTCCTTCTTTCTTGCCATTGTGCCATTTCGTGGTGTTTTGGGTAGCCTGGATGCTGGCTTGGGGAGGTGGTCCTCTGCCTTAGGGAGCAGCGCTGCCATCCTTCTCCTTCTGTCATAGAGTCTCTCTTCCCAGGACCTCACACCGGGCAGCGTGGAGGAGGCTGAGGAGGCTGAGCCAGATGAAGAGTTTAAAGATGCGATTGAGGTGGGTGGCCCTTCCCCAGCATCCTCTACTCAGCAGGCCAGAAATTGGGTGGTCCTGGAGCTGTTTTTTGTTTTTGTTTTTTAATGTCCAAGTGAGAAGCTAAAACTTGCTGTGAGCTAGAACTCACTGGTTGAAAGAGTGCCACTGAACCCCTCCCCACTCCTGTTTCTGGTTGAGCCAGCTGTCCTGGGTGCCCAGGGCAAGAGTGGCTCTGGAAGTCTCCGGGTAATGCCCTGCTAGGGGAGCTGGACGATTTCTGGCCTTTGCTGGAGACCGTGGGCTTGGTGCCTTTGATATAGGAAAGGCAGCTTTTGAGGAGGCTACTGCCCTGGGTCTCCGCTCTTCTGCAGAGTGAGTTCCGTAAGATGTCCCTTTGCGGGGCTGGGAGGGGAGGTTGGAGAAAGTAGTTGCATGGCCAAGTGCTAGGTCAGAGGAAGTTAAACAGCTTTCTTGATTTTAGGATGGTAATTCAAATTGGTAGTTTGCAGAAGTGTTTTATTTGGCATGCAAAGTTTCAAAATAATTTTTTGAGCCAATGTTTAAATATGGAGAGATTTTTATTAGAACTGCAGGTTTCCAGTTTCTCTGGTAGTCCTGAGTCTGCAGCAGTAGGTGTAGCTAAGGAGCTGCTGTCCCCTTTACGCAGGTCACATGCTGTGGCTACAGGTGGTCCTCAACACCCCCTGCTGTATTTTGTCACTGAGGTCAAGTGGGAGTTGCCATTTGTCACATTTGCGTTTTTGTTTTTCTTAGAGTAGGATATCATTTCTCTTTATTTATTTCTCTTTGTAAAGTGGGAAATTGAGATATAAGAAAAACACCTCGTGGATTTCCACCAGGCCTGTGATTTACCCCAACTCACCTCAATCATACATCAGCCCAGGCCATGCAGGCATTTGACTTTCTGATGGCTAAAAGATTGCTCCAAAACTTTGATATATGATTGTAGACCGTGAATCTTGGTGGAGGGAATATGTAGAGCAGGGGTTTTCAAGCATTTTTGTTCATGACCCATAGTAAGGAACACATTTTGCATCTTGACCCAGGTCACACTTAGGTCTATAAAATATGTAAAACTTAAGTGAAACAAAAGTTTCCGGAAAATACGTTGTAAGGGATATTTTCTTTCCTTTTCTGTTCTATTCAAATAAAGACCTACTAAATTATTTTCACCCAGTTTGAGAAACTGTAGTACCTAGCTTTCTCCAAGGCTGTTTGATGCTGGGATCCTCTTGTGGGGGGCGTCTGTCAATGTCACCATTTGGGAAGTGCGCAGAGCTCAGAGCAGCGCTTCCATGCTTCCTTCTGCTTGGGGGCCCCTCCAGGTAGCTTCTTTCTTCTTGCTATCTTTTTCTTTCTGTTTTCTCTCCTCTTCCCCGCACCTTGGGAGGCAGGAGACCCACTTGGTGGTGCTGGTAAGTGGAAGCCTTGGTGGGTGGGCAGGGGCTGGGCTGGGGAGGGTGGCTGAACCGGCTGCTGCCACACCTCGTGGGGGCTGCCGCGCAGGATGCCTCTGCACACGGGTCCTGCAGCCTTGCAAGAGGTGGGCAGGACTGGAAGGAGCTGTTCCCACAGGAGGATGATGAGGGCGCCCCGTGCCCAGCAGAGGATGAGCTGGCCCTGCAGGACAACGGGTTCCTGAGCAAGAATGAGGTGCTGCGCAGCAAGGTGTCTCGGCTCACGGAGCGGCTCCGCAAGCGCTACCCCACCAACAACTTCGGTGCGGCCAGGGGACAGGGCTGGGCTGGTGGGGGAGTGGGGGTGGACTTCTGGGACTCTAGTGGGGAACACCCAGCCACAGGGGCAGAGTCTCAGAACTGTGGGTACTGACTTGTGACAAGAGCAGGGAGTGAAGGTGTGTCCGCGGGACCCCGGGGAGCTAGCAGATGCCCGGCAGGACTGCTGAGGGAGTGGGTGTGGGTTCCTTCTTGTCCCTCCATCCTGATTGGACATTCAGTTGTGGGAAGACAAGGAACTCAGTTTGGGAAATGCCATCCCAGGACTGTAGAGAACCATAATCCTGACAGAACTTCAGAAGGCAGTGTAGCATGATGGTGAGGAACAGAGTAGAGTCTCACTGCCTGCTGCAAATCCCAGCTCAGCCAGGTGTCCTTGAGCAAATTATTTCACACCCCGTGCCTCAGTTTCCCCTTCTGTAAAAGGGGGATCATCATTCTTACCTCATAGGGTTGTTACAGGTCTCATGTCAAATGAGACAGTAGTACTTACGAAGGGCTAGCACAGTGCTGGTTGGTTCATAGTAAGTAGTGGGTGCGGTTAATGTGGGAGGCCCTGACCCACGCTGTGGGTTCCTAGGATCCTGTCTTGGTCTTTCTTATCCAGCTGGAAGCAAGTTGAAGCAAACATTGTTTCTCTGGACGTGATAGAGCCCTGAGTTCACCTCTCCCCAGCCAGTCCTTATTTTACTGAGGGTCGGGGGAGAGCGGTCAAGGAAGGCAGCTTTGGAGAAGGGTGGACTTGACAGCACAGCTTAGAGACCTGGCTCAGATCAGCAGCGCTGAGAGCTGAGCCACATACAATTATGGTGGAAACCTAGAGTAGCTAGGTTGACCTGGGAGCTGCTGTGCTCCTGAGGAAGGGCCCTCCTGCCTGCTGTCAGATGGGAGCAGGGTAAGGGGGCAGTACTGTGTGTTCTGGTGTTGAGTGAGTTCTAGGGTCTGTGCCCTGGAAGAAGACAATGGAGTTTATCTTGAGGAATTTGACTCAGGGCCCCCAGGGTCCTGCCTTCCTACCCCTGCAGCAGCCAGGGCAGTTGTTTTCTCAGGATTAGATGTCCTGGACAGGCTCTTTCTTTCTGCTGTGTGAATGTCCCCCAGTTATTCAAGATCCCTTTTTTTTTTTTTTTTTGAGACAAGGTCTCACTGTGTCTCCCAGGCTGGAGTGCAGTGGCATGATCACAGCTCACTGCATCCTCGACTTCCTGGGCTCAAGTGATCCTCACAGCTCAGCCTCCCGAGTAGCTGGGACTACAGGCATGTAGCACCATGCCTGGCTAATTTTTGAATTTTTTTTGTAGAGACAGGGTCTTACTTTGTTCCTCAGGCTGGTCTTGAACTCTTGGGTTTAAGTGATTCTTGTACCTTGGTCTTCCAAAGTGTTAGGATTACAAGTGTGAGCCACCACGCCCGGCCCCTTTGTTTTATTTATGCTGCCTGCTGACTTCTGCAGGGCATTCTGTATGTTCAGTGATCTGTTTACCCTCCATACTTGCACATGTGTGATCTCATTTCATCCTTACCGTAGGTGTGACAGGAGCAGGCAGTTCTTAAGGGTTCAGAGCAGCCAGATTCCAGCAGTGCCCGGTAACACTACACACAAGAAGTATTACTCTGGTCCAGCAAATAATTTGTCTATTTCTACAACTTCTAAGTAAAGGTACTTAGCTGTTCCCATTTTACAGATGAATAACCTGAGGTAAAAAGAGTGCTTTGCCCAGAGACTTTGGCCTGGAAATGGTGGAGCTGTGACTCAAATTCAGGTTGTCTGATTCGGCTCTTGTCTTCTTTCTACCTCTTCATCCTCCCTCTCTGTTTTCCCTTTGCCCTTGCGTGTGAAGTCCCTTGTTTTATGCCTGTCCCGCTTTTGTATTTGATTTTTGGTTTGGATAATCTCTACCAGCATGGGCAGAGGCCTTTTCAGCCTCCCTCAAGGATGGCAAGGGCAGAAAGTGCTTCTTTTCCTAAACTCCTCTTAGTTCCTCATCCTTCAAGACCACTTGCTACTTTCCCTTTTCTGAGATGTTCCCAAGCTCTTTGCCATGAGGGCAGGTGTAGCAGCTCTGCTCCTGCGGCCTCTGCTCCTGAACCTGGGTCCTGAGAGCAGGGCGAGGGGAGCTGCTTTGGGGGCTTTCTCCATTTCAGCGACTATAACGAAATACACTAAGCTGGGGGGCTTTTAAATAATGGAAATCTCTCATCACAGTTCTGGAGGCTGGAAGTCCAAGATCAGGGTGTCAGCAGGATCAGGTTCTGGTGAGGTCCATTTCCGTCGTCATAGACAGCACCTTCTCACTGTGTCCTCATGAGAAGGTGGGAGGGGCACGGCAGTTCTCTGGGGCCTCTTTTATAAGGGCACTAATCCCATTCACGAGGGCTCCACCCTCATGACCCGGTCACCTCCCAGGGGCCCTGCTTTGGGTGTTAGGATTCCACATGTGAATGTTAGGGGACTGTGGTGGGGGCTATTCTATTTACCCCTGCCAGTGGATGAGGGGGTGCATGGGGAGAATGAGGGCAGACTGCAAAGGAGCTTCTCTGTGGCCTCCGTATGGGAGAGGTCTTGGTGGGGAGGGCCCCCCTTTGTCCTGGAGGCTCCATGACTGTTGCCCTGGCAGGCCCCACTGGGCCTTAGTGCCCCTGCTGTCATGGCCTCGGTGGCATCGTCACGTGGTGAGTGAGGATGGGTGAGTCCAGGCTGTTGCTGAGAAGGGGCAGAAAGAGTTGGTAGGTGTTGGAAGGGAACGTCACCTGGCTGAGCTGCTCTCAGCTCCCAGAGCCCTCCCTGGCTCCGGTCTGTGAGTGGGTTCACAGCTGTCTCCCCAGCCCACTTGGCTGCCCTGGGGTGCTTGGCCCTGACATTCCATTCAGTTTAGAGGAGACCTTGGGCTCAGGTCAGTGTCAGTCTTTGAGTAGCTCCTTTTGCCTGTCCCATTCCCCTTGTGTCCCTTGCTAAGGAGAGGCTGGGGCAGGCTGCCTTCCCCAAATTCTTGGTGTAGGGACAGAATCTTGGAGCAGCCAGTTTCCTGGTTTGGCACCAGCAGTAGGCTTGTTCTTCTCTTTCCCTGGCTGACTGACAGGGTGGGCATTTACCTGAAGCACCTTGGCCTCAGATTTCCCCTGGCTCTAGCAGAGGTCTTCCTTTCCCTGAACCTAGGGAGTCTCCTTTAGCAAGAACTTCAGGTGATTTTGGCTGGACAGAGGAAGGGACCACATGTAGCCGTCAATAAAGCTTTGGGGCCTTTCTGTGAAAGTGAGGCCTGGTGCTCTGTACTTGCCCAGACAGGTGGTCCGGCTGGGTCATAGCAGGCCTATGGGCCCCACATCCCAGAAACCTCATTCTCTGTCTCTCCTCTCCCCTTACACCCCCTTGTTGTCTTCTAGCCATTTTCTAAGCTGCCGTTGCCCCTCCACTGTTGCCGGGCACTTGGCCATCTTGGCATCTCTGGTGGTTTAGGCAGGACCTCTCCCTGCTCTGCGTCCCCCCATGCCACTCACTGCCCACCACAATTGAGCATTCTACCCTTCGTGTCTTTACAGTTGAGCATTCTACCCTTCATGTCTTCTTGGAATGTGCCTGGCTCTGAGTTTCTCTCCTGCAGTCTTCAGGGGACAGAAAGCAGGAGTTTAGGTTTTTAGGAGTTTCTGTCTTTAGCCTGTGGGTGGAGTATTTGTAAGGCATTGCTCCGGAAAGGGTCATGTTAGGCAGGTGTCATTTGGGGATGCCTGTGGTCAGGTCCCTGCCAGCTTAGCTGGCTTTCTTGGAGTGGATTCTGCTGGGTGCTCTTTGATTTCTGTTGAACCTGTAGGTAGGGCCACTCAGCTCTGGAAGGGTTCAGGGACTGGTAGCTATGTATGGCTGGAGACATCAGTCCTCAGGGGCTATCAGTCTTCTTAGTTTGAGTCCTTCTTTCTGTCTCTGAATCTGGCCTTGCTCCCTGGCTCACTGTGTCCAGCCAAGGAGGCTGGGCTGGTGTCCTGAGTGTCCCATTTAGAAGCGCCAGGAGCAGGTGAGCGTGAGAGTCCTGGGATGGGCGGGGGTTGAGCTGCTGCCTCTGTTTCTCAGGGAACTGCACGGGCTGCTCGGCCACCTTCTCAGTGCTGAAGAAGAGGGTGAGTGTCTGTGAGGGTGCATTTGTTGGGGACAGTGTCCTTGGGACTGTCGGGTGGGGAGGAGTTGAGGGGAGTCATTGAGAAAGTCTGGCTCGGGTCACATTGGGCCTGGCAGTGGCTTTCTGGAGTGAGTGTGCCCTCCCCTGCGCCTGTGCCACCTTTTACCAGCCTCCCCAGGGGGTATTCCATTTGCTCTCTTTCCTGCTCCACTTGGGCACCCCCCAGGCCCAGTTTCCTTGGGTGGGATCAGCTGGTGGAAAGGAGGGAGGTGCTGAGAACTCCAGGTACCTGAGGGTGAGGGACACATCTGACCTTGGCTCTTGTCTGCAGCGGAGCTGCAGTAATTGTGGAAACAGCTTCTGCTCTCGATGCTGCTCCTTCAAGGTGCCCAAGTCCTCCATGGGGGCCACAGGTGAGTGGTGCAGGTGGTGGGAGGGCTTGGTTGGTATCCCGCCCAGGGGATGTCACGCTGTGGCACAGAGGCAAGGGTGTCAGAGGTCAAGGGAACTTGGGATTGTAGTCAGGCCTACGGGAACGTTTCCTCCATCCCCTTTAGCAAAATCCTGAAACATTTGGTACATGCCGAAGAATAGATATGATGTACCTGTGAATTGTGAAGGGTAATAACAAGATGAATACCTGTGGCTGCTTCACTAAAGTTGAAAAACAAGAGCCCTGGCAACACCCCCGCAGCTCCCAGCACTGCTCCTGCCTTCCTGGAGTCAATCACCAGCCGCAATTTTAATCTTTTTCTTATTTCCTTGGCACTTTGAACAAAACTAAAAATTCCTTTTTTTCCTTTTATAAAATATAAAATATTTCCTATACATATTGTAAATAAAAAACACAGATAAGCAAAAGGAAAAAAAATTCCTGATTTCTTCCTGAGAGAACAATCGGGCATGGACCCTGCTGCTCATTAGCTTGCATGTAGAATAAAAGCACATGCATATTCCTGAAAAATGTGGTCACATTTCATGTACCGTTTTGTAGTATAATGTTAAACCAAGTTTTTTTTTTTTTTTTTTTGAGACGGAGTTTCACTCTTGTTGCCCAGGCTGGAGTGCAGTGGTACGGCCTTGGCTCACCACAACCTCTGCCTCCTGGGTTCAAGCAATTCTCCTGCCTCAGCCTCCCGAGTAGCTGGGATTACAGGCATGCGCCACCACACCCGGCTAATTTTGTATTTTAGTAGAGACGGGGTTTCTCCATGTTGGTCAGGCTGGTTTTGAACTCCTGACCTCAGGTGATCTGCCCGCCTCGGCCTCCCAAAGTGCTGGGATTACAGGCGTGAGCCACCGCCCCCAGCCCAAGTTCTTTTTTCTTCCGATGCAAGTAACATATGCTTACTAACTAGAAAATTTGGAAATTATTATACAGAGGACGAAGGAAGAGAAAAATAACCCTGTAATTTTACCACCCAGAGGTAACCACTGTTAAAACATTTTGGGAAATTTCACTGTGATATTTTACTTATTCTGTTTTTTTGAGACAGAGTCTCGCTCTGTCGCCCAGCCTGGAGTGCAGTGGCGCCATCTCGGCTCACTGCAACCTCCGCCTCTTGGGTTCAAACAATTCTTGTGCTTCAGCC
This sequence comes from Homo sapiens, assembly GCF_000001405.40. Taxonomy (NCBI): domain Eukaryota; kingdom Metazoa; phylum Chordata; class Mammalia; order Primates; family Hominidae; genus Homo; species Homo sapiens. The sequence goes on from NC_000010.11 coordinate 97,758,903, forward strand.
TCCTGAGTAGCTGGGATTACAGGCGTGCATCACCATGCCTGGCTAATTTTTGTATTTAATATTTTATTTAAAAATTTTTGAAGGTGTTCTGTTGGTGCCACAATAATGTCTAATTCATAGCACAGGAGTGGCCTGCTGTTGGCATCATCACCCCCAGGATCCCCAGTTCCCATGGAAAGAAGAATCTCTGCGGGCAGGCTAGCAAGCTGGGCAGGGAGGGTGTGGGCTGGGTGGGGGGTCTGTGTGGGGCATTTGGGAGGGTGCTTCTAGTAGTTGGGGCCATGAACCAAAGGGCGCAAGGAAATGTCTCACCAAGTTCTTCCTCCTTTTCAGCCCCTGAAGCCCAGAGGGAGACTGTGTTTGTGTGTGCCTCGTGTAACCAGACCTTGAGCAAGTGAGAAGAGAGGCCAGGGTCCAACCAGGCACCCGTCCTTGGGACCAGCAGTAGACCCCCCACTCTCCCCACCCCTGGCCCACTGTGGTGTGTGCTGGGCAAATGTGGCCTGAATGCTAGGTAGGCTTCCCCTTCCTTCCTCACTCTCTCCAGCTGGATTCTGGAGCTGTTCTCCATCCATGAGAGTGGCTGGCAATGGCTGCTCTCAATCCCTTGAGGGAGAAGAGCCCCTGGAGGGCCTGGCATGTTTGTCCTGCTCTGCCTGGGACTGAGCGAGTGGACTTAGGGCTGGGCAGGCAGTAGCCACCAGAGGGCAGCAGCGAACTAGGCCAGGCCTGACTGGGGTCTGAAGATCAGGGTCAGTGTGGCTGTGCCTGGGAATTCCAGACCTGAGGTTGGGAAAAGAGGTTTTTCTCCTGCAGGGTACTGGGCCAGGCCCTCAGCCTCAGAGAGCCTGCAGAAGGGCTTGGGAGTGCCACACCCCATCTCTGCTGATTGAATGTCCCTCCAGGCACCAGGATCTCATCATTTCCCCATCAGAGGGTGTGGCCAGGCCTAACAAGACCATGGGTGCTTCTAGAAACAGGGTTGAAGTTCCCAGATTCCCTGAGAGGAGAATGTGTATAGGAGGGTTTGGCTGAGTCCTTCAGCGTTAAGTGGAGGAAAGCTTGGGGAAGCCCCAATAGCTGGACAGACCTCGGCCTCCCCTCGAAGACACCTCAATTCACAGACTCTCAGCCCACACAATGCCCCAGTGTCCCCAGCTCCGCTGGAGCAGCTGCAGGGCACTTGGATCACAACTTCTGCACCCTCTGTCCAGAGTCTAGGGCAGTCCTCCACTGGCCCAGCACTCCAGTTTCCTTTCCCTGCCTCTTGTCCAATGGAGTGGGAGGCCAGGTGAGTGGAGCAGAGGTCCTGAAGCCCTTGACCCCTGGGGGCCTGGGTAGTGTAGGATCTCGCTGGGCTGGGTCCTGGATTCCAGGGCTATTCCCTGGAGGACAGTCTCAGTTATGGGATAAGGCCCCCTGGGGGTCTCCATTTCTTTCCAACAGTTTCATGTTCACTACTGGACTCTTACGGGCTCAGTATCTCTCCCTTAGCCATGAGCTGGCTCAGGCATCCCTTCCCTTCCCTGGAGCTGCCCTGCCTTTCTCAAGTATTTATTTATTTATTGCATGGTTCCTGGGAACATGTGGCACAAGTAATGGGATGAGGAGGAATTGGGGGTGGGGGTCTTCTACCTAGGACTCTTCCCTGGAGTCATGGGCTGCCTGGGACCCAGGACCCATGAGGGGGCTGAGAGGTTTCTACACTCGAGGAGCAGGGGTCCAGAGAGGCAGGCTGGGGAGGCAAGGGACCCATCCTAGGCCCGCTTTCTTGCCGAGCCAAGCAGCTTAGCTGGGGCTGTGCAGCCAGGGGCTTACCCAGGCCAGTGGAGGTGCCACAGCCCTGGGGAGCCAGACAGGCTTTGGTATCGTATCGCCTCTGTGTCCTTTTAAGAGAGGAGAGTTCAGTACCCCGTGCTTTCTTTACACTGGAGAGGAACTAAAAGGATCTCTGTGTCTATGGAGAATTGTCAATAAAAAGGCCTCAAGCTTCTTGTTTTTGTCATGTCTTTGTGTTGGCATTTTCCCTGAGGCTGGAAGACCAGATCTCTCTGGCACTGCTGGAGTTTTGCAGGCCTGGGCAATTCCTGCAGGACCAGGCTGAGGGGCGGGCCTTTGGGGCACCATGGTGGCAGGGGCGTGGGGGCTGCAGCCTGGTCTGGGTATGAGCTGGGGGCCAAGAGGAGGAAAGCTGTGCCTTGCACGCAGGAGAGGCTCAGCAAATGCTTGTCGGATTGACTTGAGGCCCAGTCTTGTGACCCAATTGTGAGGGCCCAGCACTGGGGGTTGGGGTTGGGACTAGAACTTGGTAAACCCCAAACAATGCAGGCTTTACAACGGAAAGATTTTAACTAATCCCTCTGAGAAAGCCAGAAAGGGTCAGCCTTCAGGGAGGCTGAGAGCAGCAGGAAAGAGGATTGGACATGAGATGGGAAGTGCAAGCCATGCCCTGAGCTGGGGCAGGTGGGTGGTGGGTGGCTGGGTGCTGGGCACTGGTGAGGGCTTTGCGTGCAGTATCTCATTTATTGCTCACAGCAACTCTGAGGTAGGCACTGTTCCCCTGAAGTAGGAGCAGAGTCCCTGCAGCAGTAGAGGGTGGTGCCTGGCGCCTGCTGTGGCCCACCTCCATGCTTGGACCCCTTTACCATCTGTTGGAGCGGTGCTGGGGCCCATTGGCATAGGGATGCTGCCCCCAGGCTCACTGTGCTTTCCTCCTCTGGAAAGTGCACCTGATGGTGATGCATAGCTTGTGCGGGTGCTGTGAGAGAAATGAGAGAGTCGACGGGAGGCATGGGGCCCGGTGCCTGGCATGCTGGACACGCTGGCTCCTGTCATCCTGGCCACCTTCAGAGGACAAACAGCTCTGTCCTGGGTGGCTTAGAACAGTGATTTATTTTTTTTAAACCAGAGTGTAATTTTAGATGATTCTTCAGAGAAGAGTATCAGAGAGGCACAAGTGTAGTTTGGAAAAGCAGTCAATGCATTTTATTTTTGGAAAATGAAAATGCCAAATGTTGGTGAAATCTCAACCATAACAGCAGTAACTTGAAGTCTGTGCCTGCAGGCATGGATTACAGAGATGGGAGAAGCATGAGTTTCCATCCTTGGGTAACAGCCTCCGAGAAGGGGATGCTAGAGGGCCTTGTCCCCTTGAGGTGCCCCTGAGAGTAGGCAGGGGACATAACTTTAAATTGCAGGTACCGCTGGGAAGCGAAGTCACGGAGGGATTGTGCTTCACAACTGGCTGCGTCCACAGCATGGAGAGGACCTGCACGTGGGTGGCCTACAAGACAAACTGTCCATGTTTGAAAAAAAAACCAATTTGTTCTCAGGCCCCTGAGGAGGGGATGGGGAACCAGACTGCTGCAGCCCTCGTGCCTGCTGGGGCAGGTCTGGGGCTCCAGCTCCCACAGCCTGGCGTGGGCTGAGGGCTCTGCCAATCCTTTTTGTGGTTGGTTGTGTTGAGCAGCCTCCCGTGAGCCATGGCCGACCTTGAGCTGGCAGTGGTTTCTGGGATCTTCAGGATTTTCAGCCCTCGGGGCTGAAGCCATATGAAGTTCTGTCTTCATCCCCTTGTCTCCCTGGAACCTTTGAGGCACCCCCTAAGAGAGGCCCTGGCCCAGCATCTGTCTTACAGCTGGTGGCCCTCAGGATAACACCTACATTGATGGAGCACCTGTGCCAGGCACCATGCTGAGTGCATCATCTCATCGAGACCTCATGACAATCTCCAAAAGTAGGTTCTGTTGTTAACTCTGTTTAACTGACGAGTAAAAGGAGGTGTGGGGAGGTTAGGGAACCTGCCCAAGGTCACATAGCTAGTAAGTCGTGGAGCCGGGATGTGAATTATGCCACATGAGCTTGCAGGGGCCTCATAAGAGAACCTTTGGAGGAACAGAGCAATCCTGGGTGCCACCCTCCCCCTCTTTCTGCCTGGCCCCCACTGGCTCCAGGAGCTAGCCACTGAGCTAACAAGAAGGCCTACCCACTAAGCATGGCCTCTCTCCTCTCCTCCCTCCCACCCCCAGCCCTAGCGAAATGGGCTCAGCCACAAGAACAGAGGCAGCCTTGTGGCCGGAGCTCCCCCAGCTCCCAGCAACCCCACCTCCGGCCTGGTCGGGTATGTTTCAACACCCCAGAGCAGCACATTCCATTCTCTGGCACAGCTGGGGGCTGGGGATTCCGGATTCCCCTGGCTGCCTGTGTTCTTCACAGCCCCAGCAGAGCCTGCTGTCTGGGCTGGGACATGGGGTCCCAGCCACACACATTCCAGCAGCAACCACCCCCCCATGTTACATTTCCCCAGGAGTGAACTTCAGCCAGGATTACAGGCGACTAAACAGTTGTGGGATGTGAGCTTCCTTTGTGGAGACCTAAGGCTGGATGCTGGCAGGGCTGAGAGGGGAGAAGGGGTTGGGGGTGGGCTGTCTTTGGGAATTAGGAGAAAAGCCACTGGCTCCTCTGCCTCTGTCAGGACCCTTGGAGTGGGATTGGAACAGGGCTCCCAGAAATCTTCCTGTGAGGCAGGCTGGCAGAAGCATGGCTGCCTGCACCCCTGAGCCTTGGCTTTGCCCCTACCGATAGTAGTATAGTGGTTAAGAGCATGAAGTCAAATTCTAGCACTGCCATGTGCAAGCTGTGTGACCTCCAACAAGTTCCTTAACCTCTTTGAGCCTCAGCCACCATCACTGAAATGCCACTACCTCAAATGGCTGTTGGGAGGCTTAAATTAGAATGCAAAAGCTGGGTGAGGCACAGTGGCTCATGCCTGTAATCCCAGCACTTTGGGAGGACAAGGAGGGAGGATTGCTTGTGTCCAGGAGTTTGAGAGCAGCCTGGGCAACATAATGAGACTTCAACTCTAAGAAAAATAAGAGATTAGCCGGGCATAGTGGCATGCTCCTGTGGTCCCAGCTACTTGGGAGGCTGAGGCAGTGGGATTGCTTGAGCCTGGCAGGTTGAGACTGCAGTGAGCCACGATTGTAATACTGTGTTTAGCCCAGGCAAAAAAAAAAAAAAAAAGAAAAAAAAAAAAGAAAAAAGAGAAAAGATCATATGCAAAAGTTTTGAGTAGTGCCTGCCACCCATCATGGCCTTGATATTTATTGATATTGGCTTGATACTGGCTTACACCACCACCTGTATTTCTGAAGCAAAACCCCAAATGTAGGTTCTAGCTCTCTTCTGAAAGTAGCGTTCTGGCTTTTAGATAAGATACTCTTGTCTTTTCCCTGCCTTCCTGCCGATATTGTTTCTTAGTTGATTAATCAATCAATTAGGAATTTTACTGAGCACCTATTATGGACAGGCACTGCTAGGTCATGGCTTTTGGTTAATAAAAATAGTCATTACCATTTAATGGACATCTACATGCTGTGCGTTGTACTTTTCATGCATTTTCCCACTTAACCCTCAGCAACCCTGTGAAATAGACATTTTTACTCCATTTTACAGCTGGGCACTATTCCCGATGTCACGCAGTCACTAAGTCACAGGATTAGAAGCCAGGACTGGACTGTATCTGCCTCTTCTCACCCCAACACGGAGTGTTCAGCTGCCTCCTCCCCTGTCTGTCCTGTTCTTTATTAGAACTCTGATTTTGTCCCCAGCTGAAAAAGCTTGACTTCCTTTGCTGTCTTGCACCTAGGGGTGGCCATGTGACTTAGTTTTGGCCAGTGAGCTAGAAGTGGAAATCTACTAGGTGGGATTGCTGGGGAAATTTCTGTTTTCCTGATCAAAGGGGCCAGAGGCAGCTGACAAGCTGTGCTCCTCGCCCTTCCCCGCCTTGCTGTCTGGAATGTGGTGGAGAAGTTGGAAGGAGGCATTGTCTATAACCACGAGAGCAAACGTCACCCCATGGCAGAGCAGGAAGGCAGTTGGACATAGACCTCCCACCTGTCCACCTCCACCCCTCTTGTGTGGAGAAGCTGGGGTTTCGGTTCCTGGGGTTTCTGTTATGTGTGGTTGGGGGCCGCATCGTTCACTGCACCCAGGTGCTCTTGGGGCAGCACAGCTGCTGGGTCTCCAGCCAGCGGGAGGGAGTCTTGTGTGACTGAAGGGAATGAAGGGTGGGGCTCAAGCCTGGAAGGACCTCCCTGGTCTTTGGGAAGATTCTTCTTGGTCCCAGAAAAGAGATTCTTGGCGAGTCTGACAGCAGATGTTGGGGGACAGCAGATGTTTCAAGCTGGGCCCTGACCCCTTGTGGGGGTAGAGGAGTGCCTTCCTGGGCTTCACGGGATGGGCTAAGGGAGTCCTCCCCTCGCCCTGCTGCCCCACAGCTGCCAGCATCTGGCAGAAGTCAGTGTAGTACTTCAGCCAGGGCAGACCCAGTCCTGTGTGTGCCATGGAAAATCATCCCTGGTCCTGGTTGACCACAGAAGTGTCCGTAAACATTTGGTCAGGGTAGGAGGCTGGGAGACAAGGCGCAGATTCAGGGAGCCAGGTGCACTGGGCAGGGTTTGGGCGCGGATGGGTGAGGGAGGAGCAAGGCGGCCTGTGCAGCTGTTGACCTGCGGCGAGGCCACCTGCCTGCCCGGGGTGATTTATGGGCGCGCTGTCGGACCACCTGCTAGCCAGACCTCAGGCGAATGTGCGCTCATGGCCCACAGAAGAACTCAGCCCCTGGCCCCTCTGGAGTCATTTCCCTGAGGTGACGTTCACCTCTGGGAGCGGAAGCCAAGGCTTTCCTCAGTTCCAGAGAATGAGGCTCCTTTGTCTTGGAGGAACACCAGGCCTTGACTGGACAGCATCCCAGCTTTACCCCCACCGGTGGGGAGAGCCCCTCAGGGGGTGCCCCTAGCCCCCTGCTCTAGGTACATCTGGCATCTGCTGACAGACCCCCCCAGGGAGCTCCTTCCTGGCACTGCCCTGTCCATAGTCTGCCCATTAGAGTGGGGGTGGCTTCTCGCCTCCCAAGCTGTCTCCCCTCCCTGTCCATCTACCTCAAGGCAGCAGCCCCCATCTGCTCTGAGCCCACTGGGGCACCCCCTCAGCCCCTTGCCCTCTCCCTGTCTCAGTTGTCACCTTATCTAGATAGTAGTTCTCAATCCTGGCTACACATCACCCCAGGGAGCATCTAAAAACACCAACTCCTGAACACCCTATAGAGATTCTGATTTAATTGCATTAGAGTAGGGTGCAGGATTCTATAAAAGCTCCCTAGATGATTCTAATGTTTATGTGTTCAAATGCAGATTCAGATACAGCAGGTCTGCATTTCTTTGTTGTTGTTGTTGAGTTAGGGTCTCACTGTGTTGCCCAGGCTGGTCTTGAACTCCTGGGCTTAAGGGATCCTCCCGCTTCAGCCTCCCAAGCTGCTGGAATTATGGGCATGAGCGACCGCACCCCCGGCCAGATGCTGTCTTTCTAACCAGCTCCCAGGTGATGCTCATGCTGCTGGACCAGGGACAGGTAAGGAGCAGTGCCCGCGGTGTGTGAAAGCCGAAGGGGAGGAGTGACACGTCTTCGGCCTCAGGCTTTTCACGATAGTTCCCTGTGGCCCCACCTTCTTGGACTCCTCTGATCAGGCCCTGACCTCCTCGGGGAGCTGCTGCAGGACCATGGGAGTCTTCTGACTGTGGGAGAAGCTGGGAACTTGGCACCTCCATTCCTCCTCAGGGACAAAAGAACGGCCATCTCCATCCCTCACTTAGCGGTCAGAATGACAGGGTGACCCTTGCTATGTACTACAAAAACACAGGCCTTGCTTTTCTTAGGCATTCCAAGGAGGTCTATGTGGCCAGGCCATGGGTTAAGATAAGGGCTTCTTTTTGAAGCTCCATTCTAAACCTCCCTCTCCCCCCACCTCTTGGGAACCAGCTGACAAAGAAACCACCTGGTCCAAACCAGTTATTGTTTTCTTTGATTTAATTAAAAAGTTAAAAAAATTAGAAAACCCAACCCTGCATGTATTGGTTGTCTAGTACCTATGGCCTCACAGCAGTAGCAATAACTTATTGGGATAAAAGGGAGAAGCAGAGGCTGAGGAATGAATCCCGGGAATCGAGCCGCGGGCGGACCAGAAGGGGGTCTATGCCGAGGCTGGGCTGGGCTTGCTCTCCAGTCTGGGGGGAGCTCTGGGCCTTGGGGCAGGGAAATGGGCAAGCTGGGGAAGGCAGGGGGTGTGGCTGGAGGCACTGAGACCCTAACTCCTTTCCTAAGGGGGGCTAGGATGACGCGTACAGGGGCGGTGGGGAGAACTTTCCCAAATAGCTTAGCCTAATATTGAGACTTCCCTCTTCAAGGTGAGGCCCCACCACCGACAGAGGGGAGCTGGAGCTGACACCACCTTCTACTCTGAAACCTCCGCCTCAGGGTGCCCTGAGCCCCTCCACCTTTCCCTTACCCTCTCCTCCCCTGCCTACTTTCTGAGACCCTGAGGTCTTCACCCAGATGAAGAAGCCCTGCTCCTGAGAGAGGAAGCCCAACATCCCAGGGACCCCAGGACCCCTGGGTCAAAAAGGACAGCCTGGGCTCCGTGCCCATCCCTTAGGCCTTGTGCCAGTAACAACATTCGTGAAAACACCCTCCAGTAGGGCCGGGTCAGCCTGGAAGTTGGGGCGGGGCCAGAGGGCAAGCAAGGCACAGCTGGCAGGGCAAGGAGGAGTGCCCTTCAGTGGGGCTCTGCCGCCCCGTAGAAGAAAGGGTAGTAGAGGGAGCAGGGGTAGGAGAACATGAATTTGACTGCAAACTTCATCTCCTTATTCTTCTTGTCCCAGCGGTAGACGGCCATGAGCAGCAGCTGTCCATCCACTTTGCGGCCCATGACCAGGAAGCTGCCCGCCAGGCTGTCCAGCTGTGGGCAGGGGCAGCCCGCGCCATTCTTCATGTGCAGCACCAGCCGCTTGGTGTCCTTGCGCTTCAGGGGGCCCGGCTTGAGCAGCTTCTTCTTTTTCTGGGCTCCAATCAGCTTCCGGTCCCCATTCTCTATCTTGATCTCCTTGATGCGCATTTTGACCACTGTGGGAAGAAAGGACAGGGGCAAGTTGGGAATGGTCAGATCTGTGTGGGATGCTGGTGGGCACAGAGTTGGTGTGTTCTGGACCTTCGGGCTGGGGGAGCCTGATGCCCTGCGGGGCTTGGAAGGGTGGAGCTCGTAGGGCACATTTTCATATTTATGAAGCACTTATCATGCTGCACTCTCAAGGACAGCATCACGTTTCATCCTCAAGGTACAGAAGAGGGGAATTGAGGGGTAGAGAGCTTGTGACCTGCGTGAATCGAGAGTCCAAGCCCTTCTGAGACACCAAAGGCAGGGTGGAGAGCTCTTGATGGAGCAGCATGTGGGGCTCCCCAGGGAGGGGATAAGGAGTGGATGGGACTGGGGCCGACTGCTTGGAAGGGGATCCTTGTGATGGAGGGAAGCTGGACTTCCTGATCTCTGGGGATGATTCCCACTGGGATTTCTGGCTGTGTGTGAGTGTATGGTATGGAGTATATATGGGGTGTGTATATGTGTGTGCATGCACACACGGTGAGTGTGGTTGGAACAGTGGTGGGCTGGCAAATATTTAACAGCCGGCTCTGTGGACAGGGAGCCCTGCTTTGCATTCATTGACATCCATGGGGTAAATACTCCCACCATAACTGACCGCATGACTGGGTGTGGAGCTGGGAATAGATACACACAGTTCAGCTGTTGCTGGTGTGAACACACCACTGTACAGTAATGTGTATGTGTGTGAGAGAGAGATTGTACGGTGGGTGGGAGTGTGTTTGTGCTATGTTTAGGAGTGGGGCAGGGGGTGTGGCTGGAGGCACTGAGACCCTAACTCCTTTCCTTTGGGGGGCTAGGATGAAGGCAGGGTCTGTGCCCAGAGAGCCATGGTGCAGGTCACCCTACAGTGGACGTAGAGAGCCTAAGGAGTCCTGGGCCTCAGGGTGGGGTGGGGAGTCCCTCGGGCTGGTCTCTCCCTTCTTCAGGCTTCTGGGCCCCCATCTCTGTGGGGCCAGGGAGAAGTCAGAGAATAACTGCCCACTCTTGGCAGGAAATTGTCATAAAATCTTGTTCCTTCTCTTTATGTCCCCTTCCCCCTCTCTTTCTCTCTCTGACACACACATACACCCCTTGCAATAGCAGTATTCTCTTTCCAAACAGGCTACCAACATAAAAGACTCCTCTGAAGAAAGGACTTCATTATCATCTCCTTTTTTCTTTTTTTATAGACAGGGAGGCTAAGACACAAAACAGGGAACTGACTTGGCAAAGATCACACACTGGACTGCGTGGCCCATGTGTGAGCCAGGTCCTGACCGGACTTGGCTGGATTGTCCCAGAAAATGGGAAGGCTCTGGGATGAAGCTGTGGGGACAGGTGACCACAGCTCCGCTGGCAGGAGGTGTGCTGAGTCCCAGGTGGAGGTACCCATGGACAAGGGTGCTCCACTTCCATCCTAGAGCCATCACTCCCCACCTGGCTCCATCCATCTCTGGGCTAAGCCTGCACTATCCACAGAGATGATCCAGTCATGGAGGGCCCTCTGAAAATGACACCAAGGGAGGGCTGTGGGAGCCCTGGCCGGGGTGGTTTCTGAGGCCCAAGGCCCATGGCCTTAGGGGACTTGTGATGGTCCTGAGATGATGCAGAAAGAGGTGCATTTCTCTTGGGAAAGGGTTTATGGTTATAATTGGCTTCTAAACGGGAGCCATGATGCAAAAACTGTTGGGATTCACTGTGATGGATGTGGGCATGTATGTTCCCGTGTGCGTCAAGAAAGAGGGGCTGGGGGTGATGTCGGGGCAGTGGCAGCGTGGGCCCCACACTCACCAAAGTCACTGGAGCACATCTGCTCCATGAGGCCGTCAGCACTGTGCTCCATCTCACACTGGGCGCAGATCTTGGTCACTGAAGAGAGAAAGTGGGGTGGGGTTGGGGGACAGTTGGTGAGGGGATTGGAGTTCCAAGAGCCACTTGGGGTGCAGGCTTCCTCACTGACCAGCCACTTCCCCTTGCCAAGCCTCTACTTCCTTATCAGGAGATGGGATGATGGCAATCATATCACTACCTGCTCACAGAGTGATTGACAATCACCAGACAGGCTGTGCAGTGACAAAACTGCCAGGTGGGCACAGTGACTGCCCCATGACCCTGGCGGCTGCAGCCATGATGTGCATTGTCTTTTAAATTTTATCTCCTCTCATCCTCAGCCTATGAAATAGGGATTCTTATTCCTATTTTATTTTTGAGATGTAGTCTCGCTCTGTCACCCAGGCTGGAGTGCAGTGGCTCTCTAATCTCAGCTTACTGCAACCTCTGCCTCCCAGGTTTAAGCGATTCTTCTGTCTCAGCCTCCCGAGTAGCTGAGATTACAGGCGTGTGCCACCACGCTCGGCTAATTTTTGTATTTTCAGTAGAGACGGGGTTTCACCATGTTGGCCAGGCTGGTCTAGAACTCCTGACCTCAAGTGATTCACCCACCTTGGCCTCCCAAAGTGCTGGGATTACAAGTGTGAACCACTGCGCCCAGCCCTTACTCCTATTTTGGAGAAAAGGGAACCGAGGCCCAGAGCGGTTACTCAAGTCTGACAGCAGACGGGGAGGAAGGGGGAGAGGGCATGGAGCCAGCCTGGAAGAGCTATGTGGACCAGCACAGAAAAGGGGAGGCTGAGACCAGGGAGAAATTAGGGTTCAGGGGACTGAGGGGTGGGTGGGAGGAGGGACTTAGGACCTCATAGGTTTCATGAGCCTGGGATGGCTTCCTATTTTATGGATGGGGAAACTGAGGCTCAGTGAAGTCAAGCAACTTGCCTAAGGGCTTCTCTTCAGGGGCAGAGCCTAATCTGCTCTTCCTTCCGCACTGAGCCTTACCCGAATGACTCCCAGCCAGGGGAACTGGGGAAGAGGGTGGAGATCTTAGGGTTCCAGGTACAGAAAACGGGGACGCAGATCATAGTCCAGAACATTCTTAGTCCCCAGTCTTTCTCCACATCCCTTCCCTCACCTCTCCTCTCTTCCCAAGGTCCCAACACGGAGTGGGGATGATGCTTGCTTTGGTGCCTCGGGATCCAGGTGAAAGGCATTGTTTAACGACCCCAGGCATTCTTGGGCTGAGAGGGGTCATAAGGCATTTATCAGGACGTCCCAGGATTGGGGGGACGGCATTGGGGGATTCTCAGCAGCTTGGTTGGATGGGTACTGAGAGGGGTGCCAGGGGTTTCCAGGGAACGAGAGCCAGAGGGAAGGTCTGGAGCCGCCGGGAGGCACTATGCTGCCACTCCCTGGGGAGGTGGGAAGGCGGGAAGGCTGCGGGGGATAATTCCGGGGACGCTGGGCTGAGCTAGGACAGCGTGTGTGTGTGTGTGTGGGCGGAGGGGGGGAGCTGCACCTCTTGGGGGGTTCGCAGAGCTGTGCTAGGGGAGCTGCAGGGCCGTCGGAGCGCGCGGGGACGGCGGCGGCGGCGCTACCTGGAGGCGCGGTGGCGGGCAGGTGCCCGAACTGCACGGCGATGCAGAGGTCGTTGTCCAGGGGGAACTTGTGGCAGTGCAGCATCTCAGGCCAGGGGAAGCCGTAGGCCTCCATGAGCGGCGCGCAGCCGGCGCGCACGGCCTCGCACAGCGAGCGGCACGGGTAGATGGGCCGGTCGAGACAGACGGGCGCAAAGAGCGAGCACAGGAAGACCTGCGTATCCGAGTGGCAGCGCTTGGCCAGCAGCGGCAGCCAGCTGCTCGCCTGCTGCTTCACTTCGGCCAGGCTCTCGTGCTCCAGCAGGTTGGGCAGCCGCATGCGCTTGTAGCCCACCGTGTGGCAGAGCGGCAGGTCGGCAGGGATGTCAAGGCACTGCGGCGGCTTGGAGTAGGAGCGGCCGTGCAGCGGCTCGGCCTGCCAGCCATAGTAGTCGTACTCCTCGCAGCGCGCCGGCGCCCAGTGCAGCGCCCCCAGCAGCAGCGCCAGCGCGGCCGTCCGCACGCCCCCCCCCGCCGCCGCCGCCCGCATGGCTGCGCCCTCTCCAGGTGCGCGCCGCGCAGCCCCCCGACGCTCGGTGCCCGGCGGCCCAGGTGTTCCGGCGTGCGCCCCCGGCCCTGACTCTACCCAGCCGCCGCCGCCGCCGCCGCGGAGGTCGCCCAGGTGGGTGGCAGCCTGCGCTGCGGGCGCCCCGACTGATCCTGGCGCCTCCCACCTCGGGGCTCCAGCCCGGGCCTCGCCGTGCGCCCCAGCCAATCTCCGGCCGCCTGGCCCCAGCTCCAAGGCGGGGAGGCAGTGGGGGCGGCCCTCAGCCCCTCCCGCACCCTGCCCGAGCGTCCCGCCCAGCGCCAGGTCTTGCGCCCCTCTCCCGGCTCGGCTCCCCTGCCGCAGCCCTGGCCTCGCCCAGCGTTTCTCCCCAGGGCTCCCTGCCTCCCTGGGCATTTTCCTCGACCCTCGCCTTCTCCATCCTTCCTCCTTATCTCTCTCCGCCACAGCCTCTCCTGTTCCTTTTCTCACTCACTTCACTTGCTTATCTCTCTGCCTTGGCTTTTCTCCCTCTGCTCTGTTTTCTCTTCCCCGACACCTCGGTTCCTCTTCTCCCTGGTGGGAGGCTCGTGCCACCCCACACCCTGGATCTTCTGGTCCTCCTGGCAGGTCTTCATTGAGCTTGGTGCCAGGCCCCATGCTGGCTGCTGGGGAATCAAAGATGGATATGACCCAGAACCCACCTCCAGGGCCAGGATAGTCTAGTGGGGGTGAAGGTAATCATAGCTTCTATTTAGTGAGCTCTTACTACCTGCCAGGGACGGTGCAAGGTGCAAGGTGCGGTGCAAGGTGCGGTGCAAGGTACGTTCCAAGCTTATCAGCTATTGCTAATGATAGCCAATACTTAGTGGGTGCTAATTGTGTGCCAAGTCTGATCTGAGCACATTGCATAAACTCCCTCAGCTAATTCTCACAATAAGGCTAGATGGTGGGTAGGTACTATTATTGTCCCCACCTTACAGATAAAGATCCTGCGGCAGAGAGGTTAAGCACAGATTAGAGCTGGGATTTGAACCCAGATAGTCTTTTTCGAGAGTCAGAGCCCAGAAACAACCAGGAGGCCTGGATTCTGAGTCTGTAGGCCTAATGACCAAGGGGATAGGGAGTTCAGAGAAGTGGAGTAACTGGCCCTTGGCCACACAGCTCATATGTGAAGGAGCTAGGATTTGAATCCAGATGTTGGGCTACAAAGGCCAGGGCTTAACCACTCTGTGGTAAGATAACTTCCAACCCATGGTAGGGAACACAGTGGGAAGAGGGGGAATTGATGGTGTGTCTGAGCAGGGCACCCAGGCAAGCATCAGAGGGGAGGGGACCTTCAGGAGCCCCATGCTTGGTGTCTTTCTCTCCTGTCTGAGTCCTGCCTTTCATTGGCTCTCCCTTGAGAGGAATTTGGACTGGAGGCTTGAAGGGAGGGGAATTCCTTCCTGAGAGCCTAGCCTGACACCTGACCTCCCAGTCTTTGGTGGGGAGGGTACCTTGGGGAGGTGTCTCCTAGGAGGGCGTGGGGAGCTGGGGGCTGGCTCTGCTGGAAGGCAGGAGTACTGGGCACTTTCCCCCTCTGCTCCTCCCCTTAGTCCCACTAATGGATGTTTCCAGGGCTCCTGTCTTCCTCTGGGTCTGTCCTTGCAGTGGTAGTGGAGAGGGGTGAGGGGCCACTCCTTAATATTCACAGAAAATGCATAGAGTACCTACTATCTGCAAGGCATGGGGTAGGGTATGCATGGGGACACAGAGGTGCAAAAGACATGGCTCTGTTCCTTCTGATCTAGTTGTAAGAAAAAGATACAAGGCAGGCAGAGGAGGCAGGAGAAGCCTCATCTCACTGAGCCCCAAGGGTGGGACAAGCCGTGTTTGATGTCCAGGATGACCTAGTGGGGTCCAGGTAGAGTAAACTTTGGCCTTCTTTTCCCCTCTCCCTCTCCCAGCCCCCAGCATGAAGAGGTTATGCAGATGGCCACTCAGAAGGTGAAGGACTGGTCTCTGCAGGGCCAGGCAGTGCAGTGTAGCAATGGTGCGAGAGCCTGGGCTCTGCAGACGATGGAGCCAGGTTCAGATCCTGGCCACATATTAGCTGTATGACCTTGGGCAAGTACTTAACCTCATTTCCTTCTTTGTAAAATGGAATTTCTTCAGCAGTTACTGTGAGAAGCAAATAAGGTGAATGGAAAGAAAGCCCCCTGCACAGTGCCAACACACAGAATGAACACCTAGGAATGTTAGATCCCCAAGGGACGTGTGACTTTGAGGTAAAAATGTGCTGTATGGGCTGGGTGCAGTTGTTCTCGCCCGTAAATCCCAGCACTTTGGGAGGCTGAGGTGAGAGGATCGCTTGAGCCCTGGAGTTTGAGACCAGCCTGGGCAACACAGCAAGACTCCATCTCTACAAAAATTAGAAAAGTTAACTGGGTATGGTGGCATGCGCCTGCAATCCCAGCTACTCTGGAGGCTGAGGTGGGAGAACTGCTTGAGTTCAGGAGTTCGAGGTTACAGTGAGCTGTGATTGCACCATTGCACTCCAGCCTGGGCAACAGAGCAAGACCCTGTCTCTTAAAAAAAGAAAGTGGTGGCTGGGCATGGTGGCTCATGCCTGTAATCCCAGCACTTTGGGAGGCCGAGGTGGGCAGATCACCTGAGGTCAGGAGTTTGAGACCAGCCTGGCCAACATGGTGAAATCCTGTCTCTACTAAAAATACAAAACTTAGCCGGGCGTGGTGGTGCGTGCCTGTAATCCCAGCTACTCAGGAGGCTGAGGCAGGAAAATTGCTTGAACCCAGGAGGAGGAGGTTGCAGTGAGCTGAGATCATGCCACTGCACTCCAGCCTGGGAGACAGAGCAAGACTCCGTCTCAAAAAAAAAAAAAAAAAAAGAAAGAAAGTGGTGTGTGTTCTGAAAGCCCTTGGATGCCTTGGTTCTGGCTCTGGTTTGGGGCTCTGAACAGCAGTTCTGCCCCTGCACCCTGACTCTCCCACCCCTCCAGGCTTGGCAGGCTCCTGCCCTCCAGGGAAGGTATGGCCTTGGGCACTGACGGTGTGTTAGAGCCTCCCAGGTGGTTGTGCAAAGTGCTGCCTCCTTGGGCAGCTGGTCGGCTGTGCTGTTCTTGGCGTCCCAGTACCTGGCCTGGACAGAGCAGGGCTTTGTTTCTACTGGTGGTTATGTAAGAACTGCGCATGATCAGAGAGCTGTGAGTCCACACCTGACAGCTCCGAGGGCTGTAACGGGCAGAGGGGACTGGCTGAAAGCCTCCTGGAAGAGGAGCATGGACACTCTTTACCTGGCAGCTCTGTCGTGGGGACCCCCGGGGGCCCCTGACACGGGACAGGGTGAATGCAAGGAGGGAAACTTGACAGGAACCAAGCCGAGGTGAGGGCTGCACCATGGGGCTGTTGTCAGGGGAGCTCTCTCTCTGTGGCCATTTGACCTGGTTCTGCAGCCTGGGCAGGAGAAGGCTGCTCTCTGATGTAGTGCCCCTTCTTGCTGAGGCCGAACCAGGGCCTAAGCAGCAGGTGGAACACCTGGGCACTGTGCCGGGCATCTGTCCATCTTGGAGCATCCACAGCCTGTCCAGACCTTTCCCCCAGCTGATAAAGGGGACCATTTGTTCAAAAAAATGTGTATTCGTAGTTTGTTGTGAGCAAAGTTCTATATAAATACCTCTTAGATCAAACTTGCTAATTATGTTATCAAATTCTACATTTTTTCACTCTTTTATTGTCTATTTCAATGGTTCTCAAAGTATGGTCAGTGTTCCCCAGGGGGACCCCGAGACTCTTTCCGGAGGGGTATACAGGGTCAAAACTGTACATAATTCAAATGCCCATTCAAGGTACAAGATAGTCCAATGGATTTTAAGGTAATTGGGTAAGAGAAGCTTATTGATATGGTTTCAGATTCTGCATTACATTTAAGAAACTACACATGTCAGGCCAGGCGCGGTGGCTCATGCCTGTATTCCCAGCACTTTGGGAGACCGAGGTGGGTGGGTTGCTTGAGCCCAGGAGTTTTGAGACCAGCCTGGGCAACATGGTGAGACTCTGTTTCTACTAAAAATACAAAAAAATATCCAGGCATGGTGGTGTGTGCCTGTGGTCCCAGCTATTCAGGAGCCTGAGGTGGGAGGATCGACACTTGAGTGGGGGTTGGGGAGTGGGGTTTGTTGAGGGGAGGCAGTGGAGGTTGCAGTGAGCCAAGATCACGCCACTGCACTCCAGCCTGGGTGACAGAGCGACACCCTGTCTCAAGAAAAAAAAAAAGAAAGAAACTACACATGTCAGTCTTTGGGGTAGTATCAAAGAAGCATACTCACAATTAACTGAAAAGGCCATCAAAATACTCCTCCCTTTTCCAACTACATTTATGTGTGAGGCCAAATTTTCTTCATATACTTCAACCAAAACAACATATGGCAACAGACTGAATGCGGAAGCATATATGAGAATCTGCTGGCTTCTGTTAAGCCAGACATTAAAGAGATTTGCAAAAATGTAAAACAATGTCACTCTTCTCACTAAAATTATTTTTTGTTTTGAAAAATACAATTATTTTTCATAAAAATTTATATTAACATATAAACATTTATTATTTTAAAGCATTAATGCATTTAACTTTTTCCTCATTATTAATTCCAAATATGGTGAATAATGATAGGTATAAACCCACGTAAACAAAATCTCTTTGGGATTCTCAATTTTTTTCTTTTTTGAGAAGGAGTCTCGCTCTGTCACCCAGGCTGGAGTGTAGTGGCGCAGTCTCAGCTCACTGCAACCTCTGCCTCCTGGGTTCAAGTGATTCTCCCACTTCAGCCTCCCGAGTAGCTGGGATTACAGGTGCATGCCACCATGTCCGGCTAATTTTTGTATTTTTAGTAGAGACAGGATTTCACCATGTTGGTTGGCCAGGCTGGTCTCAAACTCCTGACCTCAGGTGATCCACCCACCTCAGCCTCCCAAACTGCTGGGATTACAGGTGTGAGCCACCGTGCCCAGCCTGGGGTCTCAATTTTTAAGAGTGCAAGGAGGTTCTGAGACCAAAATGTTTGAGAACTGCTGGGCTACTTAATCTGTGCATTTCTGATAGAGGTGTATGAAATCTATTGTGCATATGGGTTTGGCAATTTTTCCTTTTTTTAAAATCAATTTTTGCTTTATATACCTTAATGCTATGTTGTCAGGTGTATAAAAGCTTCATGATTATTATAGCTTCTGGTTGAATTGTAACTTCTATCTGTATGAAATATCCTTTTTTGTTTCTTT
Source organism: Homo sapiens (assembly GCF_000001405.40). Classification (NCBI taxonomy): domain Eukaryota; kingdom Metazoa; phylum Chordata; class Mammalia; order Primates; family Hominidae; genus Homo; species Homo sapiens. The sequence continues at coordinate 97,777,101 of NC_000010.11, forward strand.
TAATGCCTTAGGCCTTAAGAATAATGATTTCATGAACCAACACTTAAATAGAACCTGCTATGGGCCAGGTATGGATGTGAAAGAGACTTGGTCCTTGTTGGTGTGGAGTACACAGGCACGGGAAGGCAGCGTATGTGGTGCGGCAGGCATAGTCTAGGCTTTGGAGTCAGACTGACCTGTGCTGAATTCTGAGCACTTCCTAGTGGTGTGTCCTTGGGCCTGTGTATGTTGGACCTTGAACCTCAGTTTCTTTATCTGTAAAATAGAGTTAATAGCATCTATGTACTGGTAGTGCTGGTTGCTGAAGGCTTCCTGAGATAATGAGTGACAGCAGCACCCTGCAGAGTGCCCTGTGTAGTAGCTCTGTGGTCAGTGCTGCAGCAGATCCGCCAGCCAGGAGATCTGCCCTGTTTATGCCTCCTGACAAGGCCCCCAGGAGAGGCAGTGTGGGGCAGTGGGGAGTACACCAAGCTGGGATTCAAAAGATCCTGAGTTACACCTTTTTAATTTACTAGCAAAAGTAATTTAATTACCTTTTAATTTACTGAGACCCTGAGTCTCAGTTGCCTCATCTGTGCGGTGGCGGGGACCACATTGCCCTGCATTCTCTGTGGGTTTATCTTGAGGATCCAGTGAGATAATGGAAGGGGCTTGGGATGATGATGGAGGTGGGGCTGAGGAATGGAAGGAGGCCCCCAGGTTCGCTGTTGCCTCCCCTGTCCCGGGCTATGAGGAGGCCTTGCCAGGACAGGCTTGCTTGGGCCCCCAGGAGGGCTGGGATGACTGAAGTGGTAAGACAGGGTCTTGTCATTATTTCAGACTCCTGGAATTGTCTGCCTTTTTTTTTTTTTCCTTTTTGAGATGGAGTTTCGCTATGTTACCAGACTGGAGTGCAGTGACTCGATCTCGGCTCACCGCAACCTCTGCCTCCTGGGTTCAAGCGATCCTCCTGCCTCAGCCTCCTGAGTAGCTGGGACTACAGGCGCGTGCCACCACGCCCAACTAATTTTTGTATTTTTAGTAGAGACGGGGTTTCACCATGTTGGCCAGGATGGTCTTGATCTCTTGACCTCATGATCCGCCCACCTCGGCCTCCCGAAGTGCTGGGATTACAGGTGTGAGCCACCGCGCCCGGCCAGTTGTCTGCCTTTTACAATCCCAGTGCTCCTCTGCTAGGGTGGTGTCTTCATAGCAGCTGCCATTAAGTGCCCATTAAAAAACTGGGGTGAGTGGTCTAATTAATGAAACTATCAGTGCTGGCAGGCACCTACTGTCCCCAGGCATCACCCTCCTGGTCCCCCACCATTTTCTATAAAAGGAAACTAAAAATTGGCCTTCCTGAGCCCGCAGTCTAGAGCTCTTCCTACCATACCTCCAGTTGTTTTACTTTCCTGCATTTTAGCTTTTGTCGGTTGCAAAGTCTGTCCCAGAGGCCCCCAGCTGTGCAGGGCCTCCCTGCTGAGCAGCCTGTGCTCTGGTTGGCAGTTCAGGCAGGCCTGCTCAGCATCGCTGGGTAGGCTGGTTACAGAGGGGCTTGAGCGAGACTTACTGGCAACTGAATCAACTGACGAGGGGGGCCAGCCTCGGTCCTCCCTTCCATGAGCCTAGCCACTGAGAGGCTCTCCGACTTGTCCTGATCTCACATGGCTTGAGGAACAAAAGCAGAGGCGAGGCTTCTCTTGGGCCTGGGGGCTGAGTCCAGCTCAAAGTGTGCCCGTCTGAAGCATGAAGGCAGGTGGGATGGGATGAGCACTGCTGGCATTCTCTAGTTGGGGCTATGGATGGAGAGAAGGCTGAATACTGCTCTCCTCTTCTGCCTGGGTTCCCAGCGCACCTGGAGTCCCTGGGCTGTGGCCAGTTGGCAACACTGGTTAGAAGCACATTGGAGAGGCTGTCTAATGTTTTGGTTAAGAGCGTGAACTCTGGGGCCAGACTGGGTTCTGATTTTAGCAATGCCACATGACCTTGGGCAAGTTATTTAACCTCTTTGTGCTCCAGTTTCCTCATCTGTAAAATGGGGATATTAATAACAATAATTTCTTAGAGAATTGTTGAGGTTAGAGTTAATTTTAAAAATTGTTTAGGACAGTGAACAGTAAGCACTGTATAATTGTTAGTTAATATTATTGAATGTGGGCATGACAGTGGTCTTTAGAGACCATCGCCAAATCCTGTAGCTCTTCACTCCCAGTTTCTCTGATATCCCCCAGCATTCTCCCTCCTTTTGCTCTCCGCACATCCTCCCTGCTCCCTCTGCAGTCTCAGTTTTCCACTCTGCAAGAGCCAACAAGATCATTTCAAACTGCAAACCTGATGGTCTCACCCTTCAGCTCAAGCCCCTCAGTGGCTCTTACTGTTCTTCGGGTAAAGTTCTTACCCAGGCTCTGGGTAAAGCTCTTACCCAAGGCCAGGTCCCCTTGCTGGGCACTGTCTGGAAGCGTGAAGCTCCCTTTGCATATATAATGACACTGGTCATTATATAACTGTGTTTATTTTATCAACGTCCTGGCTTCTCACTGGACTGAGAGATCCACAAGGGTATGCCCTCATCTTGTTCATCTCAGTTGCTCCCAGACCCCTGTCAATCACATAATGGGTGCTCCATAAATGTGTGGTGAATGAATGACTGAACGGATGGATGAATAGTTGGTGGGAGGAAGTAGTAGAAGGAAGGAATCTTTGGAGCCAGATGGGCTCAGGCGGGAGCCCAGAACCTTTTTCAGGACCTGTTGGAGTTCTTGAGAGGCCCAAGGAAGATCAGGAAAATTCTAGCAGGGAGCTGGTGAGGACCGAGTGGAGTGGAGTGATACGTCAGTTGCGGTGCTTGCTGCCGACTGGGGAGTGATGGACATGCTCCCTAAGTGTGGGTCGACCTCTCTTTCTCCTTCCTTTCATGAATACTTGTTTAGGGCCTCCTAGGTGCTTGGTATTATGTTCCCTGCTCTCCCGTATATTATTTCATTTCATCATCCGGATAGTACTGTGAGGGAGGCATTATTATCCCCATGTTATATGAGAAAATTGAGGTTCAGAGAGGGTCAGCAACTTGCCCAGAGTCACACAGCCAAGAAGCAGCAGAGTCAGGACTTGAACCCAGGACTTCCTCCTGTGGATATGAGAAGTGACTGGGGGTAATGCCACTCTGTTGAACACTGACCCAAACTGGCATGCTGGGGAAGGCAGCCCTAGGGGAGCAGACCCTTCCATGATAATCAAGTCACCGAGGTTGCAGCAGGTTTGACCCAGTTGGCTGGGTTGTTGCCTTTAGGGAGCTCACAGTCTAGAGGTAGAGGGGGAGCCAGCTGATATACAAATACGCAAATAGCTTATCATTGCAACTAGGGTGACTTCCTGGGAGATGGGTGGAGAGGCGCCCCAGGGCCTGCTCTTTGTGGGAGCTGGAAAGAGCACCAGATGCAGAGTGAGAGCTGCCTATGCCTATTAGGCTTTGCCTCTACCACTTCTGGGCTGTGGGAACTCAGGCACATGAATCCCTGTGCCTCAGTTTCCTCATCTGCAAAACAGGGACAGGAAGAACTTCTTTGTAGATTTTTTTGGAAGATTAAATGAGAGGTACTTGAAAGTGCTTAAAACTGCTAGTGTTAAGTATTCAAAGGGTTTTGTACAATCACAAGAGGTGGGCGGCATGGCCCCCCCACCGCTTTGCCTTGGCTATGGCTATGTGGGGCCCTTGGGACCCCAGATTTATAAAATGTTGCAGCTGAAAGCTCTCCTATATTCTCCTGACCACCCAGGGGCTGTGAAGGCGGTACTAAAGGTTCATAAATGATTCTCCATGTTTCCCCAAATCAACACAGAAGGGTTCATTTGCTGTAAACAAAACAGCAGACTTCTTTGCTTTTGGCTGAATTACAGCTCTCAGGATGGAACTCCTCTCATGCTGAACAGAAGTCGGCTGGCAGTCCCTGCATCTCTGATTAATATAAAAAACAGAGGCTGGGAGGGGGAACTGACTTGCTGGCACGGGACAATAGGTCAGAGAGGCTTCAGGCTACTTTGTGCTGGGCGCCAGGGGAGGAAGTGAGGAACCCCCAGGGAGGACCCTGGGGGCAGGATTGTGGAGGGGAAATCCAGGGCAGGAGTGTTAGGGGTGGGGGCAGGAGTGACAGGGAATCCTGGGCAGACAATGGCCTCCTTAAGGAGAGGGTGAGGGTGTGGAGAAGCGGCATGGCCACAGCTAGTGAGGGTGAGGAAGTAGCGGACTGAGGCTCTTCCCCCTAACCCCAGCCAATGGAGCAATTGTCCTCTGCTGGGAGGGAGCTGGGCCTGGGCCTGGGAACAGCTGGATGCCTGCCCTTAGGGCCACCGAGGTGGTCCTGGCCTCCTTGCCTGGTCCCAGAATAGCTCCTCTGTGCAGGCTGCTGATCCTTCAGGCCCCAGTAGGGGTTACCCAGTCCTACTTCTTCCAGTTGGCAGTTTGGGGTATGGATGCCCACCCAAGGCTCTCTGAAGAGGGGCCCCCACTTCCCTTCTGCCCACTTCTGGGAAACCTGAGCCCTGTTTAGGCTGGTCGCTGAGGCCAGGGCTCAGCCCACTTCCTGGAGCTGTCTGTTTCCAGCTCTACCCTGCTGCCCTGTGGCCGGCTGGCTTGGCTTTTGGGTCTCAGCTGCTTTACCTGTAAAGTGAGAGAGTTGAGCTATGAACAGCAGTGCCTCTCCCCCAGTGGATAGCCTGTCCGGCCTGGGGTGGGGCATGGGCTCAGTCCTCAGGACCCCTGGGGCTGGCACTCAGGGGAAGGGCCAGGGCTGCTAACTTCCTGCTGGGTTCAGCACAGCCCTACAGGATCAAGAACTGCCATGCCCCAAGAGCCGATAGAGCCCCTGTTGAGATGCACTGCTAGATCGATGCTTTTCACTCTTGTTGTTTTTAGGGTAGCGCCATCCTGTTTTCAAACGATGTGGCTTGTGGGAACTCGACAGATAAAACAGATGAAAGGGGCAAGTATGGTTAGGGCTGGTGGGGGGCCCAGTGGGAACCCTCCCTAGGCCCTCAGCCGGGCCTCTCTGCAGCTGGCTGTGCCCTGTGTGCGCGGTTCTGGGTGTTCTGTTCTGATTGATGGGGCATCTGCTGAAACTGGCAATGTCCGTGCTGTACCGGTTGTTACTCCTTACCCTGGCACATGCCGCAGGGTTTTGTCTTTTTGTTTAATCTAAGAGATAGGATGGGCAGACAGGGTTTGGAGATTAACTTCCTGTGGCTGTGAATTGTCCTTGGTCTCCTGGGCCAAGGCTTGACCAGGCTGGCTGAGACCAGGCTGCTGACATGGGCACACCCCCCAGCCAGGAGAGGAGAGGGGTTCCCAAACTTTATATTGCAAAGCAATCACTATAGAAGCTGATTAAAGTATATATTTAGATTGCGGGGCCACTGCACATATTCCAGTTCAACACCTGTGACTCCCAGGCAATTTTGAGGCAGTGGGCTGCAGACCAGGATGGGAAGTGCTAGCCTCCCAGGGGGCTGTGCCTGCTCCTTGTTCCACCGCTGCCTCCCCCTGCCCCAGCCGGCCACAGCCTCCCTCCAGGGCCCTGCTAGTGGGCCTCCTTCAGGCTGAAATGAGAACTCTTTCCTTCTGGAAGCTGCACACAACCTGGCATCCCCTCCACAGTCCTTTTCCCTGTCCCCCTCTGTGTGGGGTAAGTAGTTGGGTTCACAGCCACCTTATCTGCTCCAGCGCCCAGCTCAGGGCTATGATTAATGATGGTGTCGGCAGACATTAGTGTGCCCAGGCCCTAGGCTAAGTGCCTTATCATCTCATTTAAACCTCTTGACAATGCTACGAGAGACGGGTGTTATTATTATCACCCTCCCCCACTCCATTTACAGATGAGAACTCAGAGGTGATTGAGTAACTTGCCCAAGGTCACAGAATGGGGAGTCTCCCAGGTAGATCTGACTCGACTTCACACATGCTGGGTACTGGGAGGGCAGCCAGCCCTGGCCTCTGTCTGGGTTTTCATAATCACCCTTCAATGAGTCTGGCATGGTACTATTATTACTATTTTGAGTCAAGGTCTCACTCTGTCGCCCAGGCTGGAGTGCAGCAGCACGATCACAGCTCACTATAGCTTTGAGCTCCGGGGTTCAAGTGATCCTCCTGCCTCAGCCTTCCAAGTAGCTGGCACAACAAGCACACGCCACCATGCCCTGCTAAGTTTTCCTATTTTTTGTAGAGACGAGGTCTCACTATGTTGTCCAGGTTGGTCTCCAGTTCCTGGGCTCAAGTAATCCTCCTGCCTTGACCCCCCAAAGCATGGGGATTTCAGGCGTAAGCCACTGTGCCTGGCCATTAGTATTATTATTAATGAGGACTTGAGGTTTTTTTTTTTTTTTAAATAGAGACTGGTCTCCCCATGTTGCCTAGGCTGGTCTCGAATTCCTGGGCTCAAGGGATCCTCCCACCTCAGCCTTCCAAGGTGCTGGGATTACGGGTGTGATTCACCATGCCGGGCTGTTATTATTGTTATTATTATTATTATTATTATTATTATTATTGAGACCAAGTCTCACTCTGTTGCCTAGGCTGGAGTGCAGTGGCATGATCTTGGCTCACTGCAACTTCCGCCTCCTGGGTTCAAGCGATTCTTGTGCCTCAGCCTCCTGAGTAGCTGGGACTACAGGCGTGAGCCACCACACCCGGCTAATTTTTATAGTTTTAGTTGAGACGGGGTTTCACCATGTTGGCCACGCTGGTCTCAAATTCCTGACCTCAGATGATCCACCCGCCTTGGCCTCCCAAAGTGCTAGGATTACAGGTGTGAGCCACCACGCCCAGCCTGTTAGTATTATTATTAATGAGGACTTGAGTCTTAAGACTTCCCAGAGGTTGGTGCTTAAGGAAAGATCCCATGGGAACAGCGGCTGAGAATTGCTGGGGTCCTGGGGAGGAAGGCTCATTACGGTGTGTTTGGGAGTCACATCTGTGACCTTGTTTCTTCCTTATGACAACTTAGGGAGGCATGCATGGACAGTCCTTATTTTACAGATGAGGAAACTGAGGCTCAGAGAGGTTAAGTTCACTTACTCAAGGTCTCTCTGCCAGTAAGTGATGGAGCCCAAGTTGAACAAAGTCCTGACTCTGCGGAGATGCCATGCTTTTCTTATTGCCCCATGAATTAAGATTGGGCCAAAATCAGAGAAATGGAAAAGGCCTGAGATTTGTCCCCTACCAACCCACCCTGGAGGGCTCTGAAGCCAGCTCAAGGTCTGCTGGAGACAAAGAGGTCCATGCCCTGTTGACCTAGTTATGTGGCGAGGCAACTCGGGGTCAGGGAAAGGTGCATTCTTTCCCTTCAACTTGTATTACCCAGCTTCTGGCTTCCTGGAATTTTTGTTAATATTCCAAATCACTTGGTAATAAGTTCTCTTCCCCACGGTTTTTGCAAACAGGAACCGAGCACCCTTCAACTAGAAGAACACACACTTTCACACCCTTTTCTCCTTTAAACTGGTGCCAGGGCCCTGTTAGGAGAAAGGAGCTCTGGATAAGAAACCAAGAGGCGAGGTGTGGCAGAGGAACCAGAAGGCCTGAGAGGAGTTTGGTGACAACATCCTGGGCCCAGGCCCATGTCGCAGGAGGCAGAAGGGACCGTGGACTTGATGCCTAAAGACCCAGTGTGAGTCCCTGGCCTGCCATTCCCTGTCCTCCTCGGGGCTGCACTTCCCCTCCCTGGGTCCCAATTTCCCTCTTAAAGGAAAATAGGCCGGGCATGGTGGCTCACACCTGTAATCCTAGCACTTTGGGAGGCCGAAGCAGGTGGATCACCTGAGGTCCAGAGTTCAAGACCAGCCTGGTCAACATGGTGAAACCCTGTCTCTACTAAAAATACAAAAAATTAGCCGGGCGTGGTGGTGGGCGCCTGTAATCCCAGCTACTTGGGAGACTGAGGCAGGAGAATCCCTTGAACCCGGCGGAGCAGGGGGAGGAGATTGCAGTGAGCCGAGATCACGCCACTTCAGTCCAGCCTGGGCGAAAGAGTGAAACTCCATCTCAAAAAAAAAAAAAAAAGAAAAGAATACCCTCCTGGTGAGAGGATCAGGTGAGAAAATACATGTGAAGAGGCTGTACCCTTGTAATTATTTGGTTACGTGGAGGTCAAGTTTGCCTAGCAGTGTTGTTTAGCAGGATCTCTGCAATGACAGAGGGCTTCTACCTCCGTGCTCTCCAGTTCGGTAGCCACGCATGGCTGCTGAGCACTTGAAATGTGGCTAGTGCTACTGAGAAACTGAATTTTAAACTTTTCAATTAAAAACAGGTTTTTTTAGGGACAAGGTCTTGTTCTGTTGCCTAGGATGGAATGCAGTGGTGCAATCATGGCTCACTGTAACCTTGAACTCCTGGGCTCAAGCAATCCTCCTGCCTTAGCCTTCCCAGTTGCTGGGACTGCAGGTACGCACCATCATGCCCAGGTAATTATTATTATTATTATTTTTCGTAGAGATGGGGTTTCCCTATATTGCCCAGGCTAGTCTCCAACTCCTGGCCTCAAGGCATCTGCCTGCCTTGGCTTTCTGAAGTGCTGGGATTACAGGTGTAAGCTATCTCGCCTGGCCCTCTGAATTTTAAATTTAATTTTGTTTTAGTGAGGTGAAATTCACACAACATAAAAATAATTAAATAAAGTGAAACATCCGGTGGCATTTAGTACATTCATAATGTTATGCAACCGTCACTTGTATCTAGTTCTAAAATATTTCTTGTCACCCTTGAAAGAAGCTCTGTGCACATTAAACAGTCGTTCCCTATTCCCCCTTCCCCCCAGCCGCTGGCAGCCACCGTGATACCTTCTAGGCATCTGCCTGTTCTGACATTTCATACCTGCGGAAGCCTACAGTACGGGACTTTCTGTACCTGGCTTCTTTCACTTATGTTTCCGAGCCTCATCCGTGTTGTGGCATGTGTCATTACCACATTCCTTTTTGATGATGGAATAATATTCATTTTAGTTAATTTTAATTCATTTAAATTTAAATAATCACAAGCAGCTGCTGCCTACTGTATTGGACAACCAGGAACCTTTGGTATCCTTCTGGGCAAGTGAGGGAGCAGGGCCCCCACATACCTGCTGGCACCTGAGAGAGAACCCCATGGGAGAGGAGAAGGAGCCGGAGAATGAAAAGACTGAGATGGGCATCCCAGGTTCCCCAAAGGAGCCCAAAGCTTGGCCACTGACCGACATGCATCTGGCATGTTCTGGGGCCTCATGAGGCTGGGCACTGGGCTGTGTGTGTTGCGGATGTCAACTCACTGTGTCCTCACAGCAGCCCTTTGGTGTAGGTCTGTCCTACCATCATCCCTGTGTGACACAGCGGGACTGAGTGATGAAGTATAATAGCTTGCTCCGTCCGGGTCACATAGCTGGTTATTGGAAAGAGACGGCTCTAGGAACCTGTGGTCCCTTCACGAGTCCATGACCTTCACTGCTAGGCTACATAGTCTATTCAGCCTGATTCTGGGGCTGCCCAGTAAAGGCCAATCAAGGACCCTAGCTACATACACACACATTGCACACCTCGAGGCAGGGCTGTCTACTCCATCTCATGCTGGCCTTTCTGAGCTTGGACTGCCTGGGACACGGGGGCCTCTTTGGGTCAGGAAGGGGTGGCCGATGGGACACCTTGGAGCAGGACGAGGGAGTAGCCTCCATCAATTCCCTATTGTTTAATCAATGAGTAACCTGGCCGTTCGGGGCTCCTGGTGCCTGCTGTAGGCCCCCCACTATTCATTGATCTGGGAAGGAGACTTGGTTAATTGCCCACCCAAAGTAAACAGGGCTGGGATAACCGAGGCTGACAGCAGAGAGTTTTCCTTGGCTGTGCTGCCCTTTGCCCTTTGGGAAGGGGCAAAAGAGAGCGAAGGGGAAGGGCCGTTCTTGGAATGTCTTTGGAATGAGGGAGGGAAGACTGGCTTCTTGGGGTCCCAAAGACTCAATCTGTCTGTCCTTCTGGAAATTAAGTCCTCTGCCAGGCTTTATTGTGCCTTGCGAAAGGGATGGGAGCTGGGGCCGGCAAGACTCTCACGTATCTCTCTTCATGCCCCCTTTGTCCATCTGTCCATCTCTTCATCCCTCCCTTTTGACATCCTTCCCTCCTTTCTTTCTTCCACTCACTCATTCTCCCCTTTCATCCATTTGTCCCCTCCCCTCATTTAATTCACCCAGGCTGGAGTGCAGTGGTGCAATCATGGCTCGCTGCAGCCTCTATGTCCTGGGCTCAAGTGATCCTCCCACCTCAGCCTCCTGAGTAGCTGGGACTACAGGTGTGCACGGCTACGCCTGGCTAATTTTTTTTAGTTTTTGTAGAGACAGGGTTTCATCACGTTGCTCGGGCTGGTCTTGAACTCTTGGGCTCAAGGGATACCCCCACCTCCATGTCCTAAAGTGCTGGGATTACAGGCGTGAGCCACCATGCCCAGCCCATTCTTCCCTTATTCTGCTCATCTGTCTGAAAGTTCATCCCCCACCTTGTTCCCTCCATCCTTTTTGCCCCTCTCCCCCAACACACATTTTTTTTTTATCTTCCTTTCCCTCATGCAGCAAGCACAGGCTTCTTGAGAAAGCCAGGGAAGAGGTGGGTGGGAGTCCTGTGGGCTCTTCCCGTGGGGGCCAAGCCCAGCCATGGGGTTCTGAGTCTGGGCCCCCACGTAGCCCTGGCAGAGTTAATTGCCTGGCTTCAGACATGCAGGCCACTCACTCAGGTTAGATGGAGCCTCATTGTCCCTGGAAGGAGAAAACTTGTTCCTTCAACATAGGGACCATGTCAGTTTTTGTCCAAATGGGGACGCTTTGGAGAGTGGAAAGGGTTCTCTTGACAATAGGAGTTACCACACCCAGGCAAGGGGAGTAGCCTGGGACTGTCCTGGGCAAAGAGGGACATTTGTCCTGGGCAGAGAGGGACATTTGTTCCTCCTCCTTCAGCCCCAGCCTTGAGAGGGCCTGTGACTTAGCATCCTTTCTCTCCCAGAGCTGAGCTGGATTTTGGGGTTGGTCCTGTGTGTAGAAACCCACGTCAGCGTCAACCGCTTGGTGAGAGTTTGGTGTCTGACTCCTTCTGGGATCCCAAAGCCCACGGTCCCGTGTGACGTGGAATAGTCCCTAAAGGGCTTTCCAGAAGTTATCGCATCCTAACAGTCCTGTGTGGAGGACAGTGTGAGGTTAGTTTGTCCCTTTTACACATGGAGAAGCTGAGGCTCCAAGTGTGAAGGATTTGCTGAAGCCTGGATAGACCAGCTGGATAGACCTCTAAGCCCACACTTAGGCTACTCAGTAAAATCACATTAAAAAAATCAGGCCAGGCACAGTGGCTCATGCCTGTAGTCCCAGCACTTTGGGAGGCCAAGGCGGGTGGATCACTTGAAGTCAGGAGTTCAAGACCAGCCTGGCCAACATGGCGAAACCCCGTCTCTACTAAAAACACAAAAATTAGCCGGGCGTGGTGGCGCACGCCTGTAGTCCCAGCTAATCAGGAGGCTGAGGCAGGAGAATCACTTAAACCGGGGAGGTGGAGGTGGCAGTGAGCCAAGGTTGCACCACAGCACTCCAGCCTGGGTGGCAGAGTGAGACTCTGCCTCAATGAAAAAAAAAAAAAAAGTAAGATCTACAGTCCCGTTTCTAAGCCCCAAGCCCGTGCCTACGTTCCAGATGGAGCCTGAGGCTGGAGTGGGGTGGTGACTTCCTCATTGCTGCACGGGCTGTTCAGGAATCTTGTGGGGCAGCAGGTGCTGGCCTAGGACTCCCGGAACTAACAACAGCAACAGAAACAACGCTACCATGCACTGAGCCCCTGTTAAGTCCCGGGCACCGTCCTGGGTGCTTTACCTATTTTGCAGTGGCTCAGCCGGTTCAGATGGGAGAGCAGGACGGCAGCGAGTGAACAGTCCGCTTGGAGCTCTCCTCCTGCTCCCACCCTCCTGCAGAGTTCTCGGGTTGATCTAGGGGGCAGAATGTGTTCTTCCTAAGCCCTGCCACCCCCGTTAATTTCTAACCAATGCAGCTGGGAGATAAGATAGCACCAGCCCATTAATCAAGGCTGCCTGGCAGGGTGGGGTGGGGGTGGGGTGAGACAACACCACAACACAGTTGGAGATAAGCCCCTTCCTCCAGGCTCCCTCAGGGGCTGGGCCAGTGGAGATTGCTGGGAAGTTTGGCCCAGGTTCCAATCCCAAGTGTCTGGGTAGGGAGGGTGGAGCCCACAGTGGCTACCGGGGCGGTCACTGCGCTGGGAAGGGCAGGGGGGGCAGGCTGGATTGAGACGAGACGGGAGACCTGGGTTCTGGCTAAAGGGCTCCCTCAGCTCCCTCTGTGCCTTTATTTATTTTATTTTTTAGATGGAATCTCACTCTGTTGCCCAGGCTGGAGTGCTGTGGCATGATCTCAGTTCACTGCAACCTCTGCCTCCTGGGTTCAAGTGATTGTCCTGCCTCAACTTCCTGAGTAGCTGGGATTCCAGGCACCCACCACCACGCCAGACTAATTTTTGTATTTTTTGTAGAGATGGGGTTTCACCATGTTGGCTAGGCTGGTCTTGAACTCCTGATTTCAAATGATCCACCCGCCTCGGCCTCCTAAAGTGCTGGGATTACAGGTGTGAGCCACCGCGTCCGGCCCCCTCTGTGTCCTTAGATAAGTCACTGCACCTCTTTGGGCTGCTGTTTCTACATCTGAAAAAATGGGGGGTTGGGGGATTGGACTAGATGACACGAAGGGCCCCTACACTTTAAAGGTGCTCAATGCCTGGCCCTGGGTAGGTGAGGCATGGACTGACCTGTCGGCAGGGAGAGGGGCAGAGGGTGTGTGGGCAGAGGCACCACCTTGGCTAAGGGACAGTGGGCTGGACGGGATTTGTCCCTGCACCTGTCTTAGTCACCCAGGACAGCAAGTGGGTGGTGGTGGTGGGGGTGCTGCTGGGGTACAGGAGGGGTAACAGGGCCCTTGAGCCACTGTGCACCTTGGAGGGCCATGCAGTACGCTGGTTAAGCACCCAGGTGCTGGAGTAGTGGCATTTGATTCAAATCCCAGGTCTGCTTCTCCCCTGTGTAATCTTGGGTGAGTCCCTCAACCTCTGGCACCTCAGTTTCTCTATCTGTACAATGGGCATGATAATAGTGTTTACCTTGTCATTTTTGGGAAGTTTTGCTAGAAAGATAAATGTAAAGTGCTTAGCTCGATTCCTGGCAGATGGCAAGTGCTCAGTAAATGTGAGTTCTTACTTCTTTCCCGGCCAGGTCCATAGGGCCTGGACCCTTGTTAGAGCAGATTCTGTGTGACCACAGCTGTGGAGGAGATGGGGCAGTTCAGCCTCAAAGCAACTGCTGGCCCAAGGATGCTGATTATAAAGTGTACTTAAAATGATCAACATTTATTATCTCACAATGCAACAAATAATTATAATAAATAATTCAGTGGCTCAGGAATTCAGGAGCATCTGAGCTGGGTGGTTCTGACTCAGGGTCTCTCTCACGAGATTGCCATCAAGATATTGTCTAGGGGCCAGACACAGTGGCTTACACCTGTCATCCCAGCACTTTGGGAGGCTGAGCTGGGAGGGTCTCCTGAACCCAGGAGTTTGAGACCAGCCTGGGTAAACAGGGAAACTCTGTCCTTATAAAAAATTAACAAAAAAATTAGCTGGGCATGATGGCATGTGTGGGATCCTAGCTACTCAGGAGGCTGAGGCAAGAGGATCACTTGAGCCCGGGAGTTCGAGGCTGCAGTGAGCCATGATTACACCACTGCACTTCAGCCTGGGTGACAGAGTGAGACTGTCTCCCCTGCCTCTGCAAAAAAAAAAAAAAAAAAAAAAAAAAAAAAAAAAAAAAAAAAATTGGCCAGGGCTGCAGCCACCAGGAGACTTGGGAGGGGCTGGAGGATCTGACCCCAAGTCCACTTGTGTGACTGTTGGCTGGAGGCCATATGGGGAGCTTGAGTGTCCTCACGACATGGGAGCTGGCTTCCCCAGGGCAAGTGACCTAAGGAAGCCAGGCGGGGGGAAGCACAGTGCCTCTCATTACTTGGTCTCTGAAATTGCCCGCCATGAATTCTGCTTACTGTGTTCATTGGAGACAAGTCACTACCTCCACCTCACACCCAAGGGAAGGGAGGAGTATCAGAATTTGTGGACCTCTTTTAAAGCCACCACAAACATTAACAGCTATTCTATGCCCAGATGCTCTGTGGTGGGAACTGGACACACATTATCTCTAATTCCCACAAAAGCTTTCTAAGTTAGGAATGAAGTTTCTTCTATGGGTGAGAATATAGTGATTCAAAGGGATGAAGCATCTTGCCCAAGGCCACCAGCCAGGGGGTGTCCACAGTGCTGTCTGGTCCCAGAGCCTGGCCTTTCCCACCACACCAGGCCATTCCCCACCCCAGATACAACCCAGTTTCAGCCACACCCAATCCAGCCTTGGCTTTGAAGCCACACAGGACTGGCTACGGTAAGGAGACCTCCTTGGTTGTAGGATTAAAAGTAATGTATGAGGCACAGGGCATGAGAAAGGTAGGGACTTTCAGAGCCACACTGACCTGGGTTTGGGTTCTGACTTTGCTTCGTGCCTCAGTTTTCTCATCTGTATGGTAGGAGCAATCATGTCCATGGGGCAGGACAACTACAAGGATTAGATGAGGTGTGTACGCAGCAGGTATGCAGCACTGGCTGTTATTATCATGGGATGGGGCCAGGTAGCCCTGAGGCTGGGCCGAGAGAAGGCTGCCCTCCCTGGGAGTAGTGTGTTCTCATGGTGGAAGCAATGTCCCCCCTTCCTGGTCTGAGGACTCCCATCCGGGTTGTGTTCAGCAAAGACAGGGAATCCAAGTGATGGTGCTGCTTTGCCAGCCCTGTAGGTAGGGCTGAGGCCAGGCCCCCACGCTTGAGGGCCAGACTCGGCCAGGCTACGGACTTTCCCTAACCTCCCCGCCCTGACTCTTCCTAGGCTCAGGGGGTCCAGGCTGGGAGCTCCCCGGAGCCCTCCCCTCCTGCCTTCCCAGTGTCTCCCATGTCTCCGGCAAGGAGGGATCTGCATGCACTTGTCTGCTTCCGCCAGCAGAGGGAGCAGGTGCTGTGTCTGGGAACCAGGGAGGCTCCAGGTGAGGTGGCTGCCTGGCAGGGGGTCCTCTTGTCCTGGAAGCCCCTTAGCCCAGTGGGTGACTTGGTGATTTGGAGCAGAGCTGGCAAGGGTGGGGGCTGCATCCTAGAGCTCCTCCGAAAAGACCAGTCTCAGCTCTCTAGAGCCCAGGAGATGGGGCCATGTTCAAGGAAGGGAAGGGATGGGGTTTCCTGGGCCTGAGATCTCAGATCTCGGCCCCCGCCTCCCTTGCAATCCAGGGAGGCAAAGAAGTCATTGCTGCACTCCATAGTCTGTCCAGCTAATTTCATACAGTGCCAACTGTATGCCAGGCACTGTGGTAGCCCTGGGAGTGCACGGCAGATGTGGCCTTTCACAGGGCTGACATTCTAAAGGGAAGCTGGGCAAAGACAAGATGTATGAATGGAGTAATGGCAAACATGCGGTAAAGGAAATAAACAGGAGGCTGGGAGAGGCAGCAGCTGGGGACCCATGTCTACACTGCTCACCCAGATGGCCAGGTGGAATTGAGGTGGAGCAAGTCCGTGAGTCTGTGGGTGGGAACTGCCTCCTCCACTATGCCCCTCTCAGCCATGGGCTCCTATTGTCACCAGAAATCACCACAGGTCATCATAAGGACCTGGCCATGACAGCAGGGAGGACGTTTAGTCCACTAGTCACCTGCAGGATTATCCATGGAACTAATTCACTGGAGCACCTGGAGTCACACAGGCCTGGCTTGTGGCCTGGCTCAGTCACTTATCACCTGTGTGACCTTGGCTAAGATGCTTAAATTCTCTGTTTTGTCATCTGCAAAGCAGTAATAAAGATTCCTACATAGTGCGAGGACTGTGGTGTGTTCATCCTCTTGCAGCGCTACCTCTTGCCAGCTGACGTGTTGCGCTCACATACATTTGTTTTTTATTGCTGCTGAAACAAATTACAAATGTGTGTTACTTTAGCATTTAAAGCAACGCACATTTATTAGCGCACAGTCTCTGTGGGTTGGGAGTCCAGGCCTGGGTTACCTGGGTCCTTTGCTCAGGGTCTCACAAAGCTGCAGTCAAAGTGTCAGCCAGGTCCAGGCACGGTGGCTCACGCCTGTAATCCCAACAGTTTGGAAGGCCAAGGTGGGTGGATCACTTGAGGTCAGGAGTTTGAGACCAGCCTGGCCAACATGGTGAAACCTCATCTGTACTAAAAATACAAAAGTTAGCCAGGTGTGGTGGCATGCACCTTTAGTCCCAGCTACTTGGGAGACAGGCAGGAGAATTGCTTAAACCCAGGAGGCAGAGGTTGCAGTGAGATGAAATCGCACCACTGCACTCCAACCTGGGTAACAGAGTGAGATTCCATCTCAAACGAAACAAAACCCAACATGTCAGCCAGGGTAGGGTCATCTGAGACTTGGGAGCTTCTTCCAAACTTCCTAGGTTTTGGCAGAATTAATTTCCTTGCAGATGTAGAACTGCTTCTTGCCTCCCTTCCTCCCTCCCTCCCTTCCTTCTTCCCCTTTCTTCCTCTCTTCCTTCTTCCCTTTCTTCCTCCCATCCTTCCTTCCCTTTCTTTTATTTCATATAAAGATGAAGTCTCGAAATCCTGAGCTCAAGCAATCCTCCTGCCTTGGCCTCCCAAAGTGCTGGGATTATAGGTGTGAGCCACCACGCCCAGCCCAACCTCTTTAAGATCCTTCCTTCCTCTCTTCCTTTCCTTCCTTCCTTCCTTCTTTCCTTCCTTCCTCTCTCTTTTTCTTTATTTCTTCTTCCTCTTCTTCTTCTTCTTCTTTTTTTTTTTTTTAAGAGATGAGGTCTTGCTATGTTGCCCAGGCTGTTCTCGAACTCCTGGGCTCAAGTGATCCTCCCACCTTGGCCTCCCACAGTGCTGGGATCACAGGCGTGAGCCACTGCACCAAGGCCTGCATCTTCTTCTTGAAGACTGTGTCTTCAAAGCCAGCTGGAGAGCTCTCTCTGAGGTGTCACCATCTTTAAAAAGGCTCACCTGATTAGGTCAGGCCTACCCAGGATCATCTCACTTTCTATTAACTTAAAGTCAACTGATTATAACATTCCATATTTGCTGGTCCCACCCAGACTAAGGAAGAAGAGATCATACAGGCCATGCATAGTCAGGGTAGGAATCCTGGAGGCTATTTTAGAATTATCAGTATGACAAAAATTATTTTCACTAATAACCATGTAATAATCAGTAATAATTATTTTTAAACAACTTGTTCTTTCATTTTGAAACAAATAAACACAAAGAAAATGTCAACTTTAAACATACTGTTCAAATTCAGTAAAATGTTTTGTGTATAAACAAATGTTGTATTTACCAGACAAAAGCATTCATACTTAACATCATGGTTATCCATTTTAAACACAAAACAAACCTCCATAGAGTGGTGCCATAGAATGACAGAATTGAAGAAACTCAAATTCTGTTTTTTTTCATACTCAATAGACTATAATTTTTTATTTTGAATAAAATAAAATAAAAATAATAAAAAATGAACTAAATAAATAAAATACCCTTTAAATGCAGGAATGTGTAGTACTGTATGATTTGGGGACACAAACTGCACTTGAAGCCAGCTGGAATGATTCTTTTTTTTTTTTTTGAGATGGAGTCTCCCTCCGTCACCTAGGCTGGAGTGCAGTGGTGCGATCTCCGCTCAATGCAACCTCCGCCTCCCAGGTTCAAGCGATTCTCCTGCCTCACCCTCCCTGAGTAGCTGGGACTACAGGTGTAGTCTGTAGTCTGTAGACCATGCCTGGCTAATTTTTTTGGTATTTTTAGTAGAGATGGGGTTTCACCATGTTGGCCAGGCTGGTCTCGAACTCTTGACTTCAGGTGATCCACTCACCTCAGCCTCCCATAGTGCTCAGATTACAGGCGTGAGCCACCATGCCCGGCCCAGCTTGAATGATTCTCAACTGTTAGGAACTTACCCTACAAATACACAGGTGGGAAACAAGCAAGGTGCCCTTCAATAAGTAAATGGTAAATTGTGGTACATCCATGCAATGGAGTGTTATTCAGTGAGCAAAAGAGATAAGATACACTGTCAAACTATGAAAAGATACTGACGAACCTCAGATGCATGGTACTAAGGGGAAAAGCCCATCTGAAAAGGCCGTATGCTGTGTGGTTCCAACTACAGTGCATGACATTCTGGAAAAGGCAAAGCTATGGAGACAGCAAAAAGATCAGTGGTTGCCAGGAGCTGGGGGAGGGAGGGATGAATAGGTGGATGGCAGACGATTTTTAAGACAGTGAAACTATTCTGTGTGATACTATAATGACGAGTAATATCATTACATGGTCAAAACCCATAGAATGTACAAAGCTTTTGCTGGTCATTAGTGAACTCTAATGTAAACTATGGATTTTCATTAACAACAGTGTATCAGTATTGGTTCACCAATTGTAACAAATGTACCACTGTAGTGTAAGATGTTAATATTAAGGGAAACTACCCGCACTCAATTTTTCTATAAATCTAAAACTGCTCTAAAAATGAAGTTTACTAATTAAAAATATATCACAAGCATAGCTAAGTCAGCGTGTGTCTAAGGCTGCCCGAATAACCGAGAGCTTTCTAAATTAACTGTCATGTAGAATATGATGCTTATGAAAGAATAAATCACGAAAGTGTGCTAATTGGAAGTTAACTTGTATGAAAGCCCAGCAGTATAACCACGTCACTTGTTTAGAACTTAGACCAATGAAGGATTTTTTAGGGAAGGGTATTTTATCACTGATATACCTTAAAGGAATTGCTTGGTGAGAATAGCATGTAGATGGCCCCTTGGTTTGTTTTACTGATGTTTCCAATTGTCTACCAGCACACTCCCATATTGCCTGCACCTGGGAGGGCCCACTCCCAGCGCCCTGCTCTCAGCGCCCCCTGCCAGCAATCCAGGTGTTCTTTCCATACTCAGTGCGTCCCTGGATGCTGCATCCCATCTCACAGGACCTTGTTAATGGGCAGAAGAGAACTGTTTCTTTTCTCATGTCCCTTTTTAACTTTTTATTTTTAATAGGCTTAATTTTTTTAGAGCAGTTTTCGGTTCACAGCAACATTGAGAGGAAGGTAGAGAGATTCCCCATATACCCGCTGCCCTCCCAACATGCACAGCCTCCCCCATTATCCATACCGCTCACCAGAGTGGTACGTGTGTTACAACTGATGAGCTTACATGGGCACACCATCATCTCCCAAAGTCCATGGTTTTCATTACGGTTTGCTCTTGGTGTTGTACATTCTATGGGTTTGGATAAATGTCTAATGACACGCATCCACCATTATAGTATCATACAGAATAGTTTCATTGTCTTAAAAATCCTCTGTGCTCCACCTATTCACCCCTCTCTCTCCACTAACCCCTGACAACACTGATCTTTTTACTGTCTTCACCATTTTTCCTTTTCCAGAATGTCATATAGTACATAGCCTTTTCAGACTGGCTTATTTTACTTAGTAATACACATTTAAGCTTCCTCTATGTCTTTTCATGACTTGGTAGCTCGTTTTTTTTTTCTTGTTGAATAACAAGATTGCATTGATTGGCCACAGTTTACCTATCCTCTGTGTCTTTTTTTAAGAGCAAGAAAGCATTTCCTAGAAGTCTCCCCAGCTGACTTCCTGTCATGTCTCATCGGACAGAATCAAGTCACATGCTCCTTCCTAAGCCAGTTGCTGGCAAGGGGAAAGACGTTACCATGAGTGACCAAGTATCAGTCCTGGGACAAGGAGAGTCCAGCCTTCTCTGAAGTTCTGACAACCTAATACATGAAAAAAATTCTTGCAAGGGCTATTTAGTGAGGATGGAGTCAGGAAATGGCTGTTGGGTGGGTAACCAATAATGTTTGCTTCGGCAACCACATTTTTTTTTTTTTTGAGACAGGATCTTATTCTGTTGCCCAGGCTGGAGTGCAGTGGTGTGATGTAGCTCACTGCAACCTTGAACTCCTGGGCTCAAGTGATCCCCCTACCTCAGCCTCCCAAATAGCTGGGACTACAGGCACACACCATCATGCCCAGATAATTTATTTATTTACTTTTGTGGAGACGGGGGTCTCATTGTGTTGTCCAGGCTGGTCTTAAACTCCTGGCCTCAAGCGATCCTCCTGCCTTGGCATCCCAAAGTGCTATGCTCAGCCTACATCTTTTTTAAAGATAAAATTTAATTTTTCTGCTTATAAAATGCATTTTAGAAAATCTGAAAACTACATAAAGTAAAATAAAACTCACCAATAATCTCAACTTCTGGTGATTATTATTGTTAGCACTGTGCAGTATCCATCTCTTTCTTGATTTTTTTCTCTATTTACTTGCAGTGACACATAGAATGAGATATTAAGTCAGGACTCTTTCTCTTCCAGTATTGACTGAGGCACGAAGACAAAGGTGCCACATGCAGAAGGAGCTGTGGGCAGCACACTGTGGTTGAGAACTGGGGAGATGGCAAAACGGGGTCAGGATCTGGAGATTTGGGAGAAATTTGAGAGAATTTCTTTGTAGAAGGCTATGCTGTGAGTCCCAACCCCTTAGTGCCAACCTGTGAGGGAGGGAGGTTACCCCTCCCCTCAAGCCTGATAAGATGGGCTACAAGGAAACCCCTTGGAGGAGCCTAGGGTGTGTCTCTTGGAGTTTGGGAGGCTCAAGGATCATGACATGAACCCAAGGAGTCTAATGGGAAGGGCTTTGGCTTTCAGCCTGAAAAGGTGTAGCAAAGACAGCAAGTGAAAAAAAACCTGTGTTGGGAGCCAGCTCCTCTTCTATGGATGGTGAAGCAAAGGAGGTGTGCATGTTCTCTGTGGACCAGATGAGGCCATGAGTGAGGGAGATGCAGTCTAGAGCTGCTTTAGTTTCATTCCACTGGAACCACCTGGAAGGGTGGTGGGATTCCAACTGAGGGTCAGGGTGACTGGGCCACAGGAAATCAGACACTCTGGGGAGAAACAGTTAAGTGCACTTGAAACCTTCAGAGGCTCTTAGGATCTCTCTTAGATCTGAATTCTGTTCTCCCAGGCTTCCTCAGACCCCTCCCATAGGTACCTCTTTGCACCTTTCCCATCTGGTTTCCTATCCCGGTCCTTGCATATACTCCTCTCTACTGCCCAAGGTAACAGAGTACCAACCCCCATGCCCCTTCCTGTGTCTTACAAAACTCTGCCATCTCAGGCTTCAGCCAGAGGCTAATGAGGTCTTCCTCTGCCCAGACTTTTGCAGGTTGAAAATTAGGAGAGGGATTTGACAAAGAAGGAAAAGTTTAGGCTTTCTCTACCAGGGCTGTGACCAGTGTTCTACTTACTTAAGGAAAAAAACACCTCACTATCATCAAGGAACCCATAGGATAGAGTAAGGAATGCTCTGCTGCATGTTTTTTCTTCTCTCCTGAGACTTCTCTTAAAAGTGTGCTAAGTCTTCTAACTCTGTCTTCTAGGTCTCTTATAATTGCATCTATATTTTTCATTCTTAATCTCTCTGTGCTGCATTCTAGATAATTTCTTAAGACCTAATTTCTAGTTCACTAATTCTCTTTTCAGCTGTATATAAACTGCTGTTAACCCTATTCTTTGAGATCCTAACTTTTTTTTTTTCAGAGCTAGAATTTCTATTTGGTTCTTTTTCAGACTTGCTATGTCACTTTTTATAGTTACTTATTCCCTGCCAAAATTTTAAAACTTAGACTTAAAAAAAACCCAGACATGTGTGAGAAGACTTTTATTTCTTTAAATACATTAAGCCTAGTTGGTTTTAGTTTCTACCTGATAATACCCATATTTTATGTACTTTGGGACCTATTTCTGTTGTCCATTGTTTCTTTTATTCTTAGAAAAATAACTCTACCTCCAGCTCAGTGCTACCCAGGCTGTGACCAGGCTGTGATCAACTGTAGCTCTGAAAAAAAAATTAGAATCTCAAAGAATGGGGTTAACAGCAGTTTAGATACAGCTGAAAAGAGAATTAGTGAACTAGAAGTTAGGTCTTAAGAAACTATCTGGAATGCAGCACAGAGAGATTAAAGATGAAAAATATAGATGCAAATGTAAGAGACATAGAAGATAGAGTGAGAAGACTTATCATACTTTTAAAAGAAGTCTCAGGAGAGAAGAAAAAGCATGTGGCAGAGCATTCCTTAAGTGACTCATCCTATGGGTTCTTTGATGATAATGAGGTGTTTTTGCCCTTAAGTAAGTAGAACACTGGTCATAGCCCTGGTAGAGAAAGTCCACAAAGCAGCTTTGTAGCTGAGCTTAAGCAGCTTTGTAGCTGGGTTTATCTCTTGGGGTGGAGATAAACTTTGTGCTGACACCAGCCACCTTGCTGCTCCTTCATCCTTAGTGCAGGGCCTTATGGCCCAAGACGCTACTCAAGCTGCACCTGCATTTTAGGTGTGGGAGGAGAAAGGCTGGAGAAAGGCATACCTTCACATTTAAGGAGGCTTCTTGGCAGTCCTGCAGAATAAACCTCCTTAATCTCATGGACTGGACCTTGCATACCACTCACATGGAGCTGCCAGGGAAGTTGGGAAATGGAACCTCTGAGCTGGGTAGCACTGGGCTGGTTGCGGGGTTCTTTTTCTAAGGAAGACAAGAAAAAGGGAATTTGGAAGGCAACTGGAAGTTTCTGCCACCGTAACTTTGACCGGATCACTTTTCGTCATTGGATTTCAGTTCTTCACCTATAATTGGGGAGAAGGCACTGTTGGCAGTGCCTTCTGTGTTGGGTGGCACAATTCTTCACTGTGCAGAACTGTCCTCTGCCATGTCGGACATTTAGCACTCCCAGGCCGTGTGTGTTAAATGTCAGTAGCATACCTAGGCTCCGTTACCACCACAACAGCCCTGGTCTTTGCTACCTGCTTCTAGGGGACAGTGCTGCTGCCTGTTGTGAACCCCTGGACAACATCGTGGTTCTAGATTTCCCCCTAACAGTGGCATTCTGTGGGAGCCTGTGGTTCTATGATGTTTGGGTCTCAGTAACTTCATCTGCCAAATGGGCAAAGGAAGGAGACAGGAGGGGAATGCAAATCTGCTTCTTTAGTTCTCCTGGGCTTTAGAGGGAGAAAGGAATCATGCAGCTAGAGTCAGGGTCATTGGTCTCCAAGGTCAGTGGTCAGACAGGGAGAAAGGACAGAGGGGAAAGGAAGGAAGGGGCCAGGACAGAACTTTCTAAGGAGTGGGAGGGGTGGAGACAGGAACCACCCAGAACACCTAGTCCCAGCAGGGGCCCGCTGTCCCTCCACAGGCCTTCACTGTGCTGCTGGTGTGAGCATCATCTCCTGAGAAGCTGGCACGCTGGCCTTCATCTGTCATGATGCCCTTATTAGTGGCTCCCACGTCCATCGGCGGGACCTCATAAGCGGGGCCTGCCTGACCTTTGGAGCAGCAGATGCTACATCTGGCAGGGCTGATCAAAGAACCCCAGGACCAGGAGGCCTTGGGACTGAGCCGGTGCCCAGGGGCTCTGCCTCCTCTCCTGCGGGCTCTCAGTTTCTGGTCCCTGCTGGGATGTGGGAGGCAATTAGTTGGATCACACTGTGCTCACCCCAGTGAGTTCTCATGGAGCCAGAGGGGAGGATGTGCGACTCGCAAGAGCTTTGCTGCCTAGATTCAAAGTTGGTTCTGACACTTATTTAATTGTGTGACTTTGGGCAAGTTACTTAACCTTTCTCTCTTGTTTGTTCCCTCATCTGCAAAATGGAGATAATGATAGTTCATATAAATAAGTGGTAGTTGTTGCTATTCTGGGTGGAACTCTGCTCTCTTTGTTCCTGGCCCTGGAGATTCTGGTGCATATGATGCGGCTTAGAGGATTTAAGCAGTTTGCCCCAGGTTCCACAGTCAGCCAACGTGGGCAAGGCCCTGCCTACCTCAAAGTGCAAGCTCTCCACCAACCTATGATGCAGAGAGGGGTTCCCCGGGAGGGAAGTGGCAGCCTTGGCATTTGTTGTTCTGCCCAGAGGGGCTGGGATGTGTGGGGAGTGCAGGGGATGGAGGTGATGGAGAATCTGGGCCACACAGCTCCTGTGCAGAAAGCTTCAGAAGGCTTACCAAGGCTGGACCAACAGGGAGGCTGAGGGCTGTGAGTGTCCTTGGAGGAAGATGGGGTGGGACACAGTGGCGAGTGGACCAGTAGCAGCCATGCAGCAAGCAGAGTCCAGCTGGGCTCCACTCGGGGTGGACATCTGAGTCCCCAGCTGCCTCAGCTGTGCCCAGTGTAGGTCTAGGAGCTCAGAGAGAGCCACCTGTCTGCCACCTGCCCCAGTTCAGACATAGATGCAGATGTAGGCTTGCATGCACTGTTCGATTTTTGTCTCCAGCTATTCCTCAGAATGTGTGCCAGGAGCCCGAGGGAGGAGCTGACCCAACCCAGAGAAATGTTCTTGAAAGCTGCCCAGGCCTTAGGGAGGGGCCCATGAACAGGCTCCCCGGAGCTAGCCAGCAGTGCAGGGTCCTGACCTGCCAGTGGAGGTTCCACAGAGTGCCATGGAGGTGCTGGGGAATGGAGGGGGGCAGGGCTGGGCCCCACAGGCACACAGCAAGGAGGCACAGAACCACTGCTGGGGCCCCTTTCACCCCGCTGCGGGGTCCACTGGGTGAGAAGGGGGAGGATGGGGCTGTGGCTGGGGAACAGTGGGGCGTTTGGCAGATGAGCTGGGTCTGAGGTCAGAAGACCCAAGCACTAGCCCTGGTTTTGGCATTTATGATCATTGAGTATAGTATTTAAGCTAATGTCATAATTAGGGTGTCATCTTTATAGATGTCAATGAATAATGAACATTAATTAATATGGGGAGCAACTATTTATGTATCACTTACCATGTGCCAGGCATTGTGCCAAGGACATCTATGAACGGTCTCTTGTAATTCTCCCAGAATCTTATGAGGAAGGTGTCGTTTTCAGAGAGGAAACTGCCATGAAGGCTGGTGACTTGTCAAGGTCACTGCAGCAGGCAAAGGGTGGTGTCTGGGACTGCATCCTGCTGTGTCTCCTCCACAGGTCACGTGCTACATCATGGACGAGCATGACACTTGTTAGCTGTGAGCCACGCTACCTTTCCAAACTTCCTTTTGCTCATCAGCAAAATAGTTTTAAATACTTTTATCCTGATTACATCACAGGGAGCAGTTAGAATCAATTGAATGAGGCATGTGACAAGTATTTGTAGGTTCATTTATTATTTAATCAACGATGATTTATGGAGTCCCTGTTTTGTGCTGGTCACTCTTCTAGAGCCCAGTGAGACAGCAATGAACAGAACAGGCAAGGTCCCTGCTTTCAGAGGACCTAAACTCTAGCATGGGGGTAGGGGGACATGCAATCAACAATTTATGTATTTGTACATACAACACTTATGCAATTGTACATAAAGAAATACGATGTTCTTTCTCATAATGTTCAGTGCTTTGAATAAAAAAAGAGAGGGTGATGGGACTCAGTCTATGTCAGATGGATTGGGAGTCAGAGGTGATGTGAGGAGGTGATGCTTAGAGTTGAAGACCACTGACATAAGGGAGCCAGCCACGTAAGGAACCTTACTGGTGAAGGGATGGGAGGAGGGTCTGACCAGTGGCTAGAGCACAGTAAGTGGAGGGAGGGCAAGCACGGGAGTACAGAGTCAGGCAGGGGCCAGGCTGCCGGAGTCTTGTGGGCACTGGCAGGGAGTTTGGATTTTTTTTTTTTTTTTTGAGAGTACAGTGGTGTGATCACATCTCACTGCAGCCTCAACTTTGAAGACTCAAGCGATCCTTCCACTTCAGCCTCCCATGTAGCTGGAACTACAGGCATGCACCACCATGCCTGCGAGATTTTTTAATTTTTTTTTTTTTTTTGTAGAGACGAAGTCTCACTATGTTATCCAGGCTGGTCTTGAACTCCTGGCTCAAGCGATCCTCCTGCCCCAGCCTCCCAAGGTGCTGGGATTACAGGCGTGAGCCACTGTGCCTAGCCAAGTTTGGATTTTATTCTCAGGGGAATGGGAGCTGGGTTGTGTATTTTAGAAATACACGTGCTGCAGAAAACTAAACTGACAGTGTCACAAACAAATGAAGTTTATTTTTCTCACTTGAAAAGGAGACTGAAACTGGGTGGCTGTTGGTGCTGGCTCAGTGGCTTGGGGAGGTTGGGGCTGGGATGTATGTCATTCCTGGGCTTTCCCCTCTGGTTGTGAGTGGCTGCAGCAGCTCCAGGTATCACGGCTACATCCCAGATAGTCTGCTGGCTTCTTCTTAATCAGAACTGCTCTTAGCTTCAAGAGAGGCTGGAAAAGGGAGTCAGGTATAGGAATGAACTTTTCTGGCCCTCAGATGAAGGCAGGCAGGAGAGCTAGGGCTGGAGGTTGGGTATGGGTGAGCCTTGGCTTCAGCTACACTAGCGCTTGTTGAACTTTCAGGACATAGGATGCACGGGTCTGGGCTGGGGTCTGAGATTCTGTGTTTCAGGCATGCTCTCAGGAGATGCTGATGGGGCTGGCCTATCACTCAGACTCTGAAGAACATGGGTAAACACCACTGGAGAGTTTTAAGTAAGAAAGTCGTAGGCCAAGCATGGTGGCTCATGCCTGTAATCCCAGCACTTTGGGAGGCTGAGGCCAGCGGATCACTTGAGGTCAGGAGTTTGAGACCAGACTGGCCATCATGACGAAACCCCATCTCTACTAAAAATACAAAAACTAGCCAGGCATGGTGGCAGGTGCCTGTAATTCCAGCTACTCAGGAGGCTGAGGCAGGAGAATCACTTGAACCTGGGAGGTGGAGGTTGCAGTGAGCCGAGATTGCAATTGCACCACTGCACTCCATCCTGGGTAATAAAACCAGACTCCTTCTAAAAAAAAGAAAAAAAAAGAAAGAAAAGAAAAGAAAGGAGTGACTTGAATTGTGTGGCTCTGTGGAGAGTCCAGTGTCAGGGACTAGAGGTGACACCAGGGGTCCAGTTAAGGGAACAGAAATCACGATCACTTGGGTTAGGGTGGTAGCAGGGCAGATGGTGCTGACAGTTGGGTTAAAAATATTTTTTTATTTTTAATTTTCAAAATTGTAAAATATACATAACATAAACTTTATCATTTTCACTGCTTTTAAGTATATACAGTTCTGTGGTGTTTAAATACATTCACAGTGTTGAACCCCATCACCACTGTCCATTTCCAGAGCTTTTTCATCACTCCAAACGGAAACTCTGTACCCATTCAGCAATAACTTCCCATTCTCTTTCCCCTCCGTCTCTGGCAACCTCTGTTCCACTTTCCTTCTGTATGAATTTGACTACTCTAGGTGCCTTATAGAAGCAGAATCACATAATATTTGTTCTTTTGGAACTGGCTTATTTCACTTCACATAACGTCCTCAAGGTTCATCCGCAATAATGCTGCTGTGAACATGGGTGTGCAAGGATCTGAGTGAGTCCTGTGGTTGGTTGTAAGAGGTCTTTTGGAGTAGAGCCATCAGAATGCCCTGATTGGTGGAAACACAGGCTGGAGCAGAATGACTCCTGGGTTTCTGGCTTAGTGGCCGTGGTGGCTTATATTAAGTTGGGGAAGAACTTGTAAAGTGCTCTGCAAACACCAGATAGTATTTTATTCAGAATTGTTTTAAGGAGTTATCAGCCATGAAATTATCCTAATAAAGGCATGAAAACCTCCCTTTATTTATTTATTGAGACAGGGTTTCACTCTGTTACCCAGGCTGGAGTGCAGTTGGCGTGATCTCGGCTCACTGCAACCTCTGCCTCCGGGGTTCAAGTAATTCTCCCACCACAGCCTCCTGAGTAGCTGGGACTACAGGTGCATGCTACCACACTTGGCTAATTTTTGCATTTTTAGTAGAGATGGGGTTTCACCATTTTGGCCAGGCTGGTCTCGAACTCCTAAAGTCATGTGATCCACTGGCCTCGGTCTCAAGCTCCTGGCCTCAAGTGATCTGCCTACCTTGGCCTCCCAAAGTGCTGGGATTACAGGCGTGAGCCCCCGTGCCCAGCAAAAACCTCTCTTTAAAGAGTCATGCACCTGGGGCCTGGGCATGCAGGTTTCCATACCCCTTCCATAACTGCCTGATTGGAATGAGCAGTTGGCAAACTATGGCCCACAGACCAAATCCGGCTCACCACCTGGTCTTATATGTCCTAGAGCTAAGAATAGTTTTCACATTTCAAAATATAAAATGTGGGGGAAAAAAAGACGATGTAGCCCTTCACCTAGAACAGTTGCTGAATTTTGCCTCTTGGCCCCACAGAGCCTAAAACGTTGACTGTCAGGCTCTTTGTAGAAGTTTGCTGACCTCTGACCTATGTTTATTGGTTTGGCTCAGACAGACGATAGTGTGGTATCTTCTTCTGGAAATAAAACAAAAAACAAAACTCCTCCTCACCACTGCTGACCTACTTCTGTAGAGTTTTTTTTTTTTTTTTTTTTTTCTGATGAGCACCTGCTGGTTATAGGAGACCGCAAGCCAGACCACCCACCCTGAAGGCCTCTCCGGCCACCGCCCGCCCGTTAACAGCCCCAGTCAGCTGAGCCGGTGAAATGGATTCATGCCAGCACAGTGCTGTTTACCAGAGCAAGTGATTTATTTAGCATCTAAATTTTAAAGGGTGCCTGTGCTTCCCAGGAAGCTGTCTGGTTTAGAAAATTGCCCATAATAAATGCATGTAATAAATCCATTATTTTGAACCTAAAGAAAGGTATTCAAGTTTTATAAGAGAAAAGCAGTTTCTCCTCATCCTCGCTAAATACGTGTTGTGTAAATAATTACAAACAATGGTTTGAATGGGTGCTAAATTATCAACTTGCCAAAATGCAATCATGGCTCTTATTATTCCAATTAATCATGCAAACATCCACTAGCTGGTTTCTCCCTAGTGAGGCCTCCCCCATTCCTGAATAACCTAAGAATCCACGGTGCTTTGTGTCAGAAGACTTTGGAGAGAGCCGCCCCTTCGCTCAGGGTTTTTAGCTGTCGGACCCAGCCCTGGGCACTCCTGGGCCTCCTCATCTGCTGCTGCAGGGATGCCTTGGCCTGCTAGGCTGTGAGCCTGCCCCATTCTCATGTTCTTGAAGTTCTAGTTATTTTAGTTCATGCTTACTTTGCTCCCGAGGGGCTGAGTCCTAAGAGGTAGTGAGCTTCGATCCCAAGCCATGTCCCTTCCCTGGGACTTCCAGGCCAGGGATGAGGCTTAGATCCACGATGCTATGTCCTGAAATGTGGATGTCACCACATCCATCTTCGAGGGTGCTGGGATTGGGCAAGGCATTCTTCCAGGAAACTTTTTGGTCTCCTGGAAATTTGCAAATTTACCCACCTGCTCCTCTGGAATTACTTCTGTGTACCAAGGGAGATTGGGCGTGGTGATCTTTGTCAGGCCATAGGAGGTCCTGGGCAATGAGTGTCTACTTGCCTCACCTTTACATAACCAAGAGAGGTTCCCAGGAGTCTCTTCCTCCAGCTGAGAATATTGGTGGTGCCTGGCGTGTTGCTGGTTCACCTAGTTGAAGTGGCCAGAAGCCTCGGTCCTGCAAAATTTATGCATTCAACAGTGTTTTTTTTTTTTTTTTGAGAGAGTCTCACTCTGTTGCCCAGGCTGGAGTGCAGTGGTGCGATCTCAGCTCACTGCAATCTCCACCTCCCGGGTTCAAGTGATTCTCGTGCCTCAGCCTCCTGAGTAGCTGGGACCACAGGCGCGCACCACCACACCCAGCTAATTTTTGTATTTTTAGTAGAGATGGGGTTTTGCCATGATGGCCAGGCTGGTCTCAAACTCCTGGCCTCAAGTGATCCGCCCACCTCGGCCTCCCAAAGTGCTGGGATTACCGGCGCAAGCCACCGCACCTGGCCACATTCAACAAGTGTTTATGCAGCACCTCCCGTGTGCTGGGCACTGTCCTGGGCAGTTGGGATATGCCAGTGACCAGTGTGCAAAACAAAGGTCCCTGCCCTCTGAGGCTACATGGTGATGTATAAAGCTCTGTTCTTGAATACAGCACAGTGCTGGGGGACCCAGATTGCCCTGTGTGTGTGTGTGTGTGTGTGTGTGTGTGTGTGTGTGTTTGTGTCCAGGACACTGGAAAGGCTTCCCATAAGAGGAGGCATTTGATGGGGTTTTGAATGCTGAGCGGGATTCACCAAGGCCCACAGAGGTAGAGCTGGGGAAGGGCACCCATGCCTGAAGGTCTGGAAGTGGGCGGGAGCTGCGCAAATTCAGGCTTGGAAGAACCATGTGGCAGGAGCCAGGAATACTCTGGGAGAGCAGTTTGCCCATAGAATTCCCAGTTTCTTGCAAATAAATTAGCTCCAGGAGGGGCCACTCAGGGGAAAAGGTGGCTGTAGGGTGGGCTGGGGCCCAACTCTAAGGGGCTTTGAATGCTTTGCAAAAGGGGTTGATCTGTGTATTTGTAGCCTCATCCTTAGGGCCCCCAGCAGTGGACAACTCTAGGGGGTGGCATCACAGAGGCCTCAAGACGAGTGGCACCCCATATGGTTGGGTCCTGCCCCCTTCCCAACCACTGGTTCCCGATCTCCCCCAGTATGCTCTCCAAGGGCTGGCTCTGTGGGTGCATGTTAGAGAGGAGCATCCTGACTCGCTGTCTCATCCCCACCTGTTCTAGAGATCACATTGAATAACTTTTCTCCTTCTTAGGTGCTGCGTGCTGCACCTCCTGATTTAGGACCAGAATTCATTAGCACCTGTTTTGGGCACCTCCAAGGGTGGGGACGATTCCCCTGGGTCTGTCTTCTTAGTTCAAAGCAATTCTTTGTGTGCAGTGTTCCTAACTGTGGACTCGACCCCCACATTTGAGTTTCTGAAACAGCAGCAGGTGGGAGTTGAGGGCAGAGGTCATCAAGATTGGCCCTTGGACCACGTGAACCTGCATCATCCTGTTGGAAATGCAGATCTCCAGCTCAGATCTGCCGAGTTTGAATCTCTAGGAAGGGGGCCTGGAGTCGGTTTTTGGAATGTGTTTCTCAAGCATTTCTTAATGTATGTCAAAGTTTGAAGACTACTATATATGAGAGCAGCTCCTTAACATTTTGGGAGCTGGGGCTAGGTCTCCTTGATTGGATGCATGCATTTAGCCTTCAGAGATAATGGGATCTGGGCTCAGCTGGCCTCTGCCTGATGTGGTCTAGGTCGCCAGAGTCACTACCTACAAGGCCATTGTTCACAGTGGAGAAAAGGTAATCCCTCCCTCCCTACCTCTCTCTCTCTCTCTCTCTCTCTCTCTCTTTCTTTCTTTCTTTCCTGATGGAGTCTGGCTCTGTCATCCAGGCTGGAGTGCTATGGCATGATCTTGGCTCACTGCAACTTCTGCCTCCCAGGTTCAAGCGATTCTCCTGCCTCAGCCTCCTGAGTAGCTGGGATTACAGGCACATACCACCAGGCCTGGCTAATTTTTATATTTTTTAGTAGAGATGGGGTTTCACCATATTGGCCAGGCTGGTCTTGAACTCCTGACCTCAAGCAATCCACCTGCCTCGGCCTCCTAAAGTGCTGGGATTACAGGCATGAGCCACCCACGCCCGGCTGGAATCTTTCTTTGTTTTTGAGACAGGGTCTCACTCTTGTCGCCCAGGCTGGAGTGCAGTGGCACAATCACAGCTGACTGCAGGCTCAACCTCTTGGTTCAGGTGATCCTCTCACCTTAGCCTCCCAGATAGCTGGGACCACAGTCATGCGCCACTGTCCCCGGCTAATTTTTATATATATTTTTTGTAGAGACGGGGTTCGCCATGTTGGGCTCAAGTGATCTTCCTGCCTTACCCTCTAAAAGTGTTGGGATTACAGGCATAAGCCCCCATGCTTGGCTGAATCTTTCTTATTTGAAACTAAATCTCCTTCCCCGAGATTTCTACCCTGTGGTTCTGGTTCTGCCCACTGGAGTCAGACCAAGTAAACCCAGTGTGTCTTCCAGATGGCACCCCCGCAGACATCTGCAGGCTGCTGTCATATCAAGATCCCTGGATTTTTTGACCAGTTTTTATCTATTATGATCTCTAGACACTTTACTCTCCTGGGCACTCCCTTGAATGATGACTCTGTGCTATGTGCTTTCTATGTATTCTTATTTAACCCTCCCCGCATCCCAATAAGGTTGGCTTTATTTTCCCCATTTTACCTGAGCAAAGGTAGGTCCAAAGAGGTGAAGAGACTTTCCTAAGGTTACATGACTAGTTTGTGCCAGATCTGGGATTTAAACCTAAGGTCAGCTAGACACCAAAGCCAGAGTGCTATTATGACCCCCATTTTACAGACAGGGAAACTGAGGCTTAGAGAAGTCAAGGACCTACCTAAATCACACCACAGCAAGTGACAGAGCTGGGATATGACTCCAGAGCCTACATTACTTTTTTGGAGACGGGAATCTCACTGTCGCCCAGGCTGGAGTGCAGTGGCATGATCATAGCTCACTGTAACCTAATCTCAACCTCCTGGACCCAAGGGATCCTCCTGCTTCAGCCTGCCAAGTATCTGGGGCTACAGGTGCATGCCACTATGCCTGGCTAAGTTTTTATAAAAAAAAATTTTGTAGATATAGGGTCTTGTTATATTGCCCAGGCAATATAACAATTCCTTGCCTCAAGTTTTCCTCCTGACTTAACCTCCCAAGCAACTGGGATTACAGGTGTGAGCCACTATGCTTGGCAGAGCCTGCATTCTTAATCATGATGACAAATACTGCCTTCCCACCTAGTAATCATGCCTATATCAGGGGCTTCGCTGCTGAACACAAGGGCTGCTAAGCACATAGTTAGCAGCCAAAAGAAATATTGGATAATAGGATTATTGATATTATTATTAGAGATTGACACTGTTCCCACCTAATATGACATATATATATATGGACAAATATACCTGTCTTATATCAAAGGGAATTTTTTTTTAACTTGACATACTGTAAGATGACCAAAATTGCTGTTGCTTGGGTGGGTGCAGGAAGATATTTCAAACCATCCTTGGGAGTGACTGGTACCATTCAATACCATCAGTAGTGTTTTTTTAGCTTTTTAAATTAAAAAATACATATTTTTGTAGAGACAGGGTTTTGCTATGTTGCCCAAGCTGGTCTTGAACTCTTGAGCTCAAGCAATCCTCTCACCTCAGCCTCCAAAGTGCTGGGATTATGGGGGCGAGCCACCACACCTGGCCTACCAGAAGTGTTTACTGAGTACCTAGCACAGGCCCAGATGCACAGGGCCCCTGAATCAGATCCTATAGCTGTCAATTCACAGTCAAACCTCCTTCCTTGTAGACTGAAAGAGATTTTGTTCTGGTATCAGGTAACTGTGTTTCATGACCCCTTCTCCAGCTCCAAAGGCCATATATTAATAAGCCCATACCATTTGTCTTATCTCTGATTACATATATTTCCAGTCCTCTTGCTAGTGGTTGCCTTAGGTCTGGGCATGTGATAGGTATTCAGCGGTCTAACAATTGGCCAATGAGTCATCAGGAGATGTGTGCATCGAGAGAGCAATGGGAAAATTGTAGTGGCTTTTAAGGCAAGGCGTACAAAGGCCTCTTCCTGTCTTTTGGATATTATTGCGTGAGAATGAGATGTTTGTCACTGTCACAGGCCTCTATGACCGGGTTGGGTAAGCCCAGAGAATGCCAGAAAAGGTGACCCGAAGCCCTGATTTTGTTGCGCCACTGAATTAACATAATCTGGATGTCCCCTGCCTCCAGGCTTCTTGTATGAGATTATAAGTGTCCTTATTACATAAGCTACTTTCAGTTGGGCATTCTGATACTTGCAGCCAAAAGCATAACCTAAATGCTTATGGTCCCTAAAGAGCTTACAGGGCTCCTGGGGAGATAAGGAACACACTCAGGTATCATTAGGTCACCATATGGCAGCAGGAGGTAACAGCACCAACCACACAGTGACAGGCAGGACATTAGGAGAGAAGGGTGAGATCTGGGAGAAGGAAGAGGGGAGGTGAAGCGTGAGTGGGCTTGGGATTCAAAATGACTTAGAACTTGGGCTTTTTGTTGTTGTTGTTGAGATGGAGTCTCGCTCTGTGGCCCAGGCTGGAGTGCAGTGGCACGATCTGGGCTCGCTACAACCTCCGTCTCCCAGGTTTGAGCGATTCTCCTGCCTCAGCCTCCTGAGTAGCTGGGACCACAAGTGCACGCCACCACACCTGGCTAATTTTTATATGTTTAGTAGAGAGGGGGTTTCACCAGGTTGGCCAGACTGGTCTTGAACTCCTGACCTCAAGTGATCTGCCCACCTTGGCATCCCAAAGTGCTGGGATGTGAGCCACCACACCTAGCCTAGAACTTGGGCTTTGAAACCTGCCTCTACCGCTTACTGGCAGTGAAGCCTTGGGAAACGGACTTAACCTCTCTTGGCCCCAGTTTCCTCATCTGTCAAGTGGGGATAATACTAGGGGCTAAATCATGGGGCTTTGTGAGGATTTGAAAAGCCATTGAGCATGGTGCTTGGTACATGGCAAACTCTCAAATGAAAGCCATTGTGATGATTACTCTGGAGACATGAACCACTGTGAGGACCCTGGCTGCAGCCTCAATCCTGCCACCTGTCCCGAACCAGCTGAAGCACTTTCCTCCCGCTGCAGGTGCAGGCTCAGGTGGGCATGAAGAAACTCTTTAGCAAAGATCTTCCTCCAGGATGCTTCTACTTCTTCTTGCTTGTGCTATGCTCTTGTTCTATGTGGTTCTGGACGTCAGGGCTCAGCTCTGACCTGGTACCCAGACTTCAGGCTTCCTATTGAACCTAAATTGGTCCCTAGAATTGTGTCTTTTTTCTAGCCATGAATTTGGGCTCCCTGGTCTTGAAGATCTTGAGCTACCCTTTTTGACCCGCCCCAGTTTGATGCTCTGAGGGTGGAACCTCCTTGCTGATAAGTTGGCTCACAGGTGGCTGTGGATTGGTGCTTCTCCAGCTTCTGCCTGAGAGCACCCCTGGAGACAGAGGCGTGTGAACACCATTCAAGTCAGCTACGAGTGAGAAGGGTGTCTAAAGCCTTGTGTCTGATCTTTAATTCATGTGGATTTTGCAGCACTTCCTGACTTGAACAAGTCATTATAATATAAAAAGTTTAAGATAATTTACCATCAGGAAAGAATACAAAGAGTGGCTGCCCTATTCATTAATGCATGGGATGCAGCTGCAAAGCATCTAGCTATTTTTTTTGTATTGCACTGAATTGAAAAGAGATCACATTGCCTCACAGATTAGCTTTTCTCCTCTGTCCAAGGTTACAGTATGTTAAAAACCCAGGTCCATGTAACTCTGTGGCTATAAAGGGCAACAGTTCTTTGTATGGCAGCTTCAGGTAATCGCCGATGAGAGACATCTGGAATACCACCAGAGCAGTGGGCCCGTGTAGCATGTCCAGCCTTCTGTTGGCAGGCTGGATAGCCTGGGAAATGATGAGAATACTCTCCCTGACCTGGTGAAGCTGCAGAACTCTGTCTCTTGCCACCCTCCAGGTCTTCAACCAGCCGGCCCCTGCTTCTTCAACCTGCTCTCATTCATGTGACTTGAATCCTGCAGCCTGTATCTGTCTGCCTCTGCCCTTTGAGTCGGATAGGATGCAGGTAACAGAAGACCCCATGGACAGTGGCTTAAACCACGATGACACTGAATTATCTGAGAAGTCTGATCCAGAGTTGATGAGCAGATAAAAAATGTTGAAAGGATCCACGCTCTTTCCATCTCTCTGCTTAGTCATCCTCACTGTGTTTGCTTTTCTTCAGTTTGTTACTTTTTTTTTTTTTTGAGATCGAGTTTCGCTCTTGTTACCCAGGCTGGAGTGCAATGGGGCGATCTCTGCTCACTGCAACCTCCACCTCCCAGGTTCAAGCGATTCTTCTGCCTCAGCCTCCTGAGTAGCTGAGACCGCAGATGTACACCACCACACCCAGCTAATTTTTGTATTTTTAGTAGAGACGGGGTTTTGCAATGTTGGTCAGGCTGGTCTTGAACTTCTGAGCTCAGGTGATCCGCCCACCTCGGCCTCCCAAAGTGCTGGGATTACAGGCATGAGCCACAGTGCCTGGACAAGCTTGTTACCTTTTGATGGCAAGATGGCTGCCACAGCTTCAGCCATCGTGCCCTCACTCAACCACATTCAAGGCAAGAAGGAGAAGAAAGGGACAGTTTCTTCCATTAAATGTCTATCTCTTTTATCAGGAAGCAAGAAGCCCTCCCTCAGATTTGTCTTTATTTTTCACTGGCTGGAACTGTATCTTGACGGCAAGGGAAAATGGAAAAGTAAGAATCAGGGAAAAGCAAATGAGATTACTTTGTTTGTTTAGCCCAATCATGATTCATCTTCTGAGGCTGGAACAAATATCAGAGTCTGTAGCAATAAAGAGAAGGCAGTGACTTTAGGGTAGGCACTAACGGTGCCCACCAGTCTTTCTAATTTCCCATGTCACCCTCAACTTCTCAGGCCCACCCCTGGCCTGCCTGAAGAGCCTCAGGAGAATGCCCCCTTCTTTGTCAGACCCTCTTTGTAGCTATTGAGGCCCTCTTCGTACTTTGTTTTGAAATCTGTCATAGGGAAGACATGTCCTCTTTCGTCAAATCTCACAGAATTGCGTTCTGTGCCAGTCTGTAGGTGACAAATGACTGAGATAGAGACAGCTCTCACCCCGGCACATCTCAAAGACTACTGTCTCTGCGAACAGAGATTGTTCTGAAGAAAAGGCTGATCATTAGCCCCCCACCACAAAATTATTCCCCAAATCAAGTTTGGGTAAAATGACTATCCCTAGTAATTGGCCATTTTTATAGACAGTTCCGCGCATTCGCATTGCTTTCGAATGCAGGGTGGCCTAGGAGGGGCACGCTTTCTTCTGCAGGTAGAAGGAAGGGCACAGACTTGGGAGCCCAGGTTTGAGTCCTAGCACTGACAGTGTGACCTGGGGCAAGTCCTTGAACTTCCCTGGGCCTCTATTTATGTCCCTCTGAATAGGAGACATGATTTGCTGCTTCAGGGTTGCTGTGAGGATGCTCTGTGGCTTTATGGGAGAAGGCTGGAGGACTCTAAATGTGGTGTTACCTCCTGCCTTCAAGGCTTCTACTGTGAGCAGATTTTCAGTTATGTATTTGCAGTTGAACTTGGCCACCCGCTGGCTGGCTCACTTTGTTAGAAATCAGGACCGTGGCTTATTTGGGAGCAAGGTTCTTATACCTCATTGGCTTTTGTGCCTCTCTTTAAACTTCCCCAAGGAGCAGGTAAGGAGGTCTCCAGCTTCTTGGGTTTGTAGGTATATGTGGGGAGCTTTTCTCTTCCTTTTGTCCATTGCTATTTTCTTTTCTTTTATTATTGAGGTAAAATTTACATACAGTAAAGTCTACAAATTCTTTTTTTTTTTTTCAGATGGAGTCTCTCTCTGTCACCTAGGCTGAAGTGCAGTGGTGCAATCTTAGCTCACTGCAACCTCCGCCTCCCAGGTTCAAGAAATTCTCCTGCCTCAGCCTCCCGAGTAGCAGGGATTACAGGCATGCGCCACCATGCCTGGCTAATTTCTGTATTTTTAGTAGAGATGGGGTTTCACCGTGTTGGCCAGGCTGGTCTCAAACTCCTGACCTCAAATGATCCACCCACCTCAGCCTCCCAAAGTGCTGGGATTACAGACATGAGCCACTGTGTCCGGCCAAGTCCACCAATCTTTACATGTGCTGTACAGTTGATGTATTTTTTCTATATTTGTACATCAGTGCAAGCACCGCTCTAATCAGGATATGGATGGTTTCCATCACTCCAGAGGGTTCCCCATGCCCCCACCCGCTTCCCCCATCAACCCAGCTTGTGCTCACATGCAGCAGCTGCCATTGAACTTCACATGGGGCGGGTATTATATACCATGTGCTTTACATTGTTCCCTTAGGACTTTCACGTCTTTTTCTGATCAGTTTTAAGCAGCCTCTCAGCCCTTCTTCTGATGGGCTGGGCTCCTCCCTCCTGGCACATCACTGGTGACTGTCTACTGTCATCTCCTGAGGTGGCAGAAGCCTCAGATGTACCTCCCTTGGCAGGGTGTGTCCTGGGATATTCCTGCGGGCACCGAGACCAGGCCTTTGCTCCCAGGGGCGGCTCTGTGGCTTTGCTGGCTCTTGCATTGCAGGGCTTGGAGGAGCTGGGAATGGGCTGGGGATGGGGTGCCCTGGGCAAAGGTTTCTGAGAAGTGGCCTGAAGTCAGGCCAAGCTGGGGGGCTTTAGAGAAGGAGTGGATAAAGCTACAGACCCAAGAGAGGTCTGCACAATGGGGGGTGCTCACAGAACACCCACAATGTTAGAAGTGGCAGTTAAGTGTGGGGTGGTGAATTAGGCATTAGCTTGGCCCTCTACTGAGAATGACGGAGGACAGACCCCACCCCTGCTGACAAGGCTGACCTTAGGTGTGGTATGGTGGGAAGTCGCCCTTCCCTACAAAAATATCCCTTTCGCCTGCCTGCCAACACCATGTGTTCACTCACTTGTTCATGTCAGGGGTATTTCCTGGGACCCCGGGGATGCAGGCAGGCAATGTGCTAACGCCAACTGTGTGAGGATGCCCACAGGCAGGGCCTCTCATCCCGCGGGCCCACTTCCTAGACAGGCTGCTAACGGGTGGCCCACAGGCCAGATTGGGACCTTGGATGTGCTGGCTTTGGCTCCCATAGTTTAAAAACCTGGAAATTGCCTATAAAAACTAGATTCCTGACTTCTCCTGACAAATCAGGAGATCTGGCAACCCCAGCCTGCTACACAGCAGCAGGTAGGAGTGGGCACGGCACGCTTTCTCCAGTTTGCTACAGTACCTACCATCCCTCTGGCCTCATACCTGCTGGCCTAGGTATGTACATTTCTGCTACTACAGAAATGTAGATATCTCTGCTAATTTGAATGGATGGGAAGAGTTGGTGAAGGCCTCACAGGAGAGGCAGTGAGGCTTGGTCACCGGTTGGAGGGTGCCTGTCCAAACCTACTCAGGCTCTTCCTCTTGAGGGTGATGCTCTTCTCGGCAGATGCTCTCTGGAGAGGATGATAGTGTGGGGGAGGGGGAATGGGCAGGAGAGCAAGATGCTGAGATATTATCCCACCAAGGCCCAGGGTAGTGGTTCTCAAAGTATGGACTACCTGGATTAGGATCACCTGGGGGTGTTGGTTCAAAATGCAGCCCCACTGCAGCAGAGCCTGGAGGGAAGGTCCCCAGGTGATGCCCTGCTCACTCAAGTATGAGAAAAGGAGGCCGGGGCTTAGCAGGCCATGGGTCTGACACAAACTGTGTTTTCTAGGGCAAGACTGGGGACCCAACTCCTCCTTCTAGTCCCCTGATGGAGTCTTGTTTTGGACACCCTGCTTCCAGGCACAGCTGGGGCCCCCACCAAGCTGAGGGCATGAGAATCATCTTCTCCAGCCTTCTGGCTCCTGCACCTGGAGGAAAGGTCATGCTTGGCCTTGCCAAGTCTTTTCATTTTCCAGAATCTTTGAACTGCCACCCAGGCAGTGGGCCAGCTGTGAGAAATGGGATGGTGGCTGGCTGGCTGGTAAGGGACACCTTGTCTCCTCTTCCCTTTGATGGGTGTGCTTGCCTCTCAGCCAGGTGGCCTGACAGTTGCTGGGCTCTGGCCAGGGGGCTGGAATCATGGCCCTTTGTAGGTAAGGAGGGGCAGGGGTAGGGAGGCACCCTCGTGGTGGCCAGGGCGTACGTAAGGAGGCGCTTATGCTCAGGTTCTTGAAGTGGCCCAGCAAGAGAGCATTTCCTTAATAATGAGGTTCCTGGGGAGCAAAATATGGGAGGCCCTCATTCTCAGGGTGGTGAAGGGCCCACTCCCCACCCACTCCTGCCAGAACTTGAGAATGCGGGCTCCCTAAATGTCCCACTCTCCCAAACTTGTCTGGTCCTGCATCCTGGTTACTGCACTCAGGGAGCCCGAGGGATGTGCTGGGATTGCAGGTGAAGGAGAGGGTGGGGCAGGCAGAGCATTCAGGACCTCTCACACCAGACCATGGCTTCTCAACCCCAGCTGCACACAGGAAGCCCCCGGGAAGCTTTAACATTTCCTGATGCCAGGACCCCATCCCCAGAGATTTGGATTTAATGAATCTGGGGTGCAGCTGGTGTTGGGATTTTTAAAACTCCCCAGGGGATTCTAATGGGCAGCAAACTTTGAAAACCTCTGATCTGGATGGAGCAGGGAGGGTGTTGTTTATGGGTTTTCCTTCCATCTGTTTTAGTTGGAAGCAACAGACCGACAAGCAGGACACAGACTTCTAAGGGTAATGCTGTTTTTTTTTTTCTTTGAGATGGTGTCTCACTCATTCCGATTGTACAGTGGCATAGTCTTGGCTCACTGCAACCTCCGTCTCCCAGGTTCAAGTGTTTCTCCTGCCTCAGCCTCTCGAGTAGCTGGGATTACAGGTGCTCACCACCACGCCTGGCTAATTTTTGTATTTTTAGTAGAGACGGGTTTTCACCATGTTGGCCAGGCTGGTCTCGAACTCCTGAGCTCAGGTGATCTGCCCGCCTTGACCCCCCAAAATGCTGGGATAACAGGAGTGAGCCACCGTGCCCGGCCTGGGTAACACTTTTGCTGGTAACACCAATAGCTGAATGCTGTTGTCAACATTCAACAAGGTGAATGGACTATGAGGAGGACGGAAAGAAGCCTAAGATTCAAGCTCCCAATCTGTGCCACATGCATCATGTTTGCCACTTAACGGTCAGTCCTGGGAGTTTACAGATGAGGAGCTTGAGTCTTGGCCAGGCTAAGGACTTTGCCTGCGCCTCACAGCTGTGGAATTGTAGAGCCTTAAATGAAATTGATGTGTGACAAGGTGCTGGTAGGAATGAAAGTCCTTCCTGTTGCTTTCAGATTGATTTTCTAAATAAAGTATTTCTGGGGTCAGCTGGTGGAGGAGAGGGCTTGGGAAAGAACTGGGCCCCGACTCCTCTCTGCCTGCAAGATAGAGGGTGGGGAGGAGCTGAAGGCTATTTTAGGCCCCGTCCCCCATCAGATTCTGTCGGAATCTGGCCTCAGCCAGCTGCCTCAAGTGATTTTAAGGAAAAATACCTCTCCCTCTGCTTAAAGACAAATAGATCCCTGAACGTAAAGTGAGTTGACTAGTGTGATAAAAACGGGCCTCCTCCTTGCCTCCAAATTCTCTCACACACACACACACACACACACACACACACACACACACGTATGCACACATACACACACTCAGAGTTACCGCAATTCCACCACCTAGGTGATTAGATTGAGCCAGAAAATACTCATGGGAGGGTAAGTGGGGAGACAATTCCATCTGTTACAGCATATTATAGGTTACAGAGTACTTTTATAGGGGGCTGATCCTACATTCTCAGCAGACCTATGCATCCTGCTAGACAGCAAACACCGTGGGGAATATGCCACAGAGGCTTCTGTAGATGCAAAGAGAGAGCATTTAAGGTGAGGCTTGGAAGATGCTGAAAGTTGCTCTTTAATGGGTAACTTTATGCAAAAGAATTGTCCCACTGGCTTCCAAAGCAGTAACAATGCTGTGAGCAGCTTTTTGCTGTGGTGACAAAAGTTCACTTTCTCCTACTGAGAGTGGTTTCTGCATTCTCAGTTGGTTCATGCAGGAGCAGTGGGCCAGGGAAGAGAGCACCAGGGCTGGTTGGATTCCTGCCTGTCCACTTATGGGCTCCCTCACCTTGGGTGAGGGGATTAGCCTCTGAGTCCTGGTTTCCTCCTATGCATGTTGGGGGCTTCTGCTTCTGGCCAAGACAGGGTAGCAGGGACTGGATTTATACTCCTGCCTGAAACAATTTTTAAAAAACAGACAGAACATATGAAATAATGGTTTTCAAGACACTAGACATTAGGCTACAAGATTCAGGGGTCCCACAGAGCTCTATGGTTGTCTCTGCTTACTACCTGGAGAGTGTTTTCGGCCACAACCCAGAGAGGGGGAACTCGGGCCAGGTGGGGAGAAATGGAAGTAAATTCTGTAAATGTAAGGTTCTTATACTCGATGTGAAGTGGCACAACATCACTTGAAGGTAAATTGTGAAAAGGTCAAGATGTGTACTATAAACACTAAAGCAACTGCTAAAATAGCAGAGTTACAGCTGCTAAGCCAATAAAGAAGATAAAATGGAATAATCAAAAATAGTCCAAAAGAAGGCAGAAAAGGGGAAAAAAATAGATGGAACAAATAGAAAACAACCTGGGGCTATGCCAGGTTCCCCTGCCTCTCCTCCTTGGAGTCAGGAGGTCCCAGCCCTGCCTCCAAGCCACACTGAACCTTGGTTTTCTCATCTGAAGAATGGGATAGCAGTTCTGACCTCTCAGGGATATCCGAGGGTTCCTCGGGAGTGTGGTGCCTGGTGCAGGATGGCTGCTTTCCCTCTTCTGTCTGCCTGGCCCAGCTCCTGCCTCTGCGCTCCTCTCCCCTCTCTTACTTGGGGGTACTTTTCTCCCTTGGACTGCCCCTGCCTCTCCAAGGCCTTCTGGGAGCCAAGTGGCTTGGCCCTGCCAGTGGGCAGGTTGAAGATTTTTCCTTCAAGACCCTCGAAGGCCAGGTGGTCAGGGGTTGGGGGGCATGAAAGTTGAGTGAGACTAAGCTTTTTGCTTTTGTTTTTGTTTTTATTATTTTTAATGTTTCATTGTGGTTTTTTTTGTTTGTTTGTTTGTTTTTTTTTTTTTTTTTAGATAAAATTCACATAACATACAAGGAACCGTGTTAAAGTGTACAATTCAGTCTGGGTGTGGTGGTCCACACCTCTAATCCCAGCACTTTGGGAGGCCAAGGTGGGAGGATCACTTGAGTCTAGGAGTTTGAAACTAGCCTGGGCAACGTGGTGAAACCCTGTCTCTACAAAAAGTAGAAGAATTAGCTGGGTGTGGTGGTGTGGGAGCTGGGGGTGGGAGGCTGAGATGGGAGGATGGCTTGAGCCTGGGAGGCAGAGGTTGCAGTGAGCCGAGATCACCCCACTGCACTCTGGTCTGGGCAACAGAGTGAGACCCTGTCTCAATAAATAAATAAATAAATAAATAAAAATTATACAATTCAGTGGCATTTAGTATATTCCCAATGTTGTACAACCACCAGTTTCAAAACCACTAGTTTCAAAATTTTTCGTCACTCCAGAAAAACACCCTGTGCCCATTAAGTAATCACTCCTCATTCTCTCCCTCCCCCCAGCCTCTGGTAACCACTCATCTGCTTTCTCCCTTTATGGATTTACCTATTGTGTTCATTTCATTTCAAAGGAATCATAGACTCTGTGGCCTTTTATGTCTGGCTTCCTTCCCTTGGCGTAATGTTTTAAGTTTCATCCATGTTATAGCAAGTGTCAGCACTTTATTTCTTTTTAATAGCTGAGTAATATTCTATTGCATGTACATAACACGATTTGTTTATCCATTCAGCCGTTGATGGACATTGAGTTGTTTCTACCTTTCGGTTACTGTGGATAGTGCTGTGATGAACATTTGTGAACAAGGGGAGTCCCTGTTTTCAGTCATTTCGAGCATATCCAAATGCGTGGAGTTGGTGGGTCATACGGAAATTCTGTTTACCTTTTGCAGAAACTGCCAAACTGCTCTCCACAGTGGCTGTACCTCCTTTTAGTTTTCATATTATATTATT
Source organism: Homo sapiens (assembly GCF_000001405.40). Lineage (NCBI taxonomy): Eukaryota > Metazoa > Chordata > Mammalia > Primates > Hominidae > Homo > Homo sapiens. The sequence goes on from NC_000010.11 coordinate 97,820,794, forward strand.
CTAAGTGCAAAGATAAGACAACGCCATAGAAAATTTGGAAATTATGCCTTGAGCAATTTTTTTAAAAAAGTTTTCATTTTAAAAAATCATAAAGTTTATATAAATCCATGCTTATTGTAACAATTCAAAGACATTTCTAGCAGAAAAAAGTCTATCTGCTCCTCCATCACTTTCCCCCTAGCTGATAAATGTTGACCCTTTAGTAAGTATCTTTCCAGACATTTTCCAGGCATTGATAGAGTTTTGGGATTTTTCTTTTTACATGAACTTGTCATACTATCCATATTATTTGCTTTGAAATCTTTCTATGCATTTCTTGTGAATTTCAAGTTGGAAAGACTGTCCCAGAGCCAGGCGGGTGGTCCCTGGAGGAGAGACCCTCAGATCTGTGACCTGTCCTTGCTCTGTTAAAAAAAGTTTGGAAGTCTGGGCCACAGGTATGGACAAAGTTGTCCTTGAGTGGATGGATAAAGAATGTATTATAATTTTCTTTTTGTTATCTGCATATATAAATTCTTTGTAAAATGAGTATGAATTGCTTTTATAATAAGAAAAAAAAGTGGGGAAGAATTGAGGGCCTGCAGTCTTGGTGCCCAGCTTGTACCTTAATTTAGCACTAACTTCATTCCTTCTCATTGCATAATGAGTTGTTTATGTGTTTGCCTCCCTTGAGGGAGGACAGGCTTATTCATCTCCTTGCCCTCCCGACTCCTTCCCTGCTCAGGTCTGAGCCCCATGCCAGGCACACAGCAGGATTGCTGAACCAGCAAGTAGCCCCTGCAGGGTTGTGGTGGAGGCTGCAGAGGAGAGGGTGGGTCCCAAAGACCCCCATATGCCCTCAGCTCAGGCTCCCAAAGGAGAGTGCATAGCCGGGGGAGTCCAGGCCCCCAGGACCAGGCTCCCAGTGGTCACACTCTCTGCAGGGGCACTGGGCCCAGCCTCTGTGGGAAGCTGGGTGTGAGCGCAGGTGCAGTTATTCATGGCAGCCCTGGCCAGAGTACCCATGGCAGGCGGCATCCAGCTGAGGAGTTAATTAGAGCACTGCCAGGAGCAGGAAAGGGGGGCAGGAGGCTTGGAGGCTTGGGCTCCCTTTCCATAGAGATAGAAATAGCTGGGCTCCTGGCGGAGGCGGAGAGCAGTACACACAGGAATGGAGGTGCGAGCAGCCAGCGCCTGGGGCACAGGGTGGGGGTTGTCTTCTTGGGCTTGTCCCGTCATTCTTGTTTGGGAGGGGGAAGGGGAAGGGGCATGTGGTCTGTGGCCCGGAGGGGGCCTGTCCGAGGCCCTTCTTCTCCTTCCTGGGGCCTCCCCATCTGTCTCCCAAGCCTGGCCTGCCCGGGCTCACGGGGGGCATCACAACAGCCCCAGAGCCCTGGCCTCACCTTCCTGCCTCTAGCTTTCCATGAGAAGCAGGCTATGAAGGGGTGGGGTGGGGTTCCAGAGCTCAGGATCATTCTAGCATTTCTAGGGGGTAGTCCCTGGTGGTGCTGGGCAGCTCCGTGCCTGACTCATCTGAAAACACTTTATAAATAACCTGGCAGAGGGACGTGGGCTGTCCACCCCCGTACCCGCCACACTCTGTGAGCAGGTGGCAGCACCGAGGTCCTGAGGGCTTTTGAGATGTCCAGGGCAGGGTTCTGGTCAGAAGCCAGGCCCAGGGGGATGCCGGGAGGGAGTGTTGTCCACCTCTGGTGAATGGCGCTGCGGGGGTTCTGGGCACCATGGAGTCCTCCTCTCAGCTGTGATGTTGTCAGCGCCACAACCTTCGATGGGAGCATTGGGGATTTCTGGCTGGGCAAACTGAGCCACTATGGACTAAAGTTGCTGGGAAACCTGGGATGAGTCACTTCCCTTCTCTGGGAACCCTCATTGGTAAAATGAAAAGGTTGAACTAGGTGAGTACTAAGGTATATTTTTTATTCTCCTTGGTGGGTACAGGTTGGTGTTCCTAAATTAGATACCACAAATATTTACTGAACCCTCATGTCCCTGCACTGTGCTAGGCAGCTCTATGCAATTATTAAAAAAAAATTTTTTTTATTTAGAGATAGTCTTGCTCTGTTGCCAAGGCTGCAGTGCAGTGGTGCGATCTTGGCTCACTGCAGCCTCAACCTCCCAGGCTCAAGCAATCCTTTCATCCCAGCCCCCTGAGTAGCTGGGACTACAGGCGCACACCATTACAGCCGTCTAATTTTAAAAGTTTTTGTAGAGATGTGGTCTCCCTGTGTTGCCTAGGCTGGTCTCAAACTCCTGGCTTCAAGAAATTCTCCCTCCTCAGCCTCCCAAAGTGCTGGGATTATAAATAGGTGAGAGCCACTGCACCTGGCCTTTTTTCTTTTCTTTTTTTCTTGAGACAGAGTCTTGCTCTGTTGCCCAGGCTGGAGTGCAGTGGCACGATCTCAGCTCACTGCCACCTCTGCCTCCCGGGTTCAAGTGATTCTCCTGCCTCAGCCTCTCAAGTAGCTGGCATTACAGTCGCACGCCACCACGTCTGGCTAATTTTTGTATTTTTTTTTTGTTTTAGTAAAAATAGGGCTTTGCCACGTTGGCCATGCAGGTCTCGAATTCCTGACCTCAAGTGATGTACCCACCTCGGCCTCCCAAAGTGCTGGGATTACAGGCATGAGCCACCATGCCCGGCCTCAAATATTTTTTAATAAGGCTCATTTGCTGCTAGTTAGTGCATTGGGTAGGGGCCCATGCCGGTCAGGCCACATCAGGGTCTCAGGCCAGGGCAACAGCTGTATACGTGTCAGTCGTCTGAAGGATTAGCAAGGGAGTGTGGCCACGGCTCAGGCAAAGGCAGAAAACACCTGACACCGAGAGGGAAGGGCACGGTGGGCTCTGATGCTTGTCTGAATTTCCCTCAGCAGCCCCATTCACCAGATGGGCCCTGGGACTCGCTCAAGGTCCCATAGCTGGAAGTGATGGGGGCCCTGGGAGGACCCAGGTGTTCTGATTTCAAGCCCGGTTTCTTGGGAGGAATGCTCATTGTTTCTATATTCTCTATTTGGAAATATCTCAAGTAGACACGATGGCACCAGGAGCAAGAGGCCACTGGGCAGAGAAGGCAGGGTCCTGCGTGTTCCTGATCAGGCCTGCTCTGGTCTCAGGCTGGGGAGGACACTGTGTCCTGGTGCTCGGCGGTGTCTGGCACAGATGGGCGTGTGTGGGTGGGGCAGGAGGAGGAGCAGTTACCCGCAAATGGAGCCTGCGTGCTGGACACGGAGAGTCTCTCCCTTGTCAGGCCTAAGGGGACACCAGGAGCCCCCCGGGCAGGAACAGTATCTGGGCGGCCAGCGGTTGGACACAGGGCTGCAATAGGGTCTGATTTTGTTCCTGAGGAAGAAGAGACATTTGACTGGTCAGCCACAGAGGGCAGACGAGGATTCTGGACGCAGATTTCAGCGTGGCACAGCCTGTGTACTCACTGCTGGGGCACTGCCACCTGTGAGGTGATGAGCTCCCAGTCCCCCGATGAGTGGTCTTCTGTGAGGGTGTGGAGGAGGGGACTCCATGAGGGAAGGGCTGGATTAGGCTGGTGGTCCCCAACATGGCAGCACATCAGAATCCCTGGAGGAGTTTGCTTATGGTACAGATCCCCGAGTCGCCCCCCGAGCCCCCACTAGATAGGACTCCCCAGGGATGAGCTGCACAACCTCCACGTCAGGCCTTCAGAGGCTGGGGCTCCATTTATCCCAGCCTCCCTTACCCACCCCTGAGATACGCTGTTGAGGTTTCAAGCACAGTGCAGCTGCACATGTAGTAGCAGTCCATAGACAGAGAACAAACGGCAACCTCAGGAGACTGCGGATTCAGAGCTTAGTCAGTGGATTTGGTGGCTGCACACAGCTTGGACAATGGCTTCCCTGCAGGCCACTCAAGAGACTGATGTCAGGTGTCATGCCTTTGGGGATTAAGATGCTGAAAGGGTTTTGATATCTTTCAAGGGAAACAGAGCTACAGGGCCTTCAACAAGCTGCTTTGCTCCTGCGGTCAGTCCAGTTCAACAGTAGTCTCTGGCTGGGTGCGGTGGCTCACGCCTGTAATCCCAACACTTTGGGAGGCCGAGGCTGGAGGATTGCTTGAGGCCAGGAGTTCAAGACCAGCCTGGCCAACATGGCAAAACCCCATCTCTACTAAAAATACAAAAATTAGCAGGTGTGGTGGTGCACACTCGTAATCCCAGCTACATGGGTGGCTGAGGAACGAGAATTGCTTGAACCCAAGAGGCGGAGGTTGCAGTGAGCCGAGATTGTGCCACTGCATTCCAGCCTGCGTGACAGAGCCAGAGTCCATCTGGAGAAAAAAGAAACAAAAAACAAAAAACAAACGTGGCCCCTGATGAGGGGGAGCCTGGTGCAGTAGGAAGAGTGCGGCCAGGGGCAAGTCCAAAGCCTCCTCCTGTCTCGCTGTGTGACTTTGAGCTAGTGTCTTACCCCCTCTGGGCCTCTCATTTGTAAAGTGAGGGCGTTGCACCTTCAAATCCTCCCTGACCTGGCATGTTACAATACCTTGAGTGACCAGGATCTGGGGTGTTTGCCTAGTGACTGGCATCAAATGTTGTTCTGACCTGTTCCTTGCTGTGGCATCTCCCCTCCTTAGTTACTTGTTTCCCACTGTCTGCTGGAAGTGTGGCTGTCCTGGCTAATCAGGCAGGAAGGCCTGGTAGCAATGGAGGCAGGGCAGTTGGTGGGCGGGAAGGAGTGAGCACGTGGACCTTCCAGGCAGTGGGGCCGGCCAGGGGCAGGGTTCCAGGTCCCAGGGCAGGGGAAACTGCCAGGAAACTATAGGCCCTGCCTCAGAGAGAGGACTGGGGCCAGAAGTGGGGGATTCTGGCTTAGTACACTAGCCCTTGAGGCCCATGAGGCCTCCCAAGAGCACGGTGGACAAGTGTAATGTATAGGATACTCCTGGGGTTAGGGACGGGACAGGCAAGGAGACATTAATGCCACATCTTGAGGGCACATTCAGGGCCAGGCATTGCATTTGTACAATTTCCAGATTTCACAAAACTCATGGGAGTGGATATCACTTGCCTCATTTATAGACAAAGATAGGAAGGCCCATGTTAAATGATTTGCTCATGGCCACACAGCCAGTGAGAGGCAGAACGGGATGTGAACTCAGGTCTGGCTGATTCTAAAATGCACAGGGCTCCCTCTGCATCGTGCACCTCCTCCTCTGTTACAAGCATCGTTCTTCTGAAGCTCAATGGCACCCATCAGCTCAAGGCTCTGCGTGTATCTGTCCAAGGTCAGGGGTACGTGCACAGAAATGGACATGCATGAAGGAAGTGTGACTCAGAATTAAATTGCAACAGAGAAATTTAAAATCACCTAGGCCAACAGAGTGTCAGCAGGATTTGAGCCTGAGACCTGTCAGGTTGCAAAACTGATTGCTGGGGAAACTGAGGTTGATGAGCTCCAGCCCCCGGCCATGCGCTCACATGGTATGTGGGAGGCCAGCTGCGCAGTAGTTGCAATGCCTCATATTTCTGGGGAGGTGGCCATGAGCTGCTGTGCTGGAGGCAATCAGGGAGGGGTCCCCCAAAGGGGCAAAGTTTGAGTTGTCTCTCAAAAGATGGGTTGAAATTCACATGCCAGTTAGGTATGGGAGAAAAGAGTTCTAGGCAGCTGGAACAGCATATGAAAAAAATCAGAGGCCTGGAAGGATGCGTGGAGTTGGGGAAACTGGGAGTAGCTCCCTGGGGTGGGAGGCTGGGTGCAGGTGAGAAGGGAGGTGTGGGAGACGAGGCTGGGCAGAGGAGCCAGAGCGTGGGCTGGATTATGGAGGGCGTGTATCTGTGTGACCTTCTGACTTTGGCCAAGCCTCAGTTTCCTCAGCTATAAAATGGGAGAAATAAGGCCGTCTGTCTGTACAGGTTGTTGTGAGATGTAAACTAGACAGTAACAGTGAAGTGGGTGGCAGTGAGCCTGGTGCAGGGGCAGTAACTGGCTGTTGCTGCTATAGTTGGTGATGGTGATGGTGATGGTGATGGTGATGGTGATAATAATAACTGGGTTTCCCAGTTTTCTTTCATCTGTTCTCAACACAGTAGCAAGAGTAGTTCTGTTAAGACATATGGCAGATAATATCCTTCCTTTGCTTACAAGCCTCCAGGGACTCCCCTTTCATGCAAGGGAAAAGCCACAATCCTTGTGACAGTCTTCAGGCCCTGCCTGACTTGATTTGCCCCTTAGCATACTCCCTGTGTTCCCATGCTGCTCCCTTCCTGTCACTCTGCTCTAGCTGCTGGCCTCTTCACCATGCCTGGAACTTGCCAGAGTACTCCTGCCTCAGGGCCTTTGCACTTGCTGCTCCTGCACCTGGAATGCTCCTCCCCAGGTGTCCGTATGGCTTGCCCTATCTAGCCTCCTTCAGGTCTTCAATCACATGTCACTTTTTTTTTTTTCAGACAAGGTCCTGTTCTGTCACCCAGGCTGGAGTGCAATGGTGCAATAATGGCTCACTGTAGCCTCAACCTCCTGGGTTCAAGCAATCCTCCTGGGTTGGCTTCTTGAGTAGCTGGGACCACAGGTATGCGCCACCATGCCCAGCTAGTCTTTTAAAATTTTTTGTAGACATAGAGTCTCACCATGTTGCCTAGGCTGGTTTCAAACTCCTGGGCTCAAGCAATCCTCCTGCCTTGTCCCCCAGAAATGTTGGGATTACAGGCGTGAGCTACCATGCCCAGCCACGTCACCTCTTTAGTGAGGTCTTTGGTTGTGCTGCCTAAAATTGCAAACTGCCCCCTGGCCCTTGCCAGCACCCTGCCCCCCCTCCCCATCTTTCCTCCCTCTTCTATATCCCTTCTAAGTGTTGATCACCTTCTAGTTTATTATGTATTTGTGTTGCATTGCTTGTTACTCCCGTTAGAACATAATGAGAGCAGGGCCCTTTGCCTGTCTTTTGCCCCACGGTATCTCCAGCGTCTAGCTCAGAATTGGTGCTCAGCAATATGTTATTATTTTTTATATGATCTCTGGAGGATAGGTTGGGCCAGCCCCCCCCGCTGGTGTGGCTGGGCCATGACCAGGATCCTCTAAGCTTGCTGTGCTTCTTAGGAAAGGCGTTTCCTGCATCCCTCCCGTCTCTTCCACAGGAGCCCCGGAGCTGCAGGATTCCTGCTGACAGCCTCTCCCACCTGCAGTCATCCCACTGATTTCAAAATGCAGCCCCTCTGCTGGCTCTGGGCTCCCTCCCTGCCAGAAGCTCAGTGAGCATCGCGGGAGGATGGCTGGCAGCCTGTGTGCCATCTCATTCCGGAGGAATTTCCCCAGTTCCCAAAGCAGTCCAGTGCCTGGGGGCCCTGGAGCCTGGGTGGCCTGATTTAGATCCTGGGAGCAGGGCCCCAGCTGCAGTCTTCCCTAGCCAGCCGAAACTCCTTCTGCCAGAGAGGCCTTCTCTCTAAAAGCTCTCTGGCCTTGTGCATTTCTGCCCCAGGGAGCTGTTCTTTCTAGATCACTGGGCTGCACCCAAGTATTGGAGTAAGGTACCGCAGTCACTCAGTCACTCTGCTGTACCAAGCTCCTCTTTCTTTAGGCACACCTCCTGGAGCACCTGCAGGTGTCTCTCAGACCCCCTCCCCTCCCAATAGTCCCAGCCTCATCCCCTGTCAAACCTTGTTGGCCCATGTCCCACTTGCTTATAGCCTGGCCTGTTGGAGTGACTGACAGTCCGATACCTTCTCCATTTATTGTGTCCCTCTGGGACCTTCAGGAGACAACAGTGCTTTCATTCAGAGGAGTGGCAAATGGAATTGCAGGCTGGCAGTGGTGGGATTTTGGAATAGGCTGGGCTCCAGTCTCTGGATTCCCACTAGAGGAGTGGAGACTCCTCTGAAAAGAGGACAAGATCAGGTATCAGATAGACTGGAGTTGGAATCCTGACTTTCCTACTTGGATGTGTCCTCTTGGGGAAGTTCCTTGCCCATCTGTAGAAGGGGTGTAGCAGAGGTACCACTCCTCCCAGGATGGCTGGGGGGACTAAGTGAAATGATGGATATGAGGCCCTTGGCTTGGGGCCTGGCACAGAGTAAGGGTAAACAAATGCGAGTGGTTTCCTGCTGCACCAGGATGTGGGTCAGGTCTTCTCCCTGCTGAGTGCTGAGCCATCAATGGTACCCAGCTATCCCAGGGCTATCTGAAGCAATGCAGGAGCCAGCTGGTCCCCTAGAACCTGCCCTGGGCACAGGCGAAGCCTCCTCCTCCTGGGATCCAGCATCTCTCTGGCTGTGGCTCTCCATGCAGAACCTGTTTCTCCCACCTTGCTCTTTCTGTCTGGGCAGTCAGGGCTGATGAAGCTGGCCACCCTGGAGCCATAGGGAAGTCTCTGCCTGTTGTGTTTGGTAGATCCTCTGGCACTCAGTGACTTCAATTTCACAGACCTCTCGAGGATCCTGATTTCCTGCTCTCTTGTTTGTAAAATGACTCAAATGAGGGACAGAAACCCAGACACACATGAACAGCTAGAACGCAGGAGAATTTGCAAATCTCAGGGTGTCAGGCCTGGGAGAGCCCTGAGGGTCATGAGGCCCACCTGCCTCTGTCAATGATGGAGAGCCCGAGGTCCAGAGAGGGCCTGTTACCTGTCACAGGTCACACAGCTTGTAAAGGACTGAGCTAGGGTTCAAACCTGGATTTCCTGACTCCCCATCCATTGCTGTCTCCACTGCACCCCACCAGCCTGAACAGTGTGCTGGGGACCCCACAGGGAACCCCACTTTCATTTCCTGCCTCCATGTCTTGTCCCACATCCCCATACCGGATCAGGTAGAAAGTCACAGGGAGCAACTCACGTGGGGATTGGTGAGGATCAGGATGGTCTCTAATTCCAAATGGGCCGGTTACAAGAACTTGCTGACTGCCTCCTCTCCACGCCTCTGTCCGTGCTCTTTCTGTAGTCTGGACTGCTCTCCTCCCAACTCTGCTGGTCAAAATAGCCTTCTCACACCTCCCAGGTCCCATACCTACCAGCTCCCACACCTCCCGGATCCCACCTCTCCCAGGTCCCACACCTCCCGGATCCCACACCTCCCAGGTCCCACACCTCCTGGATCCCACACCTCCCGGATCCCACACCTCCCGGATCCCACACCTCCCAGGTCCCACACCTCCCGGATCCCACACCTCCCGTGTCCCACCCCTCCCAGGTCCCACACCTCCTAGATCCCACCCCTCCCAGGTCCCACCCCTCCCAGGTCCCACACCTCCCAAGAAGCTTTGTGCAGAAAAGGAAGGACTGTACACTGTTCCTTTGTTCCCCATATAGCACTTTGTTTATGCTGCTTTTATCACATGGTTTCTTATGTTTTCATTGTCGGCTGAAGGAAATGCCCCTTCCCTGCTTTCATTCTAAGACATTTGGGAGCCAAGTCAGTTTCAGAGGCTACAAGACAGGGAGCCAGGAATCACCTGTGTCCCGACCAGAACACTCAGGGGGAGGAGCTTCTCTGCTGCTGAGGCTTGGCTGGCCTGGCTTCCTCCCACCTGGTCAGACTCTCATCTTCCCTCGGTTTGTGGGAAGTGAGTCCATTCATCTCTGAAATACTCTTAACAGGCACTTATAAACTAGACATTGGGTCCTTCTGTAAACCTGTTCTGGCACAGATGCTTACAAAAAAACACTCATCTCTCCAGTAGGGTCCTGAGGCCAGATGGCCTTGTGCCCACGGTGCCAGTAAAAGGCTGGAGTTTGGTTGGTTTTCCCTGCCTAGAAAATAAAGGAAAGGAAGATGTGGCACCTGCCTAACCAGCCTCTCCTGCTGAGGGTTTCCAGTTCTCAGAAATCTCACACTGTTATGAGCTATGATGTCTGAGCTGGGGCCTGCTATCACCTGCACTTCCCAAGCAGCTCCTGCAGGAAGTTGGACCTCAGAGCCAATCAAAGCCTTGGGATTCCAGGGATCTGCCTGTATCCTCCTTCTAGCATGGACCAGATATCCTAGCAAAATCCAATGAGTGGCTCCACGCAGATTTTGTAGCTGACACTTAATGCCTTCTTCCTGTATACCCGGCACTGTGACATGAGCTTATATGTTATCACATTTAATCATCCTGATAGCCTTATAGCACAGGTAGTATTGTCACCATTTCATGGATGCAGAAATTGAGGCCCTGGGATGTTGAGCCATGTGCCCAAGGTCACACACAGCTAGAAGGCTGCCAGCTGGGACTGGAATCCAGCTCTTGCTGACCAGAAAGGCTGTGCAAATGACCATTGCACCACCCTGCCATCAGATCACCTCTGCCCCCTAACACCTGATCCCAGCTTTCTAGAATAAGGCCAGTGTACTCGTAGAGTCTCCAGGCTTGGCTTGGCTTAACATCGGCTTAAATGCCATCAGTGTGGGACTCCACTCCTTCCATTAGGAAACTGCTGTCCAACCTCAGAGCTTTTGCTGGGAGAAAATGGTTCCTGCCACTAGGCCTAAAATTCCCAGGGATTCATCTCATGCCATTTTGCATAATTATACCCTCTCATGTTATCCCCAATACTTCCCCTCCCTCAAAGGCCTTCACACCCCTTGGAGCCTTGCATGCAATTATCCTATTTTGCTTAACTTGGCAAAGCCCAGAGTGTGCGTCTTTTCATCTGTTATAATTATTCCATTTCCCTTGTTCCTGCATTGTTTCAGATATTTCATCTCTGAACACCCTCCAATTGCAGGGTACCCTCTGGAACAGTGGTTGCCAAGAGCCCAATGCTGCAGTCAGGAAAGATCTCATTAGGAGCAGATGGAGGGAGGGAACATCCCCACTGGGCAGGGGTTGCCCAAGCTGCCAGTAACAATGCCATCTGGAGGGTCTTACCTCCTCCCTTCCTGGGCATCCAGGACTGCCCAGACGCTAGTCTGAAGGCAGAAGGGGCTTTCCAATTGCTCTCCTGGGCACAGAGGGTGTGGATAGACACCTCTCTGAGCGGGGACATGGGTCTGAGTCTGTCTGCATGTCTCTTGTCTCAGCCTTCTTTCACTACTCTAGTTCAGCTGTTCGTTTATTTAACAAACATTTGTCAAAGACCTGCCATATGCCAGATCTACAGCTGGGCAGTGGGGATGCCATGGTAAATATAGGCATGCATTCCCTGCCCTCAGGGGACATATGTTCCAGTGCATGGGAAAGACAGTAAGCAAGCAAAGCAGCTGATGCATATGGACAGTTGAGGCACAAGGAGGGCAAATGGCAGAGTCCAGGGAAGGAGAGTAACAAGGGGTCCCACTGAAGTGGGGTGGTCAAGAGGGGCCTCTGAGCAGGTGGCATTGAAGCTGAGACCTGAAGATGGGAAAGACCCTGCTAGGGAAAGATGTGGGAGGTCGGTTTCTGAAAAAGGTGACAGGATGTGCAAACCCCTGGGCAGGAGAGTCTTGGCTGAGTAGAAGGATGGATGGAAGGGCAGTGGGCATGAGCTGAAGCTGGAGGGCCGGCAGCCCAGACTGGGAGGAGGTTACATATGATTGCAAGTAGCTGCCTCTCCCACTGACTTGCTGTGTGGCATAAGCAAGTTAATAACTTAGGTCTTCTCTTTGGTAAAATGGAGAAGGAAGGTCAGGCGCGGTGGCTCATGCCTATAATTTCAGCAATTTGGGAGGCTGGGGCAGGAGGATCACTTGAGGCCAGGAGTTTAAGACTAGCCTGAGCAACATAGCAAGAACCTGTCTCTATGGAAAATAAAAAAAAAATTAGCTGGGTGCAGTGATGTGAGCCCGTAGTCCAAGGTACTCAGGAGGCTGAAGTGGGAGGATCACTTGATCCTGGGAGTTCCAGGGTGTAGTGAGCTATGATGTGCACTCCAGCCTGGGTGACAGTGTGAGACCCTATCTCTTAAAAAGAAATGGAGATGGTAATTCCCCCTCCCTAAACGTGTCAGGAGGCTTCAGTGGGAAGCCGGGCTGCTCCAGGCCCAGGGCAAGCCCTGTATGCAGGGAGCAATTCTTTTCTTTTGTTCACCACTAGTTCCTTAAGGAAAAACATCCTCATGTCTGGCTGTCTCTCTCCATCCCACTCCTGTCCACCATCCTTTCCCTCCCAAATGCGAGGTTCTCCCCATTCTAAGTGACACCCAGACAGAACTGGCCAGACTTTAGCCATAACACATCTAGTTGTCTCAACTCCATGTTGTCTGAGCTCTGGCGGTCCCAGATGGTGATGCAAAGGGCAGGGCTTCTGCCCCCACAGTGGGCTCGCAGGTGTGCCTTCATCTCACTTGCATTCTCTCTCCTTTTTAATTTTCAAATTGTTTTAATTAGTTATTCAGTGGGTACGAAAGAATATTTCTGGCATCTGTGTAAAGTATAAAGAATGAGAACACAGCGAACACCAGTGTACCCACCGCTCAGTTTAAGGAGAGCATTTCTTTCCCATTTGGATTTCTGCGTCTGCGTCTCCCCAAGTTTGCCTAGAGCTAATCGCTTTCTTGAATTTTGTGTTTATCTTTTTATTTCTTTTCTTTATAGTTTTGCACTTATGTTTATATACCCAAGTAACATATTGTTTTAGTTTCTGCATGCTTTGGAACTTTATGTAAATATAAACACAACCACACTGTATGTATCTTTCCTTTGCCTTTTTTGTTCAACCTGGTTTTTCTGATATCCGTGTTGTAACTTCTTTGTTGTTGTTGTTGAGATGGAGTTTCACTCTTGTCCCCCAGGTTGGAGTGCAATGGCTCGATCTTGGCTCACTTGAACCTCCCTGGTTCAAGCAATTCTCCTGCTTCAGCCTCCCGAGTAGCTGGGATTACAGGTGCCGGCCACAACGCCCCGCTAATTTTTGTATTTTTAGTAGAGATGGGGTTTCACCATGTTGGTCAGGCTTGTCTCAAACTCCTGACCTCAAGTGATCTGCCCACCTCAGCCTCCCAAAGTGCTGGGATTACAGGCATGAGCCACTGTGCCCGGCCAGTTACTGTTATATAGTTATTCTATTATGTGAGTAGATCACGATATAATTATTCATTTTCTGACCTAAGGATGTTTGGGGTTGTTTTCAGGTTTTTTCTTTCACAGTGCTGCTGAGAACATTTTGGTTTGTAACTGGACCCACAGATGCAATGGTGTCGATCTAAGAGTGGAATTGCTGGGTTATGGAGTAAGGCTAAATTGTTTTCCAAAGCGGCTGTACCTGCTGATACTCCCGTCGGCAGTATAGAAGTATTCCTGTTGATCCACAGCCTTCCCAGCCCATGGTTGGTGTCTTTTTAAGTTTTGTTGATTTAGAGGGTGGTATCTCATTGTGGTCCCCCTCAATGTTCCAGTGCATTCTTCAAAGCAGCCATTTTTTGTCTTTGCCAAGGTTAAGGTTACTCTCTCCTCTTCAGAGTCTGTTTCCAGGCCCACCCTCTACCCTTCTTGGCTATGGCAGAAAAGGATGCAGCCTTCCTTCTCTCTCAAGCCTGGGCTCTTTTCTCTCTAATGTAGGAGCCTACTTCTCCCCTTCATCCCCATCATCTCCAGTGTCCCCATATTTATGATTTCCAGATTTCATAAATGAGTAGTGTGGTAGGTAGTGTTGGTCACATATCCAATCTCTGGCTATGTTCAACCTCTTCTTCCTTGCCTTCCTCTTCCTATAGAGTCTGAAAATGCTGGAGAGCTTCCTGGCTGCCCTTGCAACTAGACATGGCCATGGGACCCGGTTCTGGTCAATATGATACAAGGGCATGTTTACTGGGAGGCTTCTGAGAAAGATTTATCTCCCTGAAAAAAGGAAGTAGGTTCTCCCTCCTTCTGCCTGCCATGGATGTTTATATATGAGAACATGATGTTTGGAGCTGCAGCAGCCACCTTGCAACTCTGGGCAGTAAGTCCGAGGACAAGAAGCCAATGTGCTCAGGATGTAGAGAAAGGATGAAAAAGGCCTGGATTCTTAGGGACACTGGGGGCCAGTGAGCTCATTCTGGAGCTGCCACCCTATAGACTGCTTGTTATGTTAATCAGATGTCTTTATTGCTCAAATGATGTTCATAGGATAATCTATTTGCAGCCCCAAAATCCTGACTTTGGCCTTTGTAGTGATTTCTCTGTCTTGCTTTTTCTGTCATTCTGTTCACTGTACTTTTTGTACAGTGTACATCCTGTTCTTTTTGTACTCCAAATCGCACTCTCTAAAGACTCAGTAATGTAATTCCTGCCAATCCAGTTCCTCCTGAACTTTCTATAATACCTGACACTGTTCATCCACCTTCTGGAGGGCTTTTCCCTCCTGGGCTTCTGTGATGCTCCAGGGTCCAGGATCTCCAGCTGCCATCGTCTTTTTCTCCTTACACTGACTTCTTCTCTCCATGAGCTACTTTTGCTGAACACCTGCTACAGACCAGGAGCTGAACATGGTTCTTTCCAGAGGTCATTTTACTCCCTACAAAGCTCCTGTGACTTCGGTATTATAATTTCCACTTCACAGATGTGGAGCCTAAGCTCAGAGATGGTAATTAACTCATCTACAGTGATGGAATTAGTAAGTGACACAGCTGGGATTTGAACTGAGGTATCTTCAACCTCAGTTGAAGATCTTGCCCAAGGCTAGACAGCCAGTCTTTCTCATAGCCCTTTTTAACCCTCTCCTGAGGTCAAATGACACATTCTTATTGTATTAGGCCATTCTTGCATTGCTATAATAAAATACCTGAGACACGGCCTGGCACAGTGGCTTGTGCCTGTAATCTCAGTACTTTGGGAGGCCAAGGAGGGCAGATTGCCTGAGTCCAGTAGTTCAAGACCAGCTGGGCAACATGGTGAAACCCTGTCTCTACAAAAAATACAAAAATTAGGCAGGTGTGGTGGCTTGTGCCTGTGGTCCCAGCTATTCAGGAGACTGAGGTGGGAGAATCATTTTTTCCTGGGAGGTTGAGGCTGCAATGAACCATGATAGCACCACTGCACTCTAGCCTGGGTGACAGAATGAGACCCTGTCTTAAAAAAATACCCGAGACTGGGTAATTTATAAAGAAAAGAAGTTTAATTGGCTCACAGTTCTTCAGGCTCTACAGGAAGCGTGGTGCTAGCATCTGCTTGGCTTCTGGTGAAGCCTCAGGGAGCTTTCAATCATGGTGGAAGGCAAAAGGGGAATAGGAATGTCACATAGGTGCCATACACTTTTAGACAGACAGATTTTGCAAGAACTCACTCACTACTGTGAGGACAGCACCAAGAGGATGATGCCAAACCATTCATGGAAATCCACCCCCATGGTTGAGTCACCTCCCACCAGGCTGCACCTCCAATACTGGAGATTACAATTCAACATGAGATTTGGGTGGGGACAAATACACAAACGATATCACTCATTGCATCAATTCTATAGAGCCCTCCCAAGTTTTTCCCAGTCTTTTTTTTTTTTTTTTTTTTTTTTTTGAGATGGAGTCCCTTCAGTCCTGAAAAACCACGAATGCTTCTCCTCTCCCCTTACATCTGCCATGTGTAATTCTCACCTGGTCTGCCTTTGTGGTTTCTGACCACAGCATCTTCCAGCCATGGAGATGGATGGGTCGTCCTTCATTCTTTTGTCCACCCCTCCCTTCTCCATCTCATATACTCAATCAGAAGCAGCAGCCCTGGGTGACCACACTGAAAATGTTTCTTGCATCTGTCCCTTTGTCCTCACTCCTAGGCCATGCCCCATGCCCCACCACCTGGTCCTTCCCCTTCTCATCCACCCCCAAAACTGCTTCCAGATGGATGGTTCCAATACATTGCTTTCCTGATGCCCTCACATGCTCCCATTGCATATATGGCCCCGTCCTGGCTTTCATGGCCCTTCATGATCTGGCTCCAGCATTGGTTCTTGACAGAGTAGTTCAAATCCACCAGCATGGGCTGCTGTTTCCAGACATATCTTCCCCTTTCTTAACTTCCAGCTGCCCACTCTCCACCCCCACACTGTCTAGCATCTTCCTTCCCTAAGCATAAAACACCTCATCTTTCGTATCTACCTCTAGTCCTATGGGTGAGGGGAAGACTTCTGTTACTAGACTGCTGGGATCTCTCCCTGCTCAGCTTTCCTATAACTCTTGCTGTCTCTATAGGTCCCTGGGGCACCTGTTAGATGCTCACTTTGTCATGGTGTCTAAGCCAGATTTCCCAGACAAGACCATACAGTTCTTTATGATTGGAACGATGCCTCTCCCTATCTCAACCTTGGGGAACTGAATGGAGATGTTCCCTTTCCTGTAAGTCAACTCAACTGCCTATATAAATATTAACTGAGCATTTACTATGTTCCAGGTTCTATTCTAGGCACTGGGAATGCAGATGAGGAGACAAAGTTCCTGCCTTCAGGAGTTTATGGTGTGATAGGGAAGACAAACAAATAAATTGTAGAAAGTATGACTTATTATGGGGAAAGTATAGGGTGCTCGTAATAGGGGTACACATGACCAAGGCCAAAGTGACAGGAAAGCCTTAATCCCAAGGAAGGAAATTGTAAATCGAAACTAGAAGAGGTTTAGCCAGGTGAAAAGGCAGGTGAAGAGCAAGGAATGTTCCAGGTAGAGCACATGTGAAAGCTCAGAAGTGAGAGAGCACAGCACATTTGAGAGAGTGGAAAATCAGTCTACTCTGGCTGTGGCTGGCATGGAGTGTGTGTAGAAGAGAAGTGGTGAGAAGGGCTGGGGGTGGTGGTGTGTGGGGGCCAGATGGGCTGGACACAGGAGAGAGAGGAGTCCTGGGTGTTGTAGTCTTGGTGAGGAGGGATGGCACTTTTTTTTTTTTTTTTTTTTTTTGAGGTGGAGTCTCGCTTTTTCACCCAGGCTGGAGTGCAGTGGCACGATCTCAGCTCACTGCAACCTCCCCTTCCTGGGTTCAAGTGATTCTCCTGCCTCAGCCTCCTGAGTAGCTGGGACTACACGTGCACACCACCACACCCGGCTACTTTTTGTATTTTTTATAGAGATGGGGTTTCACCATGTTGGCCAGGCTAGTCTGGACCCTTAGCCTCAAGTGATCCGTCTGCCTCGGCCTCCCAAAGTGCTGGGATTATAGGCGTGAGCCACCGCGCCTGACCCCAGCACTTTTTAGCCAAGATAACTTTAGGTCCAGGGGAGTATCAGGAGCCCAGCAGGAGGAATAGATGACGTGGAGGCAGGGAATGGTGAAATGGCTGCTAGAACTCGGAAGACTATGGAAATGTTCCAATTGCCGGAACTTGCCCTGTGACCTGGGCAATGGTCAGGAATTCCAAAACCTCTAAGGAGTTTACCAGGCAAAGCATGGTAGGATAGAAACCATGAGAGAGATGTCTAGAAAGTCCTGTGTTTGGGAGTGGGATGGTTCAAGAAAGGCTTCCTGGCCCTGATGGACTTCAAGATGCGTCTGCAACATGGGACTGATAGTGCTGGGCATCGGTGTGGTGAGAATGGTGTTCTCTCCTTCCCGCCAGTGCCCAGAACAGTACCTGGAACATAGGAGATGCTCAGTCCTAGCCTGTGGCTAAGAGCTTCTGGCTCTGGGGCCTCTGGTGGCCCAGTTACCCCTGGGACCTCTGGTTCTCCTTTCCACAGCAGCAACTGACCTTGGGAGAGTGAGGTTGGCAAAGGCCATTTCCTCATCATTCATGTCCTTCCCAGTCTCTACCAAGCTAAGCAAATAGCTACTTTCTTTCCAAGGTAATTGGACCAATTTGTCCAAACATGGAAAGCCAATAAGTGGGTCTGAACTGAAGTCTTTATCTATTATGGCACCACACCTATTGTCTAGAAATTTGTATCATCTACAAAATAAAATTTTCATTTATACGCCCTCCCACAGAACAAATCAGATATAAAATGATTGATTCTAACAGTATCTCAAAGAAGCTCCCTTTCCAGAGAACTCTGCTTTAATCAATTCAACAAATATTTATTGAACCAGACATTATTCTAGGCATTTGGGATACATCAGTGAACATAGCAAAGATCCTTACCCAAGCTTGCAATTTAGCAGGCAAGACAAACAGAAGACATAATAAGTAAATTATACAGTTTTCTAGAAAAGGTGATGAGTGCTACAGAAAAGGATTAGAAGGGGGACTAAACAGAGAGTTCTGTTTTCCATAAGCCAACCTACCTGAGTGGGAAGGAGGATTGGGAAGGACGGGAGGGAAGGAAGAGATAGGACACAACTTCTGTGTTTTACTGCCCGCATAAGCCTTTGTCCCTGGTTGGAATTTTAAACTAATTGCATGTATTACTTTGATAAAAATTAAGTTTAAATAGTGACATAACTATATTGGGAGGGGAGGGCAGCGGTGTGACCCAAGTTCTCTTCTGTCACTGAAGAAAACAGGACAGTTTCTAAAGTGAATAAATCATAGAAGTACCGGTATATAGGTCAGGCGTGGTGGCTCACACTTGTAATCACAGCACTTTGGGAAGCCGAGGCAGGCGGATCACTTTAGGTCAGGAGTTCGAGACCAGCCTGGCCAACATGGTGAAACTCTGTCTCTAATAAAAATACAAAAATTAGCCAGGCTTGGTGGCACACACCTGTAATCCCAGCTACTAGGGAGGCTGAGGCAGGGGAATCACTTGAACCCAGGAGGTGGAGGTTGCAGTGAGCCAAGATCACACCACAGCACTCCAGCCTGGGCGACAGAGCGAGACTCTGTCTCAAAAAAAAAAAAAAAAAAAAAAAAAAAGTACAGGTATATCATTAGAAAGTAAAGATCATTATCAGAAGAATTTAAAACAGAAACCACGAAAAGAGTGAAAAGTCATTTCTTCTAGAGGAAAGAAGACAGAGTGGGAAGGCTCAGGACAGAGCTGGTGGGGGACTCTTGCCTTTTTAAAATAAGTCTTGCTGTATGTTTGGGTTTTTAAAATCATAGGCATGTGTTACTTTAATGATTAGAAAAAAATCTGCTGAGCCCTTGAGGGGGTCCACGGTGATGGGAGGTGCCTTTGGGACTTCTGCAGGGAGTGGAGGGTGGTAGAGCAAGCAAGTTCTGCCGCATTTCCTCCAAATCCACTTTCTTTTATTTGTTTTATGTATCTGACTTTCATGCGAGACTTTGAACAAAGGGTTCTGCAACTAAAATTGGTTCGAACTCTATGATCCCTTTTGGCTCTCGTAATTAATGATGCTTTATAAGCACCTGTTACCCTTTGTGCTCATGTCTATTTACTTCCTGAAATAATTTCCTTAATTTAGCCAGAAGCCTTGCAATCTGCCCCCAGTTGGCTATGGTTTGAAATGATTGGTGAGTTTGCTGCCAGTTTGCTCGGTGTAAAAGTGAGACCTTGCAGTAGGTCATTCCTGATTGCTACTTCAGAGGGCCTCTGGAGCCACTGTTAGAACAAAGGTCCGGTGGGCATTCTGTCTGGCCTCCAGCACAGTGGCTATTGTAACAACAGGTAAACATTTTGGCCAATAATTCCCCAATGTCATCTCAGTATCTGCAGTCTCTCCTGTGCAGCTGTGAATCTGCTTATAGAATCTACTTATAGAACCTTGCCTCCCACTCCACTTCCTGGAGATGGGGAAGAGAGAGAGAGAGAGAGAGAGAGAGAGAGAGAGAGAGAGAGAGACTATGAATGAAGTTAGGAAAGGGAGGGAGGGAGGCAACTCCCCTTTCGCTTAGTCACCTCCTAGTGACTCCACTTCCAAACATGTGTCATAGTCAGCCTGCCCTTGTTCTATTTTTAGGGCAGGTCCACTCCATTCATGTTTCTGGGGCCTCTGCAGTTGTTGCTGTGTCTGCCTGGCAGCTGCTTTCTTGAATTTGAGGTTCCAGAGGTTTTGTGTTTCCAGGCACCTTTCATGCATCCTTGCCTTTGCACACTGTTTTTCATCTGGTGTCTGGGGATCTGACACTAATCCCTGAAGGCCAAGCTCAAATGCCACGTAGTTAGTAAGACCTTTCTGGGCCCCCAACTGTGGAGAATCTGTCTCCACCTTAGCACTTATCACAGACCCTGGCCATCACTTGATTATATTTTGTGTCCTTAGGGGGTTGGAAACATCCCATGGTCATCTCTCTGAGGCATACAGTGGGTGCCTAATTAACTACTTGCCGAGTGAAATGAAGCATGTTTGCCGATATCTCTTCTATGCTTTAGGAAATCCCACTGGGCCTGGAAGAAATGTCAGTGTGGGAAGATCTCTCTCAAGGCATCACCATAAATCTTTTCCTGTTTTCCTCTTGAAAGACAAGATTTGGAAAAGTCAGGTAACATCTAGAGAAAGCCTCTAATAGCCCTCTCCCTCTCCCTCTCCCTCTCCCTCTCCCTCGCCCTCTCCCCTTTCCACGGTCTCCCCTCTCCCTCTCTTTCCACGGTCTCCCTCTCACGCCGAGCCGAAGCTGGACTGTACTGCCGCCATCTCGGCTCACTGCAGCCTCCCTGCCTGATTCTCCTGCCTCAGCCTGCCGAGTGCCTGCGATTGCAGGCGCGCGCCGCCACGCCTGACTGGTTTTCGTATTTTTTTGGTGGAGACGGGGTTTCGCTGTGTTGGCCGGGCTGGTCTCCAGCTCCTAACCACGAGTGATCCGCCAGCCTCGGCCTCCTGAGGTGCCGGGATTGCAGACAGAGTCTCGTTAACTCAGTGCTCAATGGTGCCCAGGCTGGAGTGCAGTGGCGTGATCTCGGCTCCCTGCAGCCTCCACCTCCCAGCCGCCTGCCTTGGCCCCCCACAGTGCCGAGATTGCAGCCTCTGCCCGGCCGCCACTCCGTCTGGGAAGTGAGGAGCGTCTCTGCCTGGCCGCCCATCGTCTGGGATGTGAGGAGCCCCTCTGCCTGGCTGCCCAGTCTGGAAAGTGAGGAGCCTCTCTGCCCGGCCGCCATCCCACCTAGGAAGTGAGGAGCGCCTCTTCCCGGCCGCCATCCCATCTAGGAAGTGAGGAGCGTCTCTGCCCGGCCGCCCCGTCTGAGAAGTGAGGAGACCCTCCGCCTGGCAACTGCCCCGTCTGAGAAGTGAGGAGCCCCTCCGCCCGGCAGCTGCCCCGTCTGAGAAGTGAGGAGCCCCTCCGCCCGGCTGACACCCCGTCTGGGAAGTGAGGAGCGTCTCCGCCCACACCCCTTCCGGGAGGGAGGTGGGGGTCAGCCCCCGCCAGGCCAGCCGCCCCGTCCGGGAGGGAGGTGGGGGGGGTCAGCCCCCCGCCCGGCCAGCCGCCCCGTCCGGGAGGTGAGGGGCGCCTCTGCCCGGCCGCCCCTACTGGGAAGTGAGGAGCCCCTCTGCCCGGCCGCCACCCCGTCTGGGAGGTGTGCCCAGTAGCTCATTGAGAACGGGCCATGATGGCAATGGCGGTTTTGTGGAATAGAAAAGGGGGAAAGGTGGGGAAAAGATTGAGAAATCGGATGGTTGCTGTGTCTGTGTAGAAAGAAGTAGACATGGGAGACTTTTCATTTTGTTCTGTACTAAGAAAAATTCTTCTGCCTTGGGATCCTGTTGATCTATGACCTTACCCCCAACCCTGTGCTCTCTGAAACATGTGCTGTGTCCACTCAGGGTTAAATGGATTAAGGGCGGTGCAAGATGTGCTTTGTTTAACAGATGCTTGAAGGCAGCATGCTCGTTAAGAGTCATCACCACTCCCTAATCTCAAGTACCCAGGGACACAAACACTCTGCCTAGGAAAACCAGAGACCTTTGTTCAGTTGTTTATCTGCTGACCTTCCCTCTACTATTGTCCTATGACCCTGCCAAATCCCCCTCTGCGAGAAACACCCAAGAATGATCAATTAAAAAAAAAAATAAATAAATAAAATAAAATTAAGCCAAATTGCAATCTAAAACTAACTTTTTTTAAAAAAATGTTTTAATGGGAACAGAAATGTTAAAACTCACAGTAGAACAGAATTTTAAAAATAGTAATTTTAACAATAAATTTGTTTTCATAACCATAAAAAAAAAAGAAAGCCTCTAATATTTGGATGAATTCTATCTGGGAAGGGAGAATTATTGCCACCATTTTACAGATCAGAAATCAGAGGCTCAGAGAGATTGAGACTTGCTAATGATTACATAGTAAATAGGAGAGCCAGAGGTTGAAACCTATGTCATCTGACTCCAGGGATGCCGTTTCCTACCACATACTTCCTAGTAGTCTCCGCAATGTGCCATGAGATGACATTGTTTAAGGCTTTCCAGACCACAATTTCCCCCTCAAGCATTCATGCAATTGTTTTCCATCCAGACCCAAGTGCTGAGAATTTCCTCGTCTCCCCTGCTTTTTCTTCATCTCCCTGAGGTTTGCTAGCTCTTTCCCTGGCTTCTCTGCCGTCTGCAAGAGTTCGTTTTTCTCTCATCTCTTTCCAGCTATTATGATTTCCAAATCTTTCAGTTGGTTTCTTTTTCCGGCTGTGGTCCTTTATGGGGAGGCTTTCCAATGCAGCCGCAGATTGGAGGATGATAACACTGAATGTTAGTGGATCTTCTTTGATGTTATTTTGTGGGTGAACTCATTAATTTATGATAAAAAACATCAAAGAGCTAGGCTCTTGCATAGGACTAGGTTGTCCCAAGGCAGCTGGATAATAATGATTAGTCAGATTAAATCTCAAAGAGCTCTCTGCCTCAAATATAGGAGTTAAAGTCCAGATGACTGCATTTGGGAACATCCCATCCTCTAGCATCTCATCACAGCCTTGAGTCAGCCCAACATGGAATGCTGCCCACTCTGAATGTGGGTCTCTCTCTGTGGCTTCCACTTTGAGGCCTCTAAGACTTGAGGTCTGTTGAGATTGTTACAACCCTGGAGGCAATGTAGGGGAAATAGGGTGAGGCTGTGAAAGCCTCTTTCCCACCAGAGGAGCTAGATATTAAAAGGGATCATTTGTCCTTGCATGAGTGATCTCAAAGCTCTCTATAGACTCTAGTCCTGTGACGTCAATGGGGAGAACTCTCTCTGGGCTAAGTGCCAGCTCCATGCTTGGCACGGAGCAAGCTTTCTATAGGTACTGGCTGAATGATGGACCAAGCTTTCTAGAGGTAATGGTTGAATGATGTGTGAAAAGCCGTTGGCTAGTTGAAGGGGAGCAGGAGTGGAGCTCAGGTTTTTCTTTATGTGACAAAACCTCCTAACCAGCTCCCATCTGTGGCCATTTACTGTGTTTTTTTTTATTGTTATACTTTAAGTTTTAGGGTACATGTGCACAATGTGCAGGTTAGTGACATATGTATACATGTGACATGCTGGTGCGCTGTACCCACTAACTCGTCATCTAGCATTAGGTATATCTCCCAATGCTATCCCTCCCCCCTCCCCCCACCCCACAACAATCCCCAGAGTGTGATGTTCCCCTTCCTGTGTTCATGTGTTCTCATTGTTCAATTCCCACCTATGAGTGAGAATATGCGGTGTTTGGTTTTTTGTTCTTGTGATAGTTTACTGAGAATGATAATTTCCAATTTCATCCATGTCCCTACAAAGGACATGAACTCATCATTTTTTATGGCTGCATAGTATTCCATGGTGTATATGTGCCACATTTTCTTAATCCAGTCCACTGTGTTTCTTTCGCCTCTGTGGGAAATTGTCTGTGCTCCTCTCCTGAGCCATCCCCTCTCTGTTTGCCCTGTGTCCCATTCTCTGCTGGCCTGTTAAGGGCTTGCTCCTGCAATTAACCCTCTCTTTTCTGAATCATCAGTGTTTCCCTCTCTACTAGATGATTCCTGTCAGCAGACAAACATGCCCTAATGTCTTCCCTCTTGAAAGGAAACTCCCTTGCTTCCATGTCTCTCTCAGACCCCCATGCTAGTCTTTGCTTCCCTTTGCAGGAGAAAGAATTGTCTACACTCTCAGTACCTCTCCTCTCTCTCCTCCATGCTAACTCTCAAACCCACTTTAATCAGGATCTTATCCCTGCACCACTAAAATGGCTCTTGTCAAGGTCACTGGCGAACCTTCTTGCTGCCAAGTCCAGTAGTCATTCCTCAGTCCTCATCTTATTCCACCTGTGAGCAGCATTCAACATGGCAGGCAAGGCTCTCTTTCCAGCCTTCTTTGCTTGGCTCCAGGACACCGCCCTCTCTTGAATCTCCTCCTACTTCACTGGCCCCTCTTCTCAGTCTTTTGTCTTCCAGCCTGTCAGTGACCAAGTGTCCTGAATCAGTTCTTGGACAGCTTTTCTAGCTATGCCTACTCGCTCGATGATGTCTCTAGTCCCATGGTTTTAAATGCTATCCACATACTGAAGGGTCCTGAAGTTATATCTCCAACTCCTCATCCTCCCTTATAATTTGCTTATAACATGCACATCAAACTTCAAACCTAAGTGAACAAAACACAACCAAAATGCTGTGTTCTCTATCCCTTCAGGCCTGCTCAGTCCCTAGTCTTCCCCTCTCAGTAGATGGCCACTCCTTTCTTCTGATGGCTCAGATCTCAAGACTTAGACTCATCTTTGACGATCTCTTATTTATTTATTTATTTTGAGACAGAGTCTTTCTCTGTCCAGGCTGGAGTGTAGTGGCACAATCTCGGCTCACTGCAACCTCCACGTCCTGGGTTCAAGTGATTCTCCTCCCTCAGTCTCCTGAGTAGCTGGGTCTACAGGTGTGTGCCACCATGCCTGGCTAATTTTTGTATTTTTAGTAGAGTCAGGGTTTTGCCATGTTGGTCAGGCTGGTCTTGAACACCTGATCTCATCTCAAGTGATCCACCTGCCTTGGCCTCCCGAAGTGCTGGGATTACAGACATGAGCCACCATGCCCGGCCTGCCTTCTTTATACCACACATCCAATCCATCAGAAGATCCTCTCAGCATTACTTTCAAATTATATCTAGAATCTAGCCACTTTTTCCCACCTCTACTGCTACTACCAAATTCTAAGCCACCACCACATCTTCTAAGCCTGGGCTGCTCTAACAGTCTCCTAATTGGTTTTGCAGCTTCTAGCCTTGCCTCCCCTCTGACATCCAGTGGAATCTTTCAAAAACTGCAATTAGATGATGTCACACCCCTACGCTAAACCTTCTTAGGCTTGCCATCTTACTTTATGAGTAGAATCTGAAGTCTTTATCAGGGCCTACAAAACCCTGGAAGACCTGATTCCTGCTACCTCTCTGAGCTCAACTCCCAACTCTCTTCCCCTTGTTCACCTCAGGTCTAGCTACACTGGTCTTCCAGCTATTCTTTGTTTTTATTATTATTATTTTTGGGGACGGAGTCTCACACTGTCACCCAGGATGGAGTGCAGTGGTGTAATCTCGGCTCACTGCAACCTCCGCCTACCAGGTTCAAGTGATTTTCCAGCTTCACCCTCCCAAGTAGCTGGGATTACAGGCAGCCACCACCATACCTGGCTAATTTTTGTATTTTTAGTAGAGATGGGCTTTTGCCATGTTGGCCAGTCTGTTCTTGAACTCCTGTCCTCAAGTGATCCACCTGCCTTGGACTCCCAAAGTGCTGGGATATAGGTGTGAGCCACTGCGCCCAGCCTCCTGCTATTCTTTGAACATACCAAGCCCAGTCCTGCGTCAGGGCCCTTGGATTCTGTCCTCTCTGCCTTGTCACTCTTCCTCCAGGTATCTATATGTCTAGTTCTCTCTCTTCCTTCAGGGCTCTACCCAAATTTCACCTTATCAAAAAAAGTATTCCCTGACTATTCTTTCGAAAATAAGCCCTCTCTATCACTATCTCCTTACCATATCTTCTTCCTAGCAGTGATCACACTTTTCTTCCTAGCAGTGATCAAAACTTGACATATTTTACACATATTTGCTTATGTCATGGATTGTTACCCCCATTACTATATAAGTTCAATAAGGACAGAGGCTTTGCATTTTTAGTCACGACTGTATCCCAATTTCCTAGAAGAGTGCCTGATACACAGTAGGTGTTCAACAAATAGATGTTGATGAATGGATTTGTTGAATGGCCTCATCCAGATATCTAGTCATCAGGTGAAGAGAATGGTTTCCAGAAGGTTGTCTAATTGATGTGATAAAAATCAAGTGGGAGGAACTGTGAAATTTACATGGAGATCATCAGATTATGTGTTCTTTTATTACCAGTGACCACTGCAGGATTCATAGATATTCTGTTTGGTCCTTTATGCCAAATCCTATGCCAAACTATAAGGTAGAATGAGACACCCGCCTTTAACTTCTTTAGCATGTCACTTACACTCTGGGACTCAGCGTTTTCATCTGCAAAATAGGCAGCTGGAGATGTGGTCATTGCTCTGCTAGTCTATGGTCTACCAGATGCTGGAGGGAGGCAATACAGTTAGGAGGATCAACCACACAGGCTCTGGAGCTTGACTGCCCATGTCTGAATCCTGTCTCCATTCCCCACAAACCCTATGACCTTGGGCAACTTACTCAGTTCCCTCATTTATAAAGTGGGAATAATAAAAAGATCACAAGAACACAACTCAAAGAGTAATTGTGAGGATTACGTAAGATCATACATGTAAAGTGTGTAGCATATGGGCTGGCACATGGTAAGTGCTCACTAAATGTTAGCTACTAAAAATGAAAAGTTCTGGGAAAATTTTTGAGGGGTCATCGCTATTAATGTGTTTTAGGGGTGACAAACTGTTCTAGAATATTAGATAATATGGGCATTTTAAAAGCATGATAATTGGCTGGGTGCGGTGGCTCATGCCTGTAATCCTGGCATTTTGGGAGACTGAGGTGGGCGGATCACCTGAGCTCAGGAGTTTGAGACCAGCCTGGCCAACATGGTGAAACCCTGTCTCTACTTAAAATACAAAAATTAGCTGGGTATGGTGGTGCGTGCCTGTAATCCCAGCTACTTGGGAGGCTGAAAATCACTTGAACCCAGGAGGCAGAGGTTGTAGTGAGCTGAGATGGTGCCACTGCATTCCAGCCTGGGTGATAGAGCAAGACCCTATCTCAATAAAATAAAATAAAATAAAGCATGAGAATGGTGTTGTGCCTAGTTGGGATAACGCTTTTCTTCTTGGGAGATGCATGGTGAATTGAAGTACTTACAGATAAAATCTCATTGAAGTACTTACAGATAAAACCTCACGATGTCTGTCACCTTATTATTATTATTATTATTATTATTTTTGAGACGGAGTCTCGCTCTGTCACCCAGGCTGGAGTGCAGTGGCGCAATCTCGGCTCACTGCAAGCTCTGCCTCCTGGGTTCATGCCATTCTCCTGCCTCAGCCTCCCCAGTAGCTGGGGAGTAGCTCCCCAGGTGCCCACCACCACGCCCGGCTAATTTTTCTGTATTTTTTAGTGGAGACGGGGTTTCACCGTATTAGCCAGGATGGTCTCAATCTCCTGACCTCATGATCCGCCCACCTCGGCCTCCCAAAGTACTGGGATTACAGGCGTGAGCCACCGCGCCCGGCCACGATATCTGTCACCTTCTGATAATCTAGGCAAATATAGCTCTGTTTTCATATCTATCAATAAAGCAAATGTGGCAAAAAGCAATTGTTGGAGCTAGGTAGATGGCATAGTTTATTGTACTATTCTTTCAACATTTTGGTATGTTTAAAAATGTCAAAATAAAAGGTTGGAGAAAAAACAAAAGGTCCTAGAAACAGTCTAGTGAAATCCAACACTCACATTTTACAGAAAGAGAACCATAAGCTCAGAAAACAAGACAGTTGCTCGAGGTTATACAGCTGGAAAAGCCTGGGCCAGGTCTCTTGGCCGCCAGGTTCTCCCTGTGTGTGGGCTTCAGACTCTCAGGCAGCAGTGAGCTGCAGAGGAGCACACCCCACCACCCCTCAAAGAGACCAAGGGGTATTATGGGTATGTAAAAAGGCACTTGTGTTGGTGTTTCCTTTTTTTTATGTCTATTTTATTTATTTATTTATTTATTTATTTTTTGAGACAGAGTTTCGCTCTTGTCGCCCAGGCTGGAGTGCAATGGTGTGATCTCAGTTCACTGTAACCTTTGCCTCCCGGGTTCAAGCAATTCTCCTGCTTCAGCCTCCTGAGTACCTGGGACTACAGGCGGGTGCCACCATGCCTGGCTAATTTTTTTTTGTATTTTTGGTGGAGATGGGGTTTCAGCATGTTGGCCAGGCTGGTCTTGAACTTCTGCCCTCAGGTGATCCACCCGTCTCGGCCTCCCAAAGTGCTGGGATTACAGGTATGAGCCACTGCTTCCGGCCTTATTTTTATTTTTTTAAGAGACAGGCTCTTGCTCTATTGCCCAGGCTGGAGTACAGTGGCACAATCATGGCTAGCTGCAGCCTTGAACTCTTGGATTCAAGTGATTCTCCTGCCTTAGCCTTCTGAGTAGCTGGGACCACAGGCACACATCACAACGCCCGGCTAATGTTTTCATTTTTTGTGCAGACAGGGTCTTGCCCAGGCTGGTCTTGAACTCCTGGGCTCAAGCAATCCTCCCACCTCAGCCTCCCAAAGTGTTGGGATTACAGGTGTGAGCCACTGCACCTGGTCTCCTTTTTATTAAACAAATAGATCATTTAGTTGGAATTTATGATGTCAAAAGTGCGAAGGTGGCACCAGAGCCAGACCTGCCATCCTTGGAGAGTGAGCATACCGGTTTGGCACCATCTGCTTGTGGTTTTTGAGTGGTGGTGGTAGTGGTGGTGCGTGTATGTAAACTCGGGTTGCAGAGGAGAGAGGGAAGAGTAAAGGGTGGGGACCAGGTCCAGGAAGAGCAGCAAGGAGAGACTGGCTTCAATTCTGGAGCTGCCTGAAAGAAGGGACCCCAGGCTATGGCTGAGAACGAAATGTGGGCACGTATTTAAAGAAAGGAAATGATTCTCTGCGGTCGGCAGGATCTTTGTCTAGCTAGTGGGGTTCCAGGAAGTGCAAAGGAGAGGGGAAAAGAGGGGCCGTCCGTGCAAGCCTGACTGTGTGTATATGGGGGGGGGGCACACAGAGAGGAAAAGGGAGAGAAAGAAAAGAAATTATTCTAAAGAGGAAGCTGGGGGCGGGGCGAGGGAGGGGTAGAGCCGGGGC
The DNA here is from genome assembly GCF_000001405.40 of Homo sapiens. Taxonomy (NCBI): domain Eukaryota; kingdom Metazoa; phylum Chordata; class Mammalia; order Primates; family Hominidae; genus Homo; species Homo sapiens. The sequence goes on from NC_000010.11 coordinate 97,849,632, forward strand.
ACTGGGGGTGGCTGGAAAGGTAGAGAGGCCTCACCTGCGGGCCTGCGAGCGGCTCGGGAGCGGTCAGCCTTGCAGGCTGAAGCGTCTTGCCCCGGAAAAATTCCTGCCCCACTGTCCTTCAGGCTGGATGTCCCGGGGGCCACGGAAGCGAGCGCAGAGCTCCGGGGCTCTCACGAGGGGGAGGGCAGGAAGGGGAGGCGGGGCCTCGCGCGGGGCGGTAGCCGAGCCTGTGGCCCGGGCGGGGCTCCTCTCCGGCGGCGCCGGAGTCTGGGGGCCGCGGCTTCCCCCTCCCGGCCAGCGGCGGCTCCTGGCCCCTCCTCCCCCGGCCGCCCCCATCCCCGCCGCCGCCGCCGCCAAAGCTAAACCCGGCCGTTGCCTGCAGGAGCCGCGGCAGCGGGCGATCGGGCCGTGAGGAGCCTCGGGCGCGGCCTCGCCTCCCGGGCCCGGCGCCTGCCTCAGCACAGCGGACAGCGCCGCGCCCCTTGCCTGGACCCAGCCGCCCGCCCGCCCCCGGCCCACCTGAGCCCGGGCCCGCGGCGCCCGCATCAGCACTGCGGACAGCGCCCCGGGCCCCAGCTCGCCGCCACCGCCGCCGCCCACCTGCTCCCGGGGTCAGCACCGCGGAGACCCCCCTCGCCCGGCCCCGCGACAGCCTCCGAGCGCCCCCGGATCATGGCCACCGAGGTAGGGGCGAGCGCCCCACCCGCAGGCAGTGCCCGATTGCCGCGGGACCAAATGCCCTAGGGGTGGGCTGGGCAGGAGTGGGAGGCGGGAGTTGGGGGTGGGATGGGGTGATTCCCCAGGTCAGGTCTGGAGGGAGGAGGTAGGGGCTTAGTGAGGGCTCATCTCCCCCTTGCGTGTCAATCTTCCCCTCGCCCCACCTGAGCCCCCAAGCTGTCCGCGACACTTGTTGGCATTAGCGCCAGGGTTGCTTCAGGGCCCCAGGCTGGGGTTTCCCCTTCCCTGGACTTCACAAGTCCTGAAACCGCTTTCCTAGAGGGTTGGAGACGCGTGTGTGTGCGTGTGTGAGGGGAGGGAAGGCGGCTGTCCGCTGTTGCTATGCAGTCAGCTTCTGAACCCAAAAGCTTGGCTAAGGGATGACAGACTTACCTCTACATCCGCATTTCCTTTGCGGGAGGGAGGGGACAAAGACATCCTCAGGCTGAGAACCCAAATGGTTGGTCTCCACTTTTGCATATCACCCTTCTTGCTTTTTTACCCCATTCGAGTTTTTTTTTTTTTTTTGTCCCAGGGTGTCCAGATTTCCCCTCCATCTGATGGGAGTTTCTGCCTTCTTCAAGGTGCACTGATAGGTGTGTCACCTTCAAGCACTTGAAGGCTGAACCACGGGGCCTGTTAGCTAAGGGCAGAATCTTGGTATAATGCTTGAGGTCGAGGATTCCCCCCTCTACCCCTAGGGATTGCCCTTTCCCCCCTCATTTCAGGAGGGAGATTGGGCTCTTTATGTTCCCACTTTATACATGATAAAGGTGATGTGTGGAAAACGAAAGGACTAATTTGCTACTCCACACAGCATGTCAGCAGCAGAGCGGAAAGTTTTTGCCTTTGAATTTTTGGAGCGAAACTCAGGACATCAGGGTCTCCCCAGTTCTGATGTTGACTTCCTTTGTGGTGTCTCCCCATTTCCAATCCAGCTGGCATACACTGGGGGAGAGCAGAGGCCTGTGAATGATTCAATGCAGTGCTTCTGGGCATCCTGGTGAGCAGTGTGACATTAATACCAAGTGTGGCTGTTGTTATTCCACTCAAGTTTCCACCACAGAACAAGGTGCTGTTGCTTGGCATTGCTTGGCATTCTGACAAGGCACAAGGTTAGCTAGGCGGAGAGTTGCCCCTCAGGACTTGGTGTGAGGGCAAGCCCTGGGCAGACCCTGGGAGCTTGGTTTCTAGAGTAGAGGAATGCAGAGTACTCACAAAGCACCAAAGACATGGAGGACAGCAGGAAGAACAAAGGGAGAAACCAAGGAGTTGGTTACCTTCCAGATAGGGCTGCCAGACTGCAGCAGAGGCTGCTGTGTTGGACAGAAAAGGGGAACTTCAGCTACATGGGCATGGCTGGGCCAGCAGCGTGGGCAGAGAAGGCAGCTGCCTCTGCGATGTGATCTGACAGATTCCAACAGGCCCATCTGTCCCAGGATGTCTGCCATGGCCCACAGATTCCAACCAGCAGGCTTCTATCTCTATGTCAAGACAGCGTTTCCAGGAGGCTGCTATGAGACATGTGTGACTCTCCCCTGGGAGGGGCTCTGCTCATAACGCCTCTGAAAATATTGCGCTTTCCTGTGTACAAAGCACTATCGCATAAGTGATCTCTTTCAAGCCTCAGAGCAGCCCTATGAAGTGGGTAAGGATGGTGTTATTATGCCCAATTAACAGATGAGACAACTAAGGTTCAGAAACTTGCCTGGTCCCTGTGAAGGAGCCAAAGAAGGCATCATTATCCCATTTTACAGATGATGGAACTGAAGTGCTGAGACTTATTCAGGAAAATATGGCTAAAAGGTGGCAGGGATGGGATAAGAACTTGAGTCTTCTGCCTCTTTGGCCAGTGCTTTTTTTTCCTGCATCCAATTAGCCTATTGTGTCACCTGATAGAGAGGAGGGCCCTCCAGGTCTTGATGTGAAGCTTTGGTGGAGAGAGGGATGCAAAGGAAGTCATGAAGGGCTGGAGTGTGGGGACTCAGGCCCCCTGCTTGGCCTGGCTGGGTTGGTTTGAGGGCAGAGGGACAGAGGAAAGTCCCGGAGTGATGGGGAGCTGAGGACAAACATTCCTCACTTCACAATTTGGCCTTGGGTGGACTCTGATGGCAGAACTGAGGCAGGAAGCCTTAGCTCTGCCAGGGCACAGGACCTGCACGTATTCTGGGTTGTGGGGTGAGTCATTCTCCCAAGGCTGTTTTTACTGTTAGAATTGAGTTGAGATTACCAGGATAAACTTGTTGGGAGAGGGAAAACATCGCTTTAAGTTCCCATGATTATTCTGTTAGGATTCTCAATAGGAACTCCTCAGCTCTAGGAGAAGCTGTATTGAGAGAAGGAGAGAGGGAGAGGAAGGGGGTGGGGAGAGGGACAGAGAGGGAGGGGTGAGGGAGAGGGAAGAAATTCATGGGTGGAAACTGGGTCTTTTCTGTTCCCTAATTTCTGTTTAGGAGTTAGCATTAGGGGAGAGGTGTCTGTAAGGAACTCAGAGGAGGGATGGAGCCTCCTGAGTGATACACTGACCTCATTTGGAGAGCTGCAATGAGCCCATTTTCTGAGCAGCAAACCTCTGTGAATGTGTGTCACTGGGAGCAGGGTCTGCCCTGGGAAATAGTCCAGATGGCCAAGGACAACTGGGAAGTGCCTGGCTGGGAGGGGCTTCTCCAAGTGGTGGGGTTTGGTCTCTAAGAGATTTTTAAATGCATCCAAGTAGCGTTATTCAAGCAGGGTGTTTGGAGGTTTGATCTTTGAGGCATGGAATTAATGATGAGTAGACAACTGGGTCAGGCTTGAGCACTGGTACAGGCTGAGAAGAAGGGAGGTCTTGTGGCTGGTGTTTTATCCTTAGGCCTGACCTGGCTGTCTGTGACTCATGATCCTCACTCCTCCTTCACACCCCAGCCAGGAAGCAGAGTGCTGGCATCAGCGGAACCTCCTAATTCTCGATGCCTCACATGCATCCTATGGAATGAGATGGTTTTTAATGAGGATGAAGATGGCGCCAGGGGGGCACTCCTGTTGGACTTGGGCAGACTGGACCAGGAGCTCATTTGCACTCTAGAGCTTGTTCCTCTGCACCCCAGCTAGTTGACTGTCAGGTGAACAGGAGCCAAATGTGTGACCTGTGGTACCCACTCTCCAGGCAGACTCCCCCTCCTTCTCATACTGCAGTTTGAAAATTGGTACCCATGGGTCTCACCACTGATTTTCTTCCTTATGAAATGCTTCTCGGCCCTGTCTTCACTCTGCTGCCAGTGAGCCAGGGGTGGCAATGGGAGAGAGGGGCAGGGTTGAGGAAGGTGAGAAGTGGAGAGAGGCTCAGGTCTCTGGGTCAGTTAAGAACCCCCTGGGAGACACCCAGGGGAAACACAGAAACTGCAGCTTCAGAGAGAGTTGTGCACATATTTTGATATCCTCTGGTAGGATTTCAGAGCATCACGGATCTCTGCTGAAAACCCCACCAGCTTTCTGAAAACTTAGTAGCTGGCCAGTGGCCTGGAGCCTGGCTTAGCTCTTGCCCAAGGGGCCCCAGCCATGGGATTCTTTATTTAGAGGTCTTAAACTAGCAGCTCTAGAAATGAGTCTGGTCCATGGGTGTGCCTTACTTAGTCTGTTGAGTGCTTATACATTTTAAAAATGTATTGGAAATATTCAAAAATCAGAATATTTGATGTTAAAAAGATCTAGATTTCTGGCTTCTTTTGAGACACCAGAAGTGCTGGCAACCTGGGTATACATTCCCACGTGGCAATAGTCATCTGTCTCCTTGAGATGGGGCACCAGTTTTCTAATTAGCCCCAGGCCCCACCTGGCCCACTTATTGCTCAGCCCCTGTAAACATTTGCATTCATAATCCCTGATAAAGCCTCTAGAATGTCAGAGATGAAAGGGGCTTGAGCAATGATGTAGTTCCAGTTTCTTAGTTTCCAGTTGAAGAAATGGAGGTGCAGAGAAGGGAAGACTTTCCCAGGGCCATGTGGCCCAGGGTCAGGTCTCCTGCCCCCAGGTCAGTGGGCCATCTTTCCACTAGGGCTTCCTGGCACTTCACACTCAAGCCACCATGAATGGAGAAAACCAGGAGACCCTGCCTTGCCTTAAATCCGGCTCTTCACCAACTTCAGATGAGTCTGTAATATATGTACTCTATGTAGGTCTGGGAGACTAAGGCTCTGCCATATAAAATGTGTCTGATATCATCCTTTAGCAACTCCTCAGAGTTGCTCCTCCACAAACACTCTCCAGGGAGAGAAGCAGATCTCTGGTCACCCAGAGCCTGGATAGTAGTCTAAGGCTCAGGATATTGTTGGTGCTGAAAAGGGTGTTGACTTATCCTACTCTGGCTACTTGAGAACCTGTGGATCAAAGCCAAGAGGAAATGGGAATTTATTATGTAAGGTAGCACCCCCAAATCTTAATGTATTAATAGCTTAATACAATAGAAGTTTGTATCCTGCTCAGTGAAGTTCCAGGTAAGTGTTCCTGATCAACAGGTATTCCAGGCGGTGATTCAAGGCAGTGATTCAGTGATTCAGGGACCAAGGCTCTTCCCAACTTGTGGTGTCACTATCTTCAACACAGGGCTCCACCAGCCTCCATGAAAGGGGAAAGAGCAGGGAGAAATGGTACATCTTTATGAATCAAGCCTACACATGGCATTCGTCACTTCCTCTCACATTCTACTCAGTCATAGGGACACACCTAACTGCAAGGGAGGCTGGGAATTAATATAGCTGTATGCCTAGGAGGAAGAAGAAATGGCTTGGGTCAGTAGCTAGCCAGTCGCTAGAGACACACGCCTTCAGGACAGCACACAAATATGTGTGTACACATGTGTGCATTCAGGCACAGATTTAACACAATCCCTATCAAATTAGCAACATCGTTTTTCACAGTATTGGAAAAAACAATGCTAAAAAAAGAAAAAACAATGCTAAAGTTCACATGGAACCAAAAGAGAACCTGAATAGCCAAAGCAATCCTATGCAAAGAACAAATCCAGAGGCATCACATTGCCTGACGTCAAATTATACTACAAGGCTATAGTAACCAAAACAGCAGGTTTTGTATGGGTCAGAGGACAGGAAGCTGAGTCCATATCAGAATGGTTTCTTCCCTTTCTTTCCATTCTCACCACTGCTTTTCTCACCACCTCTTTAGTTTTTTCCATGGACTATTAGAAAGAGAATCATCCCTCCAACTGGCCCCTCACCCCAGTCTTGTCCACTTCCCACAAAACTGCTAGAATGAGCCTTCTAGGGGTAGGGGAGTCCATCCTCAAGATTGACTGACTTTCATAAGTTGGTTTTAGAGGGGCAGAGGAAGGCCATAGCCTTGTTCTTTACTCTTGAAAATACAACATTATAAAACCTTAACCAGAGCAGACATGTTAACAATTAACTTATTTATATTACCAAAGCATTCCTTATTTCTCCGAGTTATCATAGGTTCCTAGTAGATATCAAGGGGATTTCCTCAATGAAAACCTTGATTAGAGGAATCAACTCATATAAGCCTACAGGAGGGCTTATACATTATTTAATCCAGTCACAATACTTTGAGATCACATTTCGTACATACAGCAAGGTCCACCTGGATTTAGGAAAGTCACATATAGTGTTTTTGGATTCCCACCTTTTCAGGACCTTGATCTACCAATTATCTGCTCCTTCTACTTTATTGATAACCTTTCCTAGTTATTTATTATTTCCCAAGATTTTTGTTTGTTTTTAAATTTTATTTTATTTTAGATTCAGGGAGTACATGTGCATGTTTGTTACATGGGTATATTGCATATTGGTGGAGATTGGGCTTCTAGTGTACCCATCACCCAAGTAGTGAACATTGTACCCGATGGGTAATTTTTTAACCCTCACCCCCTCCCCTCTTTTGGAATCCCCAGTGTCTATTATTTTCATCTTCATATCCATGTGTACCTCTTGTTTAGCTTAGATTTATAAGTGAGAAAGTGTGTTTTGTGGTATTTGGTTTTCTGTTTCTAAGTTAGTTCACTAAGGATAATGGCCTCCAGCTCCACTCATGTTGCTGCAAAAGATATGACTTTATTATTTTGTATGGCTGTGTAGTATTCCATGGTGTATATATACCACATTTTCTTTATCCAGTCAAGTGTTGATGGTTGTTACTCTGAAGTTGGTTCTATGACTTTGCTATTGTGAATAGTGCTATGATGAACATATGAGTACAGGTGTCTTTTTAACATAATGATTTATTTTCCTTTGGGAGGATACCCTGTAGTGGGATTGCTGGGTTGAATGGTAGTTCTCTTTTTAGTTATTTAAGAAATCTTCATACTGTTTTCCATAGAGGTTGAACTAATTTACATTTCCACCCACAGAGTATAAGTGTTCCCTGTTCTCTGCATCTATGCCAGCATCTGTTGTTTTTTTAATAATAGCTATTCTGATTGGTGTAGCATGATGTCTCACTGTGGTTTTAATTTGCATTTCTCTGATGCTTATTGATGTTGATCATTTTTCATGCGTTTATTGGCAGCATGTATTTCTTCTTTTCAGAAATGTCTGTTCATGTCCTTTGCCCAGTTTTTAATGGGGTTGTTTTTTTTCTTGTTGAATTGTTTGAGTTCCTCATAGATTCTGGATATTAGTCTTCTGTCAAAGGCATAATTTGCAAATATTTTCTCCCTTTCTGTAGGTTGTCTGTATACTTTGTTGATTATTTCTTTTGCTGTGCAGAACTTTTTAGTTTAATTAAGTCCCATTTGTCTATTTTTGTTTTTGTTCCATTTGCTTTTGGGGACTTCATCATAAATTATTTGCCTAGGCCAATATCCAGAAGAGTTTTTCCTAGGTTTTCGTCTAGAATTTTTACAGTTTCATGTCTTAAATTTCAGTCTTTAATCCATGTTGAATTAATTTTTGTATATGGTGAGAACTAGGGGTCCAGTTTATTCTTTTGCACATGGTCAGCCAGTTTTCCCAGCACCATTCATTGAATAGGGAGTCCTTTCCCCATCCCATTTACAATAGCCAGACACACACACACACACACACACACACACACACACACACACACATTTAACCAAGGAAATGAAAGATCTCTATGAGGAGAACTACAAAACACTGATGAAAGAAATCGTAGATAACACAGACAAATGGAAAGACATCCCATGCTAAAGGATTGGAAGAATCAACATCATTAAAATGACCATGCGGCCCAAAGCAATCTACAGATTTAACACAATCCCTATCAAATTAGCAATATCATTTTTCACAGAATTAGAAAAAACAATGCTAAAGTTTATATGGAACCAAAAGAGAACCTGAATAGCCAAAGCAATCCTATGCAAAGAACAATCCTATGCAAAGAACAATCCTATGCAAAGAACAAATTACATTGCCTGACGTTAAATTATACTACGAGGCTATAATAACCAAAACAGCAGGTTTTGTATGGGTTACTGGTACAAAAATAGACACATAGACCAATGGAACAGAACACAGAACCCAGAAATAAAGCAACATACCTATAACCAACTGATCTTTAACACAGTCTTTCCCCGGTGTTTAAGCAAGTTTAAGTATCTGTCATCCTAAATCCTCCCCTTCAGCAGGAATCTTTCCTGCTTCTTGTGATCTGACCCTTGCCTCCTCTACAATCTCATCTCCCACTGTTTCTTATCTAATCTGCAAACCACCTCCATTCTTGCTGAAATCTGCCTCTAGTAGACCATGTGCTCTATCTTTGTCACTTTGCGCAAGCTTCTCTTTTTGCCTGGGTTGCCTTTTCCTCCCTCTCCACACTCTCTGCCTGCCCCCTGCTACTGGTAACCCCTGGACTTCCTTTATGACTCAACACAGGCTTCAGGAGGCCTTTTCTGAGTGAGCATTTCTGGGTAAGATGTTACTTCTCTGTGGCATTTGTCACTGTCTAATTCATTATATATTTACTTGTCTTCCTCCCTGGAGCTCACAGACTCTTTTGCTCAGCACCCCCAGAGCTTGGCACTAGGAGAGACTCAATAAATGAGAGCTGAGTGACTGAATGGATCCAGCTTAATTACATGGGATGAACTGGCTGTTGTTCACTCTGCCTTTGGGGCTTGGTCTCCACGTGTTCTCAGTGTTGGGCATATTTCAACCAGTGGGATGCTTGTCTTGAATGTGGGTGACTGAGGCTGGAGAGGTGGAAAAAGTGGGCTTGTTCTGTGGAATTGAGCCCATTCCCCTCAAACACTAGAGTCTGTGTCAATGTGAAGTCCACAGATGTGCACAAGGGACAGATATCTCCCCTCTCCTTCCTGCCAGGGAAGGCTATTTCTTCCATTTCTGGCCTCTGTCCATTTCATCTACACTATTCTCTGGAGAAGTTTGGACATTCATGGGCCCTTTGTTTCCTGTGGTGAGAAGTGCTGGATGTGAAAAGCATCTGGGGTGCTCTCTGGCCGGGGCCATAAAACTCGGCCTGGACCCCAGTCTCTGAGTTCAGGGGTACCTCAGGTATTCCTCTGTCCCACATGTTCCCTGCCTGCAACTCTGTTGTGAGCTCCACTTGGCAGGACTGGAGCACTGGTCTTGTTCAGTGCTGGGTTCCCCAGGCACAGGGTCTCACAAGTGAACGCTTGGTACTTGGTGAATGAATGAAAGTATGAAAGGTTCTTCTGTGTGTGTGTGTGTGTGCACGTGCACGTGCGAGAGAGACTCAACTTTGGCCCTGCTTTAGGCTTGTTAAAAATTTTTTTAGAGTTGGGGTCTTGCTCTGTCACCCAGGCTGGAGTGCAGTGGTGCAATCACAACTTACTGCAGCCTTTAACTCCTGGACTCCAGCAATGCTCCCACCTCAGCCTCCCAAAGTGCTGGGATTACAGGCACAAGCCACTGCACCCAGCCTTGCTTTAGGCTTTTAAAAGATCTCTCTGGGATAGCTCAGGGCAGCTTCTTGGGTAGACCCCACAGCCCTGCCTCCCTTGGCCTCTTGGAGCACCTGTAGAGTGCCCAGCTTGTCTCTGCATGCTGGGAACTTTCCTGGTGTTAGTGCTGGAAGACCTGCATTCTGGGAAACCCCTGCATTTGGGATATGCCGAGATGGATGGTCACTCTCAGCACATGCCGCCCGCACGTCTCCTCAGGTCCACAATCTGCAGGAGCTCCGGCGAAGTGCCTCACTGGCCACCAAGGTCTTTATCCAGAGAGACTACAGCGATGGGACCATCTGTCAGTTCCAGACCAAATTCCCCCCAGAGCTGGACAGCCGGGTAAGGATGCCTTTTTCTGCACTTGGAACCCAGGGCTGTGATGGAACTGAGGTTCTTATTGGAATGTATTTTATCCAGGATCCTATGACACATAATATCATAGGACACGTAACATGTTTGGCCACTTCAAAAGGATGAATTTTAAAAAATCAAAAGGATGATTCTTAATATTGTCTTACTGTCTCCTCATAGAAAATTAGAGCTGAAGGGATCTCAGGGATTTTCTGGTCTGGCTGCTCTCAAGTTTCAGTTGCCTAAAAATGATATAGAGAGCTTGTTAAACAAATGGAAATTCCTGAGTCCTACTGGATGATACAGGTGTTGTCCAGCAGTGCTGATCCAGTTGTTGGACTGTGGCTCAGGAGTCTCCATTTATTAGCAGCTGTTCTCAACCTTGGCTGTACATTAGAGGTTCCTGGGGAGCTTAAAAAATCCTGATGCTCAGACTGCAGCCCAAACCAACTACATTAGACTCTCTAGGGGTGGGACTCTGGAATCAGCATAGTTTTAAATCTTAATTTTGAAATGAATTTTAATCATGATTGTTTAAACTTTAGTATTTATTTATTTATAATTTTGTGGGTACCTAGCAGGGGTACATGAGATATTTTGATACAAGCATGCCATGTGTAATAATCACATCAGGGTAAATGGGGCATCCATTACTTCGGACATTTATCTTATCTGTTACAAACAATCCAGTTATACTCTTTTAGTTATTTTAAAATGTACAATTAAATTATTATTGACTATAGTCACCCTGTTGTGCTATCAAATACTAGGTCTTTTTTTTTTTCCCTTGATGGAAATCCAGGATGGAGTGCAGTGGTGTGACCACAGCTCCCTGCAGCCTCTGTCTCCCAGCTAAGGTGATCTTCCTGCCTCGGCCTCCCAGGTAGCTGGGGTTACAGGTTCGTGCCACTACTCCTGGCTAATTTATTGTAATTTTAGTAGAGACGGGGTTTTGCCATGTTGCCCAGGCTGGTCTCAAACTCCTGGGCTCAAGTGATCCGCCCTCCTCGGCCTCCCAAAGTGCTGGGATTACAGGTGTGAGCCACCATGCCCAGCCCAAATACTAGGTCTTAAGCCTTAATTTTTAATGAGGAATTCCCAGGTGAATCAGAATCAAGTGGTTCATAGATTACACTTGGAATTGCTAGTCTTGTTCAGCTGGTCTTCTTCAGAAACAGCGCTGCTTCTCATCCTTGGCTACACCTTAGAGGCACCTGGGAACTTTGAAAAAGGAAGCTTGCAGGGCGTCAGCTTGGGTAGGGCAGGGCAGTGGTGATCTTTGCTGCTCTGACCTATCCTCCCCCTTCCCAGACCATTGACTCAGAATCTCCTGGTGGGGGAGACTTGGGCATCATAGGGTTTAAAGGCTGCTCAGATAATTTCAGTTTGCAGCTGGAGCTGAGAACCATTAAGTCCTTGTTACTAAAACTGTGGCCTGTGGATCAACAATATCAACAATACCTGGGAGCTTGATAGAAATGCAGAATCTCAGCTCCCTCCCTGGATCTGCTGAATCCGAATCTGGGTTTTAATCTATTCCTTGGGTTATTCAGATATGCATGAAATTTTGAGAAGCTCCACACTAGTCCATCCCTCTCATTTAACAGAGGAAACTGAGGGCCAGAAAGAAGTGACTTATGGGAGTTAGTAAGTACCAGACAGGCTTAAGTGCCCCGCCTCTCTGCTTTTTCACAGGACTCTTATTTTCTTGCTGACACAATTGCATCTTTTGTGGGTACAGATCAAACTAAATGTCTTCATGATCACAGTCTCGCAGGGAAAGCTTAGAGACTCAAAGGAAGAGCTGCAGGCTGCTTTTCCCTTCTCCTTGCCTCAGGCAAAGGGGAGAGCCAGATGCACCATCCCACAGTCTGCTGGGTGGCATAAAAGGCAGTCAGCCAAGGGCTCTGCCTACAGCCTCTGCCTCTAGACTCAGCTAGTTGGGTGACTCATGGACCTCAGGCTGCTGTGAGGCATCAGCTGCTGAGTTTTGCTTCTGGTCCAGGGGTGTCCTCAGCTTTCATCCTAGGCTGCCCTAGAGTGGGCCTGGGACTGGGGAAGCCAGAAGGCAGATCCTGAGCTTTCACTCAGCAGCCCAGGTAGATCTGAATGGGTTTGGGAAGTGGGGGCAGGGATGGTCTGTACTGATATGACCCGGAGCCAGCTTTCGGAGAGAATGTGGGCCTCTTTCTCATCTTAGCATGCTTGTCCTTTAGGGCGGGGTGACCCCCAGGGTGGAGCAGCAGGGCTTGTGGCATGGACTAGATGGGCAGGATTTTCATAGGATTTTCTCTATGAGTTCTCCCCAGGTCTGTGTAGGGGGAACTCCTAAGCTTCCAACTATTCTTGGACAGAGGTTTTGTCCTAGAGAGGCAGGGAGGTCCCTAAACTGTGTGATGAGCATTTCTGGTCCTGCTGCATGAGTGAGGAAGAAGGTACTGTGAAGAATGTGAAAAATAGGGCTACTATTTTGACACTGTGACACCTGCTGAGTTTGGAATGTGACCTTCCCGGCTGTCTGGTGTTACACAGTGAAGAGCACAGACTGGAGTCAGAGCTGTAACCTTGGACAAGTTTACTTAGCAGTCACTAAGTATTTATTGATTATGTATTAGTCTCTAGAGATATAGGAGTAAACTCATGGCATTTATTTTCTATTAGATGGTGTAGAAAATAAAAAACCAAGCAAATACAGTTGACCCTTGCACAACACAGGGTTAGGGGTGCCTGTCCCCTGCACAGTCAAAAATCTGGATATAACCTTTGACTTTCTAAAAACTTAACTACTAGTAGCCTACTGTTGACTGGGAGTCTTCTGTTAATACAAACAGTTTATTAACACACATTTTGCATGTTATGTATATTATATACTGTATTCTTATAATAAAGTAAGCTAGAGAAAAGAAAATGTTAAGAAAATCATAAGGAGAAGAAAATATATTTACTACTCATTAAGTGGAAGTGGATCATCATAAAGGTCTTCATCCTCGTCATCTTCATGTTGGGTAGGCTGAGGAAGAGGAGGAACAGGACAGGTGGATCTTGCTGTCTCAGGGGTGGCAGAGTCAGAAGAAAATTCACATATACATGGACCCACACAGTTCAGACCCATGTTGTTCCAGGGTCAACTGTAAATATACCTCACTCAGGAGGTAACAAATACTAGAAGAATAAGGGGAGGATGTCACGGGGGTTGGGTGTGCTGGGGAGAGGTGAATGATCCTGGGCACAGGGGGAGGCTGTTGAATAAGGTGAGACCCAAGGGTGTTAAGGGTGTCACGGCAGCCTGCAGGGGAAAGTGTGGCAGCTAAGGAGATGGACACAAAGGGCCTGAGGAAATTTCAAGAAGCAGGGGTACTGAGTGAAGAGGAGAGGAGGAGACGGGCCCAGGGGTAGCAGGGTCGGGCCATGGAGGGCCTAGCGGGCATTGTAAGGACTTCTTGGATTTAACTTGCAGAGAGATGGGAAGATTGTGGGAGCTCTTGATCACAGCTGTGACATAATCTGACTTTAACTGGAAGTTAGGGCAGGAGCAGGGGCAGGGAGGCCAGTGAAGGGGCCAGAGACGGTGGCAGCTGGAACCACAGAGCAGTTCGTGGTCCGCGTGGTCTTAGGACCACAGAGCAGTCCTCACCTGTAAAATGGGGATGGCAGTAGTACTTTTCTGATAGAATTGTTCTGAGAGTTAAATGAAAGAGTGCATTTCCTGGCACACAGAAAGTGCTTAATACATATTAGCCATTCCTATTATGGATACGGGCAGGACAGCTTCTCAGGTGTCCAAACACACAGGGTGGTGGTGTTGTGGGTGACCTCTGAGCTAGAAGGAAATGCCCCTTCCTGGAGAGATGCCCCTGAGGTCTCACTGAAGCAGTCTCATGCAGTCCCATCCAAACATGGAGAGCCCCTATGAATCTAGTCCTGAGCTCTCTCACAACCAGCAAGATGGGACGTGTCAAAGTCACTAGAATACTCGTTTGATCTTCTGCAGAAAACATCTAGGATATCATGGGAATTTCCTGTTTCCAAGGGAGGACAAGCAGCCATTCTTATTCCCATTTTATAGATGAGGAAACTGAAGCCTAGATGGTTAAGCTGCTAGTTCAATGTCACTCAGCCAGTTAGTTGATGGCCAAGTCTGGACTGGCCCCCCCAGTCTCCTGACTCCCAGGCCAGTGCTCTTTCGGCTCTGCCTGCAGCCTCTTTGGTCTTGCCTGTGTGCCAATGTCATCTTCCCCATCTACATGGCCCCACCATTGTCACTTCCAGCCCTACCTGTGACTGTGCACACTCCAGGGAGGCTAACCGCAGCCTGGCTCTGTCCCTTTCTCCAGATCGAGCGGCAGCTCTTTGAAGAGACTGTGAAGACCCTCAACGGATTTTACGCAGAGGCTGAGAAGATTGGGGGCAGCTCCTACCTCGAGGGCTGCCTGGCCTGCGCCACGGCCTACTTCATCTTCCTCTGCATGGAGACCCACTATGAGAAGGTGGCCCCTCCCGCCCCACCGTGCATCCCTTCCCTCAGGGCTGCCCTGTGGCATGCTCATCCTTGTCTGGCTCCTCTTTTTGCAGGTTCTCAAGAAGATTTCCCGCTACATCCAGGAGCAGAATGAGAAGATCTTTGCACCTCGAGGCCTCCTACTTACAGACCCTGTGGAGCGTGGGATGAGGGTTGTATCCTTCTGGGCTATTCTGTGTTGAGGGCACAGGACTGCTAACCAGTAGAGATCCTGGTGAGGCTGCCAGGAAACGAGGCCACCTTAGGGGCCTCCACTCAGGTTTTCCCAGGATTCCCCACATCAGTGGTCCTCAGCCCTCCTCCACCACCCTAAGTTATTGGAGGCTTTGTGAGTTTCAGGATTTGCACTTGTTGGGCTGCATGTAATCAGTGCTTAGAATATGCCAGCTATCATGTGAAGTGCTTTGAAAATACGAATTCATGTACTTCTCATAACAATCTTACCAGGTGGGTTGCTCTGATTATTCCCAGCAACCTGCTTAGAGTCGTGCAGCTGGTGAATGTGGGAGCCAGGAATTGCACCCAGGCTCACCCTTAACTACAAAGACCCCTCCAGGAATATGCAAATCACCACATTCATTTACAGGTCCACAGTCTCATGCAATCCTCATGGAATCTCCCGTGGCAGGTCGCATTGTCCTCCTTTCACAGATGAGAGACATGAGGTCTAGAATGATGTGACTACCCCAAGGTCTCAGTCCTGGTGAGAGGCTGGACGGGGGTGGGGCGTGGTTCTGCTGACTTTATCTCCACTTGGAATAGTGTGATCTGGGTGTGCACAAATCCCTCCCCCCGGGCAGCAGCAACACGAGTAGAATTGCTAAAAAATAAGGTTTACTGGAAAACTGAGGAGAAACAGAGTCAAAAAACCACAAACACCCAGAATCACGTGTTGACAAAGCCCAGTGAGAGGCACTTGTTTTTATTGAGCCTTTACTATGTGCCAGGTTTTGTGCCAAGTGTCTTACATACATTTAATCTAATCTCCACACTAACCCCAAGATTCTATTCTTAATCCCCATTTTGCAGATGCGATAATGGATGGCTAACAAGTTAAGTGACTGGTGTAAGGTCACATAGCTTTGTGAGTTCCTGAATCAGGATTTGAACTCAGGACACTAAAGTCCTCATACTTCCTGTGCAGTGACACCACCTCCCTGGGCACATCTGTGTCCTAAGATATGGTCATTAGACCCACTGGAATGTAAGCGCCATCAGGGCAGCGACCCTGTCTGCTGTGATCACAGCTATGTGCCCAGCACAGGGCCTGGCCTTACGAGTCTCCCTAATTGTTAGCTAAGTAATGTGCATGGATGGGCTTGGGGAGGGTCTAGCTCCCAGGCCTTTACATCCCTACTGTCTAGGCAGCAGCACAAGCCCACTTTCCCACTCCCCTGCTGGACTCCATCCGCTGGTTCATGTCCCACCCCTGCTCAGCAGCTGGGCTCGCAGCTCTCCTTAACCACCGACCCCAGATTGAGATCTCCATCTACGAGGACCGGTGCAGCAGTGGCAGCTCCAGCAGCGGCAGCAGCAGCGGCAGTGGCAGCAGCAGCGGTGGGGGTGGTGGGGCGGGGGCCCGGTGACTGGCCGAGAGTCCCTGTAGGGAGGTGTATGGCCGGAGTGAGGGCCTTGCAGACCTGCGGCGGCTGCGCTACCAGAGCACCCGCTTCTGAGTCATTCTTTGGGCTCACCCTGCTGCCCGGGGTGGGAGGGAGGGTGACGGGCCTCATATTTCCTGTGGGCCATCAACCTATGCCCCCTGTCCCTCACCCCCGTCTGGATCAGTCCATTTCCTGACCTGGGGGCTTTTCCTTCCCGATGGGGCTGGTCTGGGCCACACAGAGACAGATCTTCCTAGGAAGGCTGGGGTGGGGAGAACACAACCTAGGCGGCCCCTCTCTTCCACAGCCCCTCTCCCAACCCTGCGAGGGGGGCCGAGGCCTGCCACATAGAGGACTCCCACACTGCATGACCCCTCATCCCAAACCCATATCCACCAGGACTCTTTCCCTTGGGCCCTGCGTCCCGTGGCTGTCTCCCAGTATCTGTTCCTTCTCATGCCCCTGCAGGGCCCCGGCCTGTCTATGATCCTGCCTCCACCAAATTCAAGGTGTGGGGAGACGGGTGCCGTGGTTGGGAGCTGTTCAGCGCACTCCTGACCTCTTCTAGACCTATGGCTTTCCTGTCCTGCATTCAGAGCTAGAGGCCAGCTCGGCCTTGCGAGAAGCATCCAACTTTGAGACTTTGCAGGCTGCCAGGTGCTGGTTGGGGGGCACAGAGCCTGGGGCTCTGGGAGGTAATATGGGGGTCTGGGAAACTCCGTGAAGAGACATAGCCATGCGGGGCCTGAATCTCCTGAACTACAGCCAGTTTCCTGAGATTAGAACCTGTGTGTATGCACATGTGAATGTATGTGTGAGTGCACATGTGTGTAAGTGCAGTGTGCGTAAATGTGTGAGTCTGCGTGTGTTAGCATGCCTGTATGTGAGCGCGTGTGTGAGCGCATGTGTGTGCACCAGTGCACAAGTGTATGAATGTGGACACATTTATAAGCACACCTGTGTGTGTCTGAGTACATGTGCACACACGTGTGCACAAATGTGCATTTATATGAGTGTGAGTGCATGCATGTGCATGAACATGTGTGCACAAGCATGTGTGTATGAGTGTTCATGTGTATGAGTGTGTGTGTATGCAGGTGAGTGCATGTGTGTGTGAGTGTGTTTGTGTGTTCCCCTTGGCTGCCAGGCCAACGACTGCTTCTCTGCATCCTGCTGTCTTCGCTACCTGAGGGTCTGTGACTTCTTCCCTGTGTGGGTCCAGCCTGACCCCCTGTAAGTAAATGTCCAAAAGCCCCTTGCCCCTCCCCTAGGGCTACCAGGGAACATACTCTACTGCATATGTTCTAGTGGAAGAGAAGCCGGGGTTCTAGGAAAGAAGAGCCAAACTTTGGTGGCCTTTGGTGCCCCCTCTCAGCTCCCCATGACAAGACAACGGGGCTGCAGACACTGTGTGTTCAGCCTGCCCAGGGGCTGGGGCTCTTTAAGGCTTTGTAGGTGAGGTTTCCATGGACCTTCAAAGGTGCCAGCAGCCTGCAGGGGAAAGGCAAACTCCCTCCTTGCAAGGAAAGGAGATGTCCAGCCAATGATGCCCGGCTTCTGAGGCCCAGAGGAGCAGGTGGGATGGGAGCAGCCCCTGGGGCTGGTGTCCCGAAGATGAAATGAAGGGGGCTGCCTATCTCAGTTGGCGGGAGGTGTTAGAAGTGGATGTGCAAGACCAGCCACTGGAGGTAGCTCTCTGGAGTCAAAGAGAGGCCTGCTTTTCTACCAGACATGGGAGCAGCATGTAGGATACAAGGGCCTACCCAGAGACCAGAGAGAGTCAGCCTAGTCCTTGCAGCCTCAGGAAGTCCTCGGCCCAAGTGAGTCCTGGTCCAAGGATCCCCCTGGAGAGCCGCAGTTCAGTGGGCTCCACCGCAGCCCCTGGCCACGGCCTATGCCCTCCCTGGGCCCCTGTGGGGCTGGGCATTGTGTCTGACCTGTGCATCTCCCATGGGAGGGCTGGGCACAGGCAGTGCTATGGCCTTTTTTTTTTTTTTCTTTTTCCAATAAAAGAACTTGCCCAGCGTGAAGCTCTGTGATGCTTTCTCTGCCCCGTGACGATGGAGGGTCAGTTCTATGCTCCAGGACCACATGAGGGGATACTCAGCTGCCTGAACTGGACCTGACATGGGGAGCAGGATGAACTCTGTCTTCTTGGAGCTTGCAGTCTACTGAAGAGGCAGACACCTCAGCATCTCTAATCTGGAATCTTTGGGGCACTTGTAGCCTTGGGTGGGGGAACAGGTTGGACTGAAAGCGAGGCCAAAAGTAATCAATTAATGATATCAATAAATCCTCATTTCTTGAGCTCTTCCCCTGGGTTGGGTCCTGTTGGGAGCTGGATCACACAGGTCACTCAGTACTGAAGATGAGAAAGTAGCTGGATGATCACTTCTCGGCCTTTTGGCCAAGATCAAATATGGAGAAAGTAGCTGGATGTTGGAACCTAGCAGAGTTGTGTCTTGAATTTTATAATTTATTGAGCACCTACTATGTGCCAGATACTTTGCTGAAACCATATGTTAGAGCTGGCAGGGGATTTAAAGATCACTTGAATCCTGTCACAGAGGTCCAGAGAGGGTGGGTGACTTGCCCTAGGCCACACAGCTGGTTGATGATAACAGGGCCCAAGCTTGGAACCCAGGTCTCCTGACTCAGTGCCCACTCTGTTACCACAGGGATGGCACCCAGATGGGAAGCTGCCTGAGGCTGCAGGGAGGCTGGGATCACAAACTCAGGCCTGTTCCCAGAGAGGGGCTCATCAGACTGTGGGGACAACGGCTCCAGCCTCTTAGGTGGGGGCTGGGCAGTCCCCTCTGGGTGGTTCTCATGTTTGTTGTCACTGCCGCTAAGGGCTGCAGTGAGCTGTGTGCAGCCTGGACTCACTCCCTCTGCTGGAACCTGGGCCGTGTGTGGGTTGCCACAAGTGAGCGTGTTCTCTAATATGAGGGCAGGTTCATTCTGTTTTGGGATAGGAAGTTTGTTCTACCCCGAGGCCAGATTTGAATCCAAACTCAGCTCTTCTAGAGATGAGGTCCTGGGGAGGGGGTGAGGATTTACTAAACGGGTAAAACCAAATCTGGGTGCTTATCTGACTGAGAGGCATTCAACCCTTCCATTTTCAAATGGTAATCATAATAATAATAGTAGCTGACGTTTATTTAGCACTTCCTATGTGCCAGGCACTAGGCTAAGACTCTACATAATTAGTCATTCAATTCTCACAGCAACCCTCTATGGCATGGATTCTTATTTCCCATTTTACATATGGGGAAACTGAGGCTCATGGACGTTAAGTAACTGGGAAATTGCAGATCTTGGCTTTGAATCTAGGCAATCTGACTCCAAACTGCAAGGAAGAAGACAGATCCAGCCTCAGAGGCCGCTTAACAGCTTGAGGGCCTCAGCCGTCCTGGGATTAGGATCAGGCAGATTCCCAGGGAAGGACTTGGAGCCATGCCTGGGTTTTGAGGCCGGGCTGGCACCTCCACTTCCAGGGCATCACGGGAGGGTGCATGGGCTGTGCTCGCAGGCATGCGGGACCCAGAGGCAGCCCGGTGAAGGGTAGTGGGGGACTCGACTCACTGTGGGCCTGGGGAGGTGTGGTTTCTCTCTGCTGGCTTAGTTACAGGTGGTGGCCTGTCTCTCCGGGGTCTGGCTGTAGCCATGTCCCTGCACCCACCTTGCCAGCCAGGGACAGGCCCCATCAAGACCCAGGAGCAGCTCCAGCCTCAGCCAGACTGTCCCCGAGGTCCCAAGTGAGGCCCCAGCCACTCAGGCATGCCTCAGGAAGCTCCTGCTGCACATGCTCCTCTCCCTGCGCCAGCACCCTGCTGTCTGGCTTCCTTCCTTTGGCCACAGGGCGGGTGTGTGTGAAACCACAGGGTTTACAGAAGCTCGAGGTGCCACTGAGTGGCAGGATTATGCACTGCACTCGGGGAATCAAAGGTGGAGACAGAAAGAACTATGGCTGTTGTGACACGTCCCCCACGGCTCCCCGGTTGGCAGCCACTGCCACCCGCAGGGACTTTTCTGTGGCTTCCAGAGGTGTGGGGCAAAGGTGGAGTCTGGTGACTTTCTCCCTAGGGCCAGCCCCTGGGCTGTCGAGCCTGGGAAACTCCACATCCCTCTCCACACCTCTAGAAGGACTCACAATGAGGGGGGCCCAGACAGGAGGCATCACCACCTGGTTTGGGCTTTACCATTCACCCAGGGATAAGGCAAGGCAAACACCACTCCACATCAGATCTGAATTTGAGCTCTGGCTTCATGACACTGACACATGAAGACTCTTGGAGCCTCAGATTCCCCAGTTGTTAAATAGGGAGACTAATATCTCACAGAGTTGTTTAGACCCGAGGCGTTCAACCTTGGTGGCAATGGATGTCAACTGGAAGCATGAAAAATCACCAATGCCTGATCCTATCCTCAGAGATTCTGATTTAATTGTTTTGGGGGACAGCTTGGGCATCAGGATTTTAAAGAGTTTCCCTGGTGATTTTAATGTGAAGGTAAGGCTGAGAATCCCTGGTTTTGACAGTACCTATAGCCTATAAGCCTTTAATACACCTCTGAAAATGCCTGAGACCTGAATAAGAAGTTTATGGTTCCACAGAAGCAGCCAGACACAAAAATGCATATGCACCATGT